>NC_000021.9:32714938-33024892 GCF_000001405.40 Homo sapiens
CAATTGTGTCATCCAACATAATTATTCAACCCAGCTCTCATCAATCCTACGTCACTTTGCCACAACTAAAAATCTGAAAACTGTACTTTCTACTCCATTCTCTAAGAGAATTGATAAAACTGGGAACAAGATAGGCCAAAGATATATTCCCAATGCTAACCAAGGAAAGACAACTAATGAGCACTAAGGTACAACCAGCTAGAAATTTATTTAATTATAAGATTCTGGAATTTAAAAATAAAAACAAAAAGAGGCCGGGCACGGTGGCTCACGCCTGTAACCCCAGCATTTTGGGGAGCTGAGGCAGGTGGATCACTTGATGTCAGGAGTTCGAGACCAGCCTGGCCAGTAAGGTGAAACCTGTCTCTAATAAAGAGATACAAAAATCAGCTGGGCATGGTGGTGCACACCCATAATTTCAGCTACTCGGGATGCTGAGGCAGGAGAATCACCTGAACCCAGGAGGCTGAGGTTACAGTGAGCCAAGATCATGCCACTGCACTCCAGCCTGGGCAACAAAGTGAGACTCTGTCTCAAAAAAAAAAAAAATTGAAAAAAGAAGATTCATTCTACTTATAGTTCACACATGGTCCACAGGATATTAAATGATTTTGTTTATCTATATTTCAGCAACACATTCAAGAGATTACAGCAATCCTATGGTCCACTAGTGAACAGAATGAAACATAACTCATAATAAATATTTATTGCTAAGAGCTAGTTATATAAGTAAACACACCTTTATATATAAAAAGTTAAATAAGACTATAATGAAATAGAAACACAAAATTTTAATAAGTACATTTAACATATAGAAATATTTAATGTTTTGAGACAATAAAGTTTTTTTTTAATTTTTTTCTTTTCACTGACTCAGTTGGCCCAGAATTATCCAGGAATTTCAAGGGTCTAAAATTTTTTCATTCTGAACTGAGGAAGTAATGAGTATCCAACCAAGAAGAATTTATATATCTCTCCAAATGCCAAATTTATTTTCTCCAAGTGCCAAATCATTCATCATTTGGTTCAGTAGCTATGAAATGCAACCCAATGTGAATGCATGTGCTCACATACGTAACACTACTGATCAGCAATGGCTTATATTTATAAACTCTATTTAAGCTGGAAAAAGATAAAATACAAATTCTTATTAACAACCATTAAAACACTCAAAGCAAATTTTAATTGTCACCAGTAAAAATCATGCACAATTTTTAAAACTATACTTCCTTTTGATACTCTAACAAGGCTAAACAATTGCACTAGCCCATTCCACTCTTTATTGCTTCTTTCACTTTGTATGCTTCTTTCAAAATTTCACTGATTCAGACTTTATAATCTCAAAAGTTTTGAAAATGTTGGTATTGGATACTAAGAAAGGTAATACTACAATATTAAACTGCTAGTCATTATAATTAGCTCATATTTTTTCAACCTTCGAATGTCTGAAAAGTCTTTACATCTTCATTTGTGGTTGGGTACAAAACTCTAGGTGAATGGTTTGGTTTGGTTTCTTCCTTCCAGTACTTTAAAGATGTTCCCAATGTCCTCTGGCTTGGATTGCTTGCAAAGAAAAGTCTACTATCATTCTTATCTTCACTCTTCTGTAAATGTGTGTCTTTTCTTCCTTGGGCTACTTTTAAGATCTTCTCTGTATCACTGGTAAACAGTAACTTGATCATGTATTTGGGTATAGTGTTCTGCTTTATGTTCATTTAGCTTCTTGGATATGTGGATTCATAGCTTTCATGAAATTTGCAAAAGTGCCAGCTATTATTTCTTCAAGTGTTTTTCTTCCCTACCAACTTCTTTCTGGGATCCACATATTCATGTATATTGGGTCACCGGAAGTCGTCCTGCAGTTCACTGATGCTCTGTGTATTTATTTATTTTAGCCTTTTTTCTCTCTGTATTTTATTTTGGACAGTTTCTATTACTATGTCTTCAAGTTTGCCAATCATTTCTTCTACAATGTCTAATATAGTAATCCCTACCACATCTAGAAGTCTAATTTGGGTCTTTCACTTTTTTTTTTTTTAGAGACGGAGTCTTGCTCTGTTGCCCAGACTGGAATGCAATGGCATGCTCTTGGCTCACTGCAACCTCCAACTCCTGGGTTCAAGTAATTCTCCTGCCTCAGCCTCTCGAGTAGCTGGGATTACAGGTGCCTGCCACCACGCCCGGCTAATTTTGTATTTTTAGTAGAGATGGGATTTCACCATGTTGGCCAGGCTGGTCTTGAACACCTGACCTCAGGTGATCCGCCCACCTCGGCCTCCCAAAGTGCTGGGATTAACAGTGTAAGCCACCGTGCCTGGCCTCTTTCACATTTTTCATATCTCGTCTTAACAGGTTCATTTTTTCCTCTACTTGTTGAACATATGGAGTATATTTACAATAGCTGTTTTAATGTCCTTGTCTATTACAGCATCTGTTTCTACATTTGACTTTGCTCCTTATGAGGTATATTTTCCTATATTCCTATAAATATTCTTAAACTTCGTTCTGGGATACAGTTATTTGGAAGTTCGGTTACTTGGAAACAGTGGCATCCCTTTGGGTCTTGCTTTTAAGCTTTGTTAGGGAGGGCTGGAGTGGAATTTAGTCTAGGACTACTTTGCCCCTTTACTGAAGCAGTATACCCTTTGCAGTACTCAACCTAATTCTCCATGCAGGACTTCTCCACTCTAGTTGTTAAACATGAACTATTCCCAGCCCTGTGTGAGCTCCAGAAATTTTTCTGCCTACTCCTTTTTGGTGATTCTTTCCCTGCCTCAAATGGTTTCCTTACACACTGGCACCGATCAACACTGAGCTGAAGTCTCAAACGGAGTCCTCTACAGATCTCTGGAGCTCTTTGTGCAACTGTCTCATCTCTAGTACACAGCCCTGAGATTCTGGCTGCCTTGGCCTCCCCATATTCCCTACTCAGGAATCCTGTCAAGCTTTGCTTGAGTGACTCTTCTGCTGCTGTGGCCTGGAAGCTCTCCAGGCAGTAAGCTGGAGCATTCATAAAACCCACCTCATTTGTTTCCCTTCTCTCAGGGGTCAGCATCTTGTGCTGCCTTTTGTTCAAGGTCTGCAAATCATTCCATGTATTTTGTTCATTTTGTTGTTGTTACTTAAGGTAGGAGGGTAAATCTAGTTCCTGTTACTCCACTATGGTCAGAAGCTCCCGTTATAGTCCTGAGTTACGTATATTTTATAGGACAAGTTAGAACATCTGATAGACCTGAGATGATGTAATAAAAAGCCACAGAGTTTTTACTATTCAGTGAGAGTGGAAGTTCTGCCTTTCCTTTTTATTTCCTCATAGCAAAGTTAAGTGGTGAAGAAATGAAAGCACTTAAGAACTAACTACTGGTTTGACCCTAGGTCAATCCTACTACCAACCCAGAATAAAAAAGTTTGGTTGATTTTCTTTTTAAAGAGTTGACATTTAAGTTACTTTCTATTAAATACGTACATTCCTCAGACTACAGGGGCACATAAAAAAAGAAAGAAAATAAATATGCACCTTCCAAAGGTATTTATAAAAAGAAAATGAATTTTTGCAACCCTAACATAAAGTGATATATAACAAGTCTAAATTTCATGATTTCTCTGCTGAAAAAGTCAACTATAAAAAGTCACTTCTTCCCTCAACTTGCAAATTTTTCTTTAAAAGAGACAGGACACTGCAACTTATCTAAAGGGCAATCATGTTGACAGCGTTTGGCAATTAAAAAAAAAAAACAAACTACACACACTGTTTGGCATTACCACCTACTATATTTATCCAAAAGTCTAGAACCTGACATTTAACTTGGCCCAGGAAAGAAACTTTGTTTTTAATGACTTTACTGTAAATTAAACCATACTTTCTCCTCTAATATATTAATATGTTAATAGTTTGTAGGGAAAAACACAAGTGTACAGTTCCCTCATTAGAAAATGCTACCAATTACACTCTTAACCTTAACGCCTTCCCTTATTTTTACACTTCATTCCCCACCCCTGAAAATAATAGCCACACAATATATGGTAATACAATAGCCTCACAACAGCACAAACAATAATTACAGTAAAAAAAAATTAAATGGTAGGACTATGTCATTGGGGCAGTTATCTTTCCAATCCTCAGTTTCCAAATCTCTGAAATGTGGATAAAAGCACAATCTGAACTGAATGAAATAAAGTGTGTCAAATGCCACATCTCCTGAACTGTGTGCTCAGATGCCCCACGGCACTACAGCAAACTCCCAGGGAAGCTGCATATTTTAAACAGAAGGAAACACTGAGATTCTCAACACATGCTGGAAACCAGCCAAACTATTAACCTGAGGTGCTTGAGTTGTCATATTAGATTGCAGTGCATTCCTTGGATGATATATATTAGTGAAACCGGGTTTTTGCTGGTTGCTGTGATAAAAGCAAGTGTCACTTGAAAATCAATGTGGAACAGGAAATGAGGACGGCAGTGTACTCTGTTCCAAGGTTTGAAAAGCTATGCAGGCTGGGAGCAGTGGCTCACGCCCGTAATCCCAGCACTTTGGAAGGCCATGGTGGGCAGATCACCTGAGGTCAGGAGTTCGAGACCAGCCTGGCCAACATGGTGAAACCCCGTCTCTACTAAAAATACAAACATTAGCCAGGTGTGGTAGCGGGTGCCTGCAATCCCAGCTACTTGAGAGGCTGAGGCAGGAGAATTGCTTGAACCCGTAGGCAGAGGTTGCAGTGAGCCGAGACCGTGCCATTGCACTCCAACCTGGGTGACAAGAGTAAAACTCCATCTTAAAAAAAAAAAAAAAGAAAGAAAAAGAAAAGCTATTTAGTGCTCAGTGCTCAACAAGCACACACATCTCATTAGTAAATTGTGGTTACTTATGAAGAAAATAAATGTTCTATTTTTTCTGCATTTTTTTTTTTGAACAGCTACAAAAGCTGTTGGGACACAAATATTTTTTGGACCTAACTATTTAATAAACAGAACTATTAAGTATTGTTTGTGGCCTAGGGGTGTTGTGAAAAACTTAACGAGGCCAGGCACAGTGGCTCACACCTGTAATCCCAGGACTTTGGAAGGCCGAGGTGGGCAGATCACCTGAGGTCAGGAGCTCAAGACCAGCCTGACCAACATGGAGAAACCCCGTCTCTACTAAAAATACAAAATTAGCTGGGCGTGGTGCCACATGCCTGTAATCCCAGCTACTTGGGAGGCTGAGGCAGGAGAACTGCTTGAACCCGGGAGGCAGAGGTTGCAGTGAGCCGAGATCGCACCATTGCACTCCAGCTTGGGCAACAAGAGCGAAACTCTCCCTCTCAAAAACAAAAACAAAAACAAAAACAACTTAATGAGATAATAAGGTCACCATAAAACAATGAAGTTTAAAAACCTCTGGCTTAATGTTGTGACTGGCAGAATAAGCTTCCAGTAAGTGGTAGCCATTATCATTTCACTACGATTAGTCCTTTACGCAGTTTTATAGAAAAGAGAGGATATTTCATATTCTGTAATAAAGATCTCAGAATATCATCCTATAGTATTATGACTTATATTGAGTATTATATATAGTATTATGACTTATGTTGTAAGAAAAAATTAGGTAGACAAAGAATCTCATAAGGACAACTTGGAGGAAAACCAGGTGCAGTGATATGGCCTTGCTATTTATAAAATGCATGATTTGAGTCCTAATCTGACTCAAATTATGCTACTTGAAAAGCCTGAAAGTAATCTTACCACTAGACAGATAAAAGCAATTCATCCTTACTCCCATGCTAGCATGTAATATGGAAAAGAGCAAAAGCTTTAATTTTAAGAGTTAGGAATCCATGGCGCCACCTCACCTCCCCATCTTTTACGTAGAGGTCCATAACTTCTGTTTTTAGAGTTATCCTCCATTTCCCATATGTTGACCTTTTCTTTACTCCATCTTCTATTTAGGATATAATTATGAAATGAATCATTCACTTTATTGAAGCCTGAGATGGGCTGTAAAATATTGAGATTGTGAATTTAATGCATGTATGTCAGACTGACAGCTTGTCCTTCTCCTGTGACAGTCTTTGTGTATGTGTGTGTAAACTGGAGAAAGACTAAGAACAATGAATTGTACACAAAGCTGAGAGACATCTTTTATCTCTTAATAAATTGTTTCCAGGAAAAAAATATGTACCTGTTTATAACTTGCTAACCATCACACAAGCTGCTTAAACTGGTAGATGCAGCAAACTAGTCACAGAGCTCACCTGCTACACTGAACCACTATTCCAAAGACATCAAATTGCAATTTAATCAAACACTTGCTGTACAAATACTTTTCAAAACTGAGTAATGCTAAAAATGGGTACACTCCTAAAAAACATATTAACTGTTATCTAAGGGTAAGAACTTTTTAGAAAGTGTTTTAAATAAATCAATGCAACAGAAGAAATAATAATGAAATTATTTTCTATTTTAAACAGGTAATTTTGAAGGCCAGGCGTGGTGGCTCACGCCTATAATCTCAGCACTTTGGGAAGCTGAGGTGGGTGGATCACAAGGTCAGGAGTTTGAGACCAGCCTGGCCAACATGGTGAAACCCTGTCTCTACTAAAAATAAGGAAAAATTAGCTAGGTGTGGTGGGGGGCGCCTGTGGTCCCAGCTACTCAGGAGGCTGAGGCAGGAGAACTCCTTGAACCCAGGAGGCGGAGGCTGTAGTGAGTCAAGATTGCACCACTGCACTCCAACTTGGGTGACAGAGCAAGACTCCATCTTGGAAAAAAAAAAAAAGTAATTTTGAAACAAATTAATAGTACTTATAGAAATAATAAGTAACATTTATCATAGACATTTCAAATTGGCATTTCAGAAGAACCTTAATAATGTGGTTAACAGTTATTTCCAATAGGATTTGTCAATAACAAATCTAAATAATGTGTAATATACATCTTTTATATCAGCAGTTCAGTCAGATAACAATTCTCAAAAACATAGGAAATAGGCCAGGTGCAGTGACTTATGCCTGTAATCCCAGCACTTTGGGAGGCCAAGGCGGGCGGATCACCTGAGGTCGGGAGTTCAAGACCAGCCTGACCAACATGGAGAAACCCTGTCTCTACTAAAAATACAAAATTAGCTAGGTATGATGGCGCATGCCTGTAATCCCAGCTACTTGGGAGGCTGATGCGGGAAAATCACTTGAACTTGGGAAGGGGAGGTTGCAGTGAGCCGAGATCGTGCCATTGCACTCTAGCCTGGGCAACAAGAATGAAACTCCATCTCAAAGAAAAAAAAAAAAAAAAATATATATATATATATATATATATATAATGTATGCATGTATGTATATGAAATAAGTTTTATAGGGCTGGGCTTGGTGGCTCACGCCTATAATCCCAGCACTTTGGGAGGCCAAGGCAGGTGGATCACTTGAGTTCACGAGTTCAGATCAGCCTGGCCAACATGGTGAAGCCCCATCTCTACTAAAAATACAAAAATTAGCTGGGCATGTTGGTGTGCGCCTGTAGTCCCAGCTACTCAGGAAGCTGAGGCACGAGAATCACTTGAACCCAGGAGGCGGAGGTTGCAGTGCACGGAGATCATACCACTGCACTCCAGCCTCAGTGACAGAACAAGACTCTGCTCAAAAAACAACAACAAAAATTTACGGAAAAATATCTCTTATTTTCAAACATAATAACTGCATGTTTATCAACTTTGTAATCTAGGTTAGTCTTTCCCTTGCTGTCATTCATTTAATAATCACATTTTCTTCAAGTATGAGTAAAACACTACACTAAGCACTAAGACTGCAAATATTACTAAGACACACAGGCCTTTTCCTCAAGGAGTGCGGCATCCAGACACAGAACCTGAGCAGAATTCCATATGATATGAAGGCACTATACTCAAAGTGCTACAAGAGTATTAGCACTTGGTTCAGCCTGACAGTTTCAAGAAAACTACTTAGTAGCCCCATAAAAGACAACAGCACCAAAATTCTGGAAACATGGTTATTTTGGATAAAATCTGCAAGCCAAAAAAAAGCAATCCCCTAATCTATCATAGAAAGGCCTAAATACACTTTGCTCAGAAATGAGCATCACAATCTAATTATATCAGAATATCCAGGGGGCTAGAGCCCAGACAGTAGTATTTGTAAAAGCTGCCCAGGTGACTGTAACACTGATAATGTCATAACATCATGACTGATTTAAGCTTAGAATCCTATCGACATAAAGACAGAGTCTTGAGGCTGCATTAGTGAACACGTGGGTCCCTAAGGGGATCCATTGTATGAGACTATTTTCATTGTATTTTTACTTGCAATCTTTTGGTATGTGCTAATAGTATGAAAGACAAAATTTCATGTTGGGTATCTCATGGCACTTCAGCAAAGGCCAAGAAAATTAAGTGATTGCTAATCCTCAACACTGTATGCTGACTAAAATGTCTGTTTAAAATTTACTTTTTAAAGTAAAGCCAGGGCAAGTAGAGACTTGAAATTAGGAACTTTGTGTACATAAAGACCAAGTCCTGCTAAGGTCACTTCCACCACCCCTTTCCAAGAAAAACACCTACATATGAGCATTTAGACAACAACAAAACCAGCACATAAGAAGTATGCGTCTTGGCTGCGAGCAGTGGCTCACGCCTGTAATCCCAATACTTTGGGAGCCTGAGGCAGGTGGAAACCATGAACCCAGGAGTCTGAGATCAGCAGGGCAACATGAGGAAGCCCCCTATCTACAAAAAAATACGAAAAAAATTATCTGGGCATAGTCGTGTGCGCCTGTAGTCCCAGCTACTCAGGAGGCTGAGGCAGGAGGATCAATTGAGCCCGGGAGTTCCAGGGAGTTCAATTACAGTGAGCTGTGATCATGCCACTGCACTCCAGCCTGGGTGACAGAACAAGACCATGTCTCAAAAAATAAAAGCAAAAAAGAAGTATGCACCTTGTGATACAGAGTAAGTTCTAGAGAAATGAAGAGAAGGTAGAGATAAAGGTGAGCTGGAGTGGTTGGGGCAGAGTCTTATGAAGGAAGAAGACCTGAGTAGGACCTCGGTGGGACTGACAGGCTCAGATTAGAGAAGCAGCACTCTAGCTGTCTTGGAGGAAGAAGGTGTAAAAAGCAACAGTATGATGAAGCTGAAAAAAGCATGGTGCTTGGGAAGGCACTGAGGAAACACCAGATCTCCTTAAAGGAGATCAACACTGGACAAATGACAGGTTGAGGAGTACAAACTTAATCTTGGTGAAAAACAGGGTTACACTTTGCTTTAATATAAAAAATGATTTTAGGGCTGGGCGCGGTGGCTCACGCCTGTAATCCCAGCACTTTGGGAGGCTGAGGCAGGCGAATCACCTGAGGTCAGGAGTTCAAGACCAGCCTGGCCAACATGATGAAACCCTGTCTCTACTAAAAATACAAAAATTAGCAAGGCGTGGTGGCACACACCTATAATTCCAGCTACTTGGGAGGCCGAGGCAGGAGAACCACTTGAACCCAGGAGGTGGAGGTTGCAGTGAGCCGAGATCATGCCACTGCACTCCAGCCTGGGCAACAGAGTGAGACCCTGTCTCAAAAAACAAACAAGCAAACAAACAAAGAAAAAACATGATTTTAGAAGATTCTTCAGGTAGATGAATATGCAGAATGCACTGAAATTCAGGGAGCTGGGATTATTGAAGATGAAGAGAACACATTGATATTTTCCAAGCACAGCTTCTGAATACAATAGGCATTTTTAAAGTGTGAAGATTTTAAGTGAACACTGTACAGCACAATACAAACCTTGGTATCACTCCAAAATGAAGGCCAAATTAATTTTAAAAGTCAAATGACTTAAGAAGGTTTGTTAGCTCTTAAATATTAATATGTTAAGTATTACTGTAAAGCTTATAGTAGGAAAGATAATGACATTCCAAGAGATTAGACATCCATTTATGTTAGCTTTACAGAAAGAGTCAATATTCCAACATTTTTTTTCTGAATTGCTCACATAGTCTAAATCTAATGAAAATAGAATAGCTTAGACAATATTTTAATATTCTTTCTCCTTAGAATGCACATTAATGCCAAAATAAATGTTTTAGGGCCTTTTGGTAAAAACAAACCATTATTTGGCATAAAAGACGGCTGCTGGAGGTTTTGGAAATATTATTATTCTTAGGTTTCCTAACCTTGGAGTAAAGTGTAGCAATAATTCTAAAAACTATAAGTAATACACAGTTTGTAGCTGAACATTTGACTTGCTATTATGAGTAATCATAATTAAAGAAACATTTAGAATTTATACAAGATTAGTAAGTCAGGTAACGTCACCAAAAAACACAAGCAGCTGAAAAATGCTTCCCATACAAAAACAAACATTCGCCCCACCCAACCCCCACAATATTTTAATTCAGAATTCATCAGTATAAGAATTCCACTTGTAGTAAAAAATATATGCAATGGAAATTAATACTGTACCAAGGTATAGTTTAAATACAAAAAACAACTTGAAGCAATTAAGTCCATACTGATTGAGTATAGCCAATATTATTTATACTTATTTCTTGGAAGACCTAGAGCCCCTTCTCCTTCATTCAAAAAATATATGTACCAAATATATATTTCTTATATACTGTTCTTTGCTTAAGACTTTTCATTATGTCACTATCTTTTTCCCCATCAAGATGCAATTATACTATTTAGTCAAGTTAACACTTTAACTGACATTAATATTCTACATGCAAAGAGTGAGGTCTTATGCTCTTCATTTATTGAGGCTGGAGAAAGCTTAGTAGTTTAAGATATTTAAGGGCTTATATTTGTAAGTATGCCTTTCAAACACTATTTTTAATTTATAAAGATATAATCAGTAACTAAACTAATCCCAACACTAGGATTATTTGCCTAAATCATATATATGTGTATATATAATCATATACTTTTTTTTCTTTTTAATTTTTGAAACAGGGTCTCACTGTGTTGCCCAAGCTGGAGCGCAGTGGCGAGATCAAGGCTCACTGCAGTCTCGACCTTCCAGACTCAATCAATCCGCCCACCTCAGCCTCCCAAGTAGCGGGGACTAAAGGGCACACGACGGAGCCGAACTACTTTTTGTATTTTTTGTACAGAAAGGGTTTCACCACGCTGCCCAGACTGGTCTCAAACTCCCCGCCTCAAGCGATCAGCCCCCCTTGGCCTCCCAAAGTGCTGGGACTACAGGCGTGAGCCCCCACACCTGGCATATCTTACATTAAGAAAGACCCAGTATCCAAATTAATTTTAATTTCATCCATCTGCCCCTAAAATAACTCAAACATTACTAATCTATTTTTCTTGTGGTACAATAGTCCTTTTCTTTAAATTAGACTATCAAAATACTTTTAAAAATAATACAAAATCAATCATGTATCTCACATGAAAATCTAGAGGTTGTTTACAATTCCCTTAATGAAAACACAACGGCCATAACAGAAATACTCCAACAATATTGGATAATATTAGATAATACCTACTACTATAACTGACCTACCAGTAAATATGTCAAGCAAGACACTGTATGGGTTTATGTGATACATGATACAAACTGAAACAATATTTCTTTGGAAAAAACATTTACTTTTAGAAGCAGCAGCAGAACCCAAGAAAGCAAAATCCTGCAACCAAAACCTGCATCTCCCTGCACCCCCTCAACAAAAACCTGTTAACAAAAAGTTTGCAGGAAAATAAGTTTGATTAAAAGGAAATACAAGCATAATCTGCTAGAGGAAATACAGTGAAAGGGTTGTCGGGCTCTTTTCTAAAAAATGGTTGCATCTGAATTGTTTCAAATCAAAACAGAGACCATGACAAATTGGGCTCTAACAGATGACTTACAGAGCACAGCGACAGCCCCAGACTCGAACATGAGACATTCTTCCTTATGCCTAGTTTCCACTATGAGGCTGAAAGGTGGGGGATCCAATTTGTGATAGATCCGGAATCCTTTACTGAACGCCATTCTCCTTTCTTCGGAGGCAGCCCTGCGAAAACCAAGCAAAGCAAAGCAAATGAAGCTGATGTTTCCTTCTGCAGCAAGGACTGCAAAGCATCCAAAAGTCCCTCCCCGCCAGGTTTTGATGGGGGGTTGGGGTGGGAAAAAACAGACAGCTCTGGGAGAAAATGGCTTTTTCCAAAAGATAAGTCGTCACTTAATTTTACCAAAAAGCAAGAGGAAAAGCTATCAATTCTCATACCAAGGCAAGACAAGGTTTTAGCACTGTAAGTCAATCAACGGTCTGGTTGAGTTTCCCGTTTAATTTATGCTTACTGAAAGGAAAAATTTTGAGCGTATTTCGTCCGGAGCTGTTTATCAGCTTCCTGCTTCAAGATCTGTCACTACGTTGAAAGGGAACCTATTTGGAAACTTCAAGCAGTTCCTTCGAGGTGAAAGGAGCGGAGGTGGGAGGGAAGGGTGACAAGGCTGGTTCAAAGCTCCTTAGGGGGCAGGAGAAGGAAAAGGATTATCCCACGCGACAGGCTCTCCCGGGGGTGGCGATGAAGGGCAAGGGAAAAGGCACAGGTTACCGCCGCCTCTCCTGCCCCGGGCTACCGCCGGCTGGGGGGACGGCAGGCGGGGCCGATAAATACGAATGGCCACCCGGGAAGAGTCACGACTCGGGGCACCGACCCGACTGGGGCTCCTCGGGGGTCCCGGGCAGTCGACTGCCCGGGAAAGCGGCTCCTTCTCGGAGAGACGGAAGAGCCGAGCAGCCCAAACCCTCCATTTATGCGCCAGAAGAGATACCCCGGCGCCCAGGCGGATTCGGTTCGTTCCCGCGGGCGGGCTGACAGCCGCTGTCACCACAGCCCCCAGCCTGACGCGGCACCCCGCACAACCAGTGGTCTGCTCACAACCCCGCCCGTCCTCCCGCACCCCGGCTGCTCGCGGTCGCCCCTCACCGCTCCCGCTGACGCTGCGGAGGCAGAGACTGGTCTTGGAGGCGTCCGCCCGCCCGGCTGCCCGTGGGTCTGGCCGCAGCAGCTCCCCGCCCCCCGCCGGCTTGCTCACCTCTTCCTCCGGCTCCTCCTCCTCCTTCTCCCGCAGCCGCCGCCACAGCCGCCGGGAGCGTCACTTCCGCTCCAGCAGGCCCATCTCTTCCGCATTGCGCCGCGGCCGGGGGCGGAAGATCCGCCCCGCGCGAGGGAAGGGGCGGGGCATCAGGAGGGAGACCACGCCCACTCTGCGCCGACCGGCTGGGCCTGGCACCCGCGGGCGGCCCCAGCCTCAGTCTCCAGCTACCTTTGCCTCCTGCGGCCGCCCCCAGGCAGAGCTGCGATCCCACCGCCGGGGGTGCAGGGAGAGGGAAGATCTGGCCTCCTTGGTCCTTTTGCGTGGGCTCTTCAGAGCGTGAGCGCCGGGGAGGGACTCCGGAGAAAAGCTTGGGGGGCTGCGTATTGCTGCTCCCCAAGCTGGGCGTCAGGACCAACCCCGCCGCCCCCACGGGCCTGACGGGAGAGGAGGAAGGGCTCGGGACGGTCGGCTCGCCGAGCCAACCAGGTGGCGCCTGAAGAGCTGTCCATGGTGTCGACAGCCCAGCAAACGGCACCGAGTTCCTAGTCTGAGTGTCTGGATAGGTAGCAGAAGAAAAACTAATGCCTGCTCTGGGACAGTTCTGTTCGGTGCCTTTTCTTGTGTGTTCTGGAGCTCACAGGGTTCTATCGAAGAGTGCTTAGGTGTATACGATGGAGAGTGGGACGTCACAAACCAGGATCTCAAGGCTGAGTCCAACAAAACATGGCCGTAGGGAGGCCACGACAGCTGTGGTTGTCACCGACGGATGAATAGCTTTTGCCAACCGTGGAATTTAGTAACTAAAGGCACCTAACCCTTTTATCTCATCCTCATTTTTCAACAAATGGTGCTTCCTGGCTAATATCAGCGTGTCCCATAGATTTCTGCTTCCATTGAATAGACCTAATAAGAAAGAGAATGAAGTCAAAGCCAACAGGGCAGAAAGAAATTGAAAACCTGAAGAACCCAGCACTCAAACTGTCTCCACTTGCGTTTGCTTTTTCTTTACCTCTTCTCCTTCTGGTTTTCAACAGCCAAAGCAGGATTTAAATTTGGTTATGTTGCAAAAATCATTTCCCTCTTCAGGCCCTGTCATGTGACTTGATTTTTTCGTCCATTTTAGAGAAGCTGTACCCACCCTGGTTTCAGGACACGGAACTAAATTTATTAGAAAAGAAGCCACTTCAAGTCATGAAGGAGAAACACAAAGATTCTTGGATTTAGTTCTAAGAACTAGAGGGGATTTCTATGTCAGTACTGTCTCAGAAAAAACTGTTGATATCAAATGTGTTGCTTGAGAAGTACCTTTTTTTTTTTGAGACGGAGTCTCGCTCTGTCCGCCCAGGCTAGAGTGCAGTGGCGCGATCTCGGCTCACTGCAAGCTCCGCCTCCCGGGTTCACGCCGTTCTCCTGCCTCAGCCTCCCGAGTAGCTGGGATTACAGGTGCCCACCACCACGCCCGGCTAATTTTTGTATTTTTAGTAGAGACAGGGTTTCACCGTGTTAGCCAGGATGGTCTCGATCTCCTGACCTCGTGATCCACCCGCCTCGGCCTCCCAAAGTGCTGGGATAACAGGCGTGAGCCATCGCGCCCGGCCGAGAGGTACCTTTTATGACAACTGAAATCATTCAGTTTCAAGAGGAGTTGGGTACTGAAACCAAACTTGCTTACTCCAAAGCCCAAAATCCTTTCCACCATGCCTGTGTGTCTGTAAGGCTACACTAGAAATGCTTCCTTTCTTATAGTGGGAAGCATGGGTACTAAGCTCTTTTACGAACAAGTGTTCTGCATATTCCTGGTTCCTTTTTATTTTGGACTGAGGAGATTTAGGTCAAAATTTCTGGGTTCTGGGTTGGAATTCCAGCTTCTTTCTTCAAATTAAACTGGGGGGTAGCAAGACTTATTCCTAGATTTGTTAGAAGGCCACAGCTTTTCCACATCTCATTTTAGTCATGAAAAAGACACATGCCCAGAGTTTGAAAAACATAAAGGCAATTTGACTAGTGGCTTGATTGGTTCTATCTTCTTTTTCTTGTCCCTCTTTCCTATTTATACTTCTACTTTTGTTACAGCATTTGACAATAGTTGGAAAAATTTTCACTGACCTTGAAATGTCTTTGGGATAGGGTGACTTAAAATATAGGTTAAGTGGCATACACAAACTTCTTAGTGAGATCCTAAGGGCCTACAGAGACAGGCTGACACCAACTCAACCCTTGAAACTGTGCAATGAAGAGCCTGTGGGAGGCTAAAAAACGCTACTTCAAAAAGAGATCCTTGTCTGTGAATGTTAATTTAGGTTTACAGATTTGATTAAGGGTCTTGAGATTATTTTCAATTATCCAGGTGGGCCCTAGAGCCCTAGATGCAATCATAAGTGTCCTTATAACAGGGAGGCAGAGGAAAATTAAACACGCACACAGGAGAGAGAGAGAGAGAAAAAAAAGTGATGTGAAGACAGCAGCAGAGATTGGAGCGATGTGGCCATAGCCAAGCTATGTCAGCAGCCATCAGAAGTTGGAAGAGGCAAGGAAGGATTTGAGCCTAGAGCCTTTGGAAGGAGCATGGCCCTGTTGGTTCTGGCCTCCAGAACTGCAAGAAAATACATTTTTGTTGTTTTAAACCACCCAGTTCATGGTAATTTGTAACACCAGCTACAAGAAATTAACACAAGGCTGATGTGACTTTCCATCAGGAGAGAGACAGCCCCAGGTAGGTGTTTCAGATATCACATCCAATAGAACAAATTAAAGACAAACACCCTAAATTCTAGATGTTGATTTGTGAGCAAGTTATTTCTCCTATGGGCAACTCTAGTTGAAATATGCAATTCATTATGTTGAAACATGGAATTGTTATTTTCATAGGTTAAAAAAAAATCACATAGTGGCAATATAGTAGTAGTGCTCGTTTTTTGTTTTTTGTTTTTTTGTCAAAAATGCTAGACAACATGGAAGATCAGGGAAATATTAACAGTCTGATTCAGTAACCTTTAACAGCTTCTTTTCAGGTTACACAGGCTAAGCTAACTTTTATATCAGGATCAGGATCTGCAGAGTTATTAGTATAGTGCTCTGCAGATCCTGGTCCTAGTATAGCAGGATCTGCAGACCCTAGTTGTACCTGGCCATGTTCCCCACCAATGACTGAGAAAGAAATGGCTCGAACAGAAAACAGTGGTCTTGAAAGGCAACGCAACAGTAGGTTACAAATAGCATTAGCTTTTTCTTTAAAGAAATTCATTGTAACCAGTGAAGGATAAGATTTTAAATTAGAAAAATGGAAATCCTATGAATAAAAAACTAGTAAGCTTGAGAGCAGAATCACTGTGGAAAAAAAACAGATTGAAAAATAACTTGCAGGTATCATAGACAGGAAATTGCCACTAGAGAAAACAGGAAACTTGTGATAGATAAAAATGAAGTATTTTCATTTGGAACAAGAGACCAACTGAAGAGAGATCAAGTGAAGGGGGTTTATTTTAATGAAACACAAAGATTCTTGTGGAAATCAAAGTGCCGGAGCCAGAAACAGGGCTCAACCTTCAAGATTAGAGCTGTATTCAAGTTGTTCAAGTTGGCTCTCGGTCCCAAAGCAACAGCAATGTCACTAAGGTTACAAGTAAAAGGTAAGCTTTCATGATCAAAATGTTTTTGCAAAGTAGCTTAAAATGGTTTCTGCAGTGTTTTGTCAAAACTTTTCTCATACATTTTCCTAAAGATATTTAGCAAGAGCCTAAGAAGTCATGTGCTAGGGATTTTCATTGTACTGAATGATTGTATCCTTTAAGCCGCTGCTGGAGTTAGGACTGACAGGAACGCAGTACAAATTACTGGGGGCTAGAGTCCCAAAGCAGGCCAGGGACCAGTCTACATTGCATGTCGATACCAATCCCATATAACAATATTCAGCCTGTGTTTGGGCAGTCTGAGGCAGCTTTTAGCAGCTGTGAACCCAGTATCCATGGACAGTTTCATTTCTGGAGGGCAGTCTTCAAAACGTTTATGAAAGTACACCTCCCATTCAGATATGTTTTTTTCTTCCTACATGTAGTGCTAGTGTTTTTCTCATTTTCATTTACTTGAAACAACAGATCAAATGTTTTGTCATAATCAGTGAATGGCAAGACTCCCTTTATTACATGGGTATTACCATGTTAGAGATAAGAAGAGCTCTTGTAACCATTAACAACCACTACAATGTAGCAACTTACAGTTTCCTATTTTATATTGCAGCTCTGTAACATTTGACTACTTTTGTAAGAGTTTCATGATTTCAAGGATGATTATTAGCATTTTCAATTTTTTGGCCAATTCTGGGTGCTGGTAATGTTACCACTGCAGGCAACTATGGCTCTACTCAACTGAAGACCTCTTATAGGCAATGTGGACCATACCTGCTTTCCTGAGAGATCAGCAAATTGGGTTTGGTCATCAGGAAATTCTGTCTCTCAGATCTCATACTAGCAAGGAGACCCCTGGTTGTACCTGTCAGAGCTGCCAGTTGGCCCTGCTGAAACTTTAGAACTGCACCAATGTCTAAGACTTTCATCCTCCTTCCTTCACACAGGTGAGACCTGCCTGCCTCATTGTCTGACAGCTTTCCCAGCCTCCTCCAGGCTCCCCTCCGTTTTCTCTTATACGCATTCCCCCAATAAACTTCCTGTACATTTAATACCATCTCAGTGTCTGCTCCCAGGAGGACCCTAACTGACACACTGGGGCATTTAGCCTCCAATTCCTTTTCTCCCTTGGCTGAGATCTGTTCCAGGAAGTATCTCCAGGACACTCCAGCCTGTTGCACAGGCCAAAGAAAAGCCCTCAGGCAGAGGAGCAAATACTTGCAAGAGGACACCAGTGGCAAGAACAGGGACATGGTGAGACTTCGACATCATTGGCTACAGTAGTACTAGTCACTCTTGACTGTGGTTTATGTTGTTTCAATAAAGTAGCTTTCCTTCTCAAAAACATTTGTCACCTATTTTGGAGTTAATTCAGAGGATTGCTCCAAAAGAAAAAACTGAAAAGCAAAACCAGCTTTATTAAAATGTAACCCTCTGGATTTATCTTTTGATAATTCCTTTCATAAGAAATAATGTCCTTAAGCTATTTCAGGAATAAAAATGTTCTGCTTGGGATAGAAAAACCATTGTTTTATGTACCCTACATCAAATTCCTAGTGTGATGTTCAAACCCATTCCTGAAACCAATATAGCCTGACAGATTTCATAGGATAAAAACTCTATTTTAAGAGTTCTTAAAAGCAGAGTAATTAGTCTAATGGGTTTGGAAATAATATGCAGTTTAAGGCCTAAATGATCTGTATGTGATACAGATACATGTTTTATGTTTTATTCTACTTAAGATGAGGAATAGGTGTTCTGACTTTAATTCTACTTAGTAGGCCAGTAAGGTGTAATGAAAAATTCATCCAGAATGAATACTGATTTGGTTTGGTTCTGTGTCCCCACCCAAATCTCACCTTGAATTGTAATAATCCCCACATCAAGGGCGGGACCAGGTGGAGATAACTGAATCATGGGGGGTGGTTTCCGCCATGCTGTTCTCCTGAGTTCTCATGAAATCTCATGGCTTCATAAGGGACTTCCCCCTTCCCTCAGCACTCATTTCTCTCTGCAGCCACCCTGTGAAGACGTGCCTTTCGTCAAGATTGTAAGTTTCCTGAGGCCTTCCCACCCATGCGGAACTGTGAGTCAATTAAACCTCTTTATAAATTACCTAGTCTCAAGTATGTCCCTATAACAGCGTGAGAATGAACTAATACAAATATGTAGGGATAAGATAAAATTAACAGAGCAAATACAGTGCATGACACTGTTCTGCATATTATGTCCTGATCAAGGGTACACATGGGCCTGCTCACAGTCCCACTTTATTAGAGTCATTTGAAATGCTGCAAATTTAGTCGTCAGGAAAATACAACAAAGGATATATTTAAAAATTAATTTAATGCTTGGCTAAATCTTAATTACATATATAATTATCAAACGATAGTCCTTAATTTCCAAAAAAATTCCTCTTTTGAAAATCACAGAATCAGAAAGCATAAACTTTAAAACAAGTTCTCTGAATATTTACAATGTGGTATAAACATTATAGAAGACCATGGATATTAAATTGCCTGGGTGTGGCTAATCAGCAAGGCGTATTCTTTATTGCATATTTAACTCA
Organism: Homo sapiens; assembly: GCF_000001405.40. NCBI lineage: Eukaryota > Metazoa > Chordata > Mammalia > Primates > Hominidae > Homo > Homo sapiens. The sequence continues at coordinate 32,734,141 of NC_000021.9, forward strand.
CATATGTGGGATTTTAAATATGACAGACTACTAAAATTCAAATGCATGTATCTGCAAGCTGGGCAGGGAGTAAAATCATGAATGAGACAGGACGGTCAGCCCAAAACCATGCAATTAGGTTGTGGGTTTATTATTTTCAAAAGTGAAATTTCTATGTTCCATTTGAAACTATGTTGCATATTCATTTAGCATTCACATTAAACCCACATTTGACTCTAACGCTGATTCAAGGAAGAAAGTTCAACATTCACTCAATGACTAAGTCCACAACTCAACTCTCAATGTTAAGGCAGCACAGCTACAGTGATAGCAACGCTAACCAAAAGGTAATGAACATTTAGTCACTTGCCAGCCCTTTTGTTACAACAGTGTAGTAATTTCCCTAAGACAATTTGCTACCGGATAATTTTCTGCTGTTAAAAGGCTTCCTCTGTGGAAAAACACCACAAATTTCCAGTGTGAAAGTAAGTCCATGGTGGTATAAATATATATATGCATAATTACACAATTTACACTGCACACATCGTTTACAGGGGACAATTAACTGAGAGGGTTAATTTAAATGACCATACAAAATACTTCAGTAAACAAAGTATGACAGGCAGTAAAGAAAACATTCATAGACTCCTAGAAATAATCTGAATTCCTTTCATTCTGAAGAAATATCATTTAAGGACACAGTATTGAATATAATGTTTTTTGTATTAAAACAAGAATTGCTATTTTACAGTTTAAGAAACTTTACATATATACAAAATTTACACATTGGGAATGGTAATCAAGCAAATAGGTTTTTCAGTCTCATAGATCTATTTTCCTTCGATCAAAGACTTAAATTCTTTCACATTGTGGTCACTTGCAACAGACATAGCATGATCCAAAGCTCGAACACTTGCAAGGAGTTTTACTATCTGTTTTATGTTTTCCCTAAAAGAAAAAAATATAGCAGCATCTCATTAATTAGTATATCTAAGAGAAAATTTGCTACTGATTTCATGGCTATTTTAGAGCTTCTGCAATCAATTTTTCCAAGCACACATTTTCAAAGAAAGGAAACAGATATGCAAGCTACAGCATGTTAAAAAAAAAAAAGTTTACATTTATCCATATAGAACAAAACTTACATATGTTTAAATGACTAGCCCAGAGACAGGGGACCCATTTTAAAAAAGCAAAACAAAATTCATTGAGATCAATGAGTTTCATTAATATTGAGAAAGAAAAGAAAGCAATCTGTTTTCAAACTACTTCAGAGGCCTGTCTCCCATTCCTTCCCAAACCAGAGTCCTGGCTGTTTTAGCGTATACCTGGAACACAAATCGTTATTTGTGTCTCTTCATCACCAATCTGTCAAGATCCAGCATAATTTCCACTCCACCAAAATTCACTAAATAAAGTATAATCTGACTTTCCTTATCACTCCAGCTAGAAGTCATTCTGCTTTCTTACTAGGAAGTAATCCTCAAATTTTAGCACACATTAGAATTACCTAGAGGATTGTTGAAATGCAGATCATCCCTGGCCCCACCCCAAGAGTTCTATTCAAGAGGCCCAGAGTGGGGCCCCGAGAACTTGCAAGTCTATCAGACTCCCATGCCATGCTGATACTGCTGGTCCAGGGACCACACTTTAAGAATGACTGTTTTAACATTTAGCTTAAACCACTCACGAGAAACAAGACATAATATGACATTAGTAATTGTCTCATCTCTTCTACAGAATTGTAGTAAGCACCTATTAGGGAAGAATTAGAATTTGCAAAACTTTCCAACCCACATGAAACCTGCTTTATGTGCACTGCACAAAGCAGGTGCTTACATAGCTGTTAAAGTTCTTTTCTGTAGAAAAGTAAACACTATTTGTTGATATTTAACTTCCAAACAGAAACACTGTTAAATATATGTAAATCAAAGTTTAAAATGTGATAAAATTTATCTAGTAGAAAACACAGAGAAAAAAATATTAGTGCCAACAAATAACAAAATGGCACACACTAAGAACAAAATCAAATCAGCCAAAACCTGCCAAAGAATTTTACCATTAAAATCTTTTTTGTTGTTGTTTTTTGAGACGGAGTGTTGGTCTTTCACCAGGCTGGAATGCAGTGGCGCAATCTCAGCTCACTGCAACCTCTGCCTCCCAGGTTCAAGCAATTCCCCTGCCTCAGCCTCCCGAGTAGGTGGGACTATAGGCACGCACCACCACACCCAGCTAATTTTTGTATTTTTAGTAGAAACAGGGTTTCACCATGTTGGCCAGGATGGTCTCCATCTCCTGACCTCATGATCCACCTGCCTCAGCCTCCCAAAGTACTGGGATTACAGGCATGAGCCACCATGCCTGGCCTAAAATCTTTAATAGCTACTTTAATTTTATTGTGGAAAAAATATCCAATTTTCTTGCAGGAAAATAGGTCCTTTTTCAAGAAAGGGGAATGAGGGATCAGAAGAAGGTTTTGTTATAGGGGTATGACTAATGGTGTGATCTAAACAAAAATTAGACTTTGACATTATGAAGATATATGAAATTAAAATTTTAAAAAGACAATTCCTTCAAACTGCCCTACTTAGTGTTATTATTTACTTTTTATGCTAGAGATTTATCCCAGAATTACCTGAACACCCATAAATTAATGTCCACAGAAAGGCTAATGGTTCACTCACTCTTTTCTTACAACCCTTGATAAAAATTAGAAATAAGTTGCCCCAAAAAGCCATGAGTGATAACCTCTAGTTCATAATATTGATTAAAACAAAAAATCTCCCCAAATTGGGAGATAAACTTGAATTTAAATCTGCATAATGAAACTCCAAACAAGAGAGTCTGAGACCTCTCTAATTCTTCAAAGAGGGAGACAGAGAAAACAACCGTTTACTCACTCCCCTGAGGGTTGGTCCTTACCAGAAGTCTTTCCTTAGTATCTTCATAAATAACATACTGAAAAAAAGTAAAAACTGCTAAAATGAAAAATTATGTGCATTTTTGGTAGGTTTATAATACTAAGTGAACATACAATTTAAACTAAAATATAAACATCTCTACTTAAAACATTTTAATACTAAATCTGGCAACTAAACAACTCTAGATTACCATTTCATTAATTACAAAATTACCTTGCATTTCTTTTTTCCACATCAGAACACCCGATACTATTTCTATAAATTGTATCCGCTAAGTGTACAAGGTATCGGCAAAAGTTTTCTAACTGAGAAATAGTCCTTTCTCCTTTCAGATTCATGAACCATTGTTTGGGGAAACAATTGATTACCTGTGGAGAAGAAAGACGTAAAATAAAATAGTTAAGACAGAATAAATTAAAGTATTAAAAGCAAAGTCTAGTTAATGGGTATAAATGTATTTCACCAGAAGACGTGCTTCTGAGCTACAGCAATTACTCTGAAGAAATATTCTTTTAAATCTGACTTCCTACATTAACTAAACCAATATACCTAAATTTTTACCCCAACCAATGGGTTAGGCACTCAAAGCAAAAGATAATCTGTCCAATATTTGAGTAAATTAGTAACATAAAACTGACAACCAACTGCTTCATTTTCCAGTCTTCTAGGATGGCCTAAATATACTGAATTTCCTTTTCCAGCAGCTTTTGATGTAAAAATGAGTGGTATAAAAATGAAATTACAGCACCCCCATCCCCTGCAATAATTCCACGAATAGACATCCATGCATGCTGCTAAGGGAAGTCGAGTTGGCCCAGACTGAGGTTAAGATAATAAGGTTATTATTCTGAAATCAAAACTTTTATTTATACCTATAAAAATATCAAAACTTTCACTAATATCTATAAAAATATGGATATAGATGGATATATATATATATAACAGTATGCATTTTTATGTAAAAAATGCTGTAGGGGGTTGGAACTACCTGGGTAGGCAAACTGTCAACCTTACATGCAAGTCCAGTAATCAAAGGGGTTTCATAAAATTCTCAAATCCCTCTTCAAACAAACAAAAACTTAATTCATTTTAAATTATATGCTTTAAAAACTGTACTATGCATTTAACTCACATTTTGGGCTTTTTTGATGCTGTCATCTCCATATTCTGAATTCTGAAAAGCCATGAGAATATATCGATTTAATAAACCATCTATTGATAACTCTTGCAGAGTTTTATTTGAGAAAATGCCATACCACTGAAGAAAATTGCCTAACAGCTGGAAAGAAGAAAAAAAATAGGTAATGTGAAACAATTAGATTAGGTACAAAGTAAATAAGTTACATAGTAAAACACCATATGAAATACAGCAGACCATGTCTTGCCAAAGTACTAAGAAATATTAATACTTTCAAAGGTACAGATATTTCCTAGAATGGTTACATTTGAATATTCAATTTTAATTAGTCAAAATCGAAACAGCCACATGTAGCTAGTGGCTACAGCACTGGTCAGCACAGATACAGAACATTTTCCATCATTGCAGACAGTACTATCAGGGAGTGCTGAGTCTTAGGTAAGTGTCCTCCATTCAAAATTACACTCTAGCTGGTTCTATGCACACCCCCACCCCGCCCCGCGCTGCCCACAAAAGATGGGAGAGTCTGACTACAACCCTGCATGGCTACCATGTATCATGAACTACAACCAAGTTATATCACTTATGCATCTCAAGCTACCCAAGCTCAATCAATATATAGAAAATGAAAGCTATCATCATAAAATGAAAGCCCCATCCCATCCCACCATAAAAACTTATAGTTTCCCAGTTGTTTCTCAACTTAGTAAATGGTAACACTATTCAACCAGCTGCTTGCGGCAGAGGTCTGGAGGTCATTCCTGACCTCTCTCTCAAGTTGTGTGTCTCCACGACCATCCAGTCTGTCCATTTCCCTCAGTTCCTGCTGCCATCCTCCGAATCTGACCCACCTTAATCTCTTCAGAACCCTGCAGTTACTCCAGTGATTATGAGCAAGAGCACTGAGTAGCCTTTCTGAAGCAGGGCTCTGCAAGAGTTCTAAACCTACAGAAAATGATTTGTGTGGCTCTTTACTCAGTTCTCCCAAGAATGATACATAGCTAGTACTGTTACAGATGCAGGGGAAAAAGAAGAATTCATTATAGACAATGGAGGCCTTAGGGCATTAGGTATTAAGTCTCCCACAGAAGCCCAGTTGAGAAGAGCAGCTCAAGAGTCAGACTGGCTGAGTTTGATTCCCATCTCTAATTACCAATGGAATGACCTTGTGCAGGTTATTGTGTGCCTCACTACCCCATCAGTAAAGTGAAAAAACAGCGTGTACCTCATTGAGCCATTCTGAGGATTCAACAAGATAATCTATGTAAAAGGTGCGGGACAGTGCTTGGTACATAGTAAACACACAGTAAGTACTAGTTCCCATAAAATACACAATAAATACCAGTTCCCATTTTCACTATCACTATCCATACCTACTTCAATCTATTATCTCCACATAGCAGACAGAGTAATCTTAAAAATGGTAATTTATAGACCTGTGGTTACGGCCGGGCGCGGTGGCTCACACCTGTAATCCCAGCACTTTGGGAGGCTGAGGCGGGCAGATCACGAGGTCAGGAGATCGAGACCATCCTGGCTAACATGATGAAACCCCGTCTCTACTAAAAATACAAAAAAGTAGCCGGGCGTGGTGGTGGGCGCCTGTAGTCCCAGCTACTCGGAAGGCTGAGCCAGGCAATTTATGGCTGGGCACAGTGGCTTATACCTGTAATCCCAGTACTTTGGGAGGCCAAGGAAGGAGGACCACTTGAGCTCAGGAGTTTGAGACCAGCCTAGGCAACACAAGACCTCGTCTCTTTAAAAAAAAAAAAAAAAAAAAAAAAAAAAAGGCAATTTGTTTACTTACCTTAAACCCTTCCATGACACATATAGTTAACTGGTTTTCAACAAAGGCACAAAAGCAATTCAATGGACTGTGAAAGGGAAATATCTTGGGCCTCTTCAAGCTGGGGACCCCGCTGAGGGCAAATCTGCCTCCCATTCTATTCAAAGTCATCTCTCAGCTCACAGAGATAGATGCATATTCTGATTGCCTCTTCTGGAAAAACTTATCAGAAACTCCAAAGAATGCAACCATCCCTCTCTCACCTACATGTGACCTGGAAGTCCCCAATGGGGGGGCCTTGCTTTGAGCTGTCTCCACCTTTCTGGATGGAACTAATGTATTTCTTACATATTGATTGATGTCTCGTGTCTCCCTAAAATGTATAAAACCAAGCTGTGCCCCGACCACCTTGGGCACATGTCATCAGAACTTCCTAAGGCTGTGTCACAGGTGTGTCCTCAATCTTGGCAAAATAAACTTTCTAAATTAACTGAGACCTGTCTCAAATTTTTGGTGTTCATAGGACAAAGGAATTTTTGGTGTTCACAGAAAAGGCTATCGCCTTTTCAACAAATAGTGCTGGAACAAGTAAACCTTAATCCAGGCCTCACACCCTATAATAAAAATTAACCTGAAAAGAGTCACAGACCTAAATGTAAAACCTAAAACTATGAAACTTCTAGAAGAAAGGATAGGAGAAAACCTTTGTGGCTTCATATTAGGCAAAGATTTCTTAGATATGACATCTAAAGCACAATCCATAACAGGAAAAAAAGATCAACTGGACTTCATCAAAATTAAGAACTTCTGCATATGGAAGACTATTAGAATGGAAAGATAAGCCACAAACTGAAAAAAAAAAATCTGCAAATCATTTATATGATAAACGACTTCTCTCCAGAATATAGAATTCAATGCTTAGTAAGAATAAAGCCCAATTTAAAACCTAAGCAAAAGATTTGAAGACATTTCACCAAAATACATAAACAAATTCCAAATAAGCACATGAAAACGTCCTCAACACTGTCATTAGGGAAATGCAAATGAAAACCACAATGAGATACCACATTGCACCCTGTAGAATGACTTAAAAAGCAAAACACTGACAACAGCAAGTATGGTGGGAGTAAGGAATAACCAGGACAGTAATAGGTTACTGGTAAGAACGCAAAATTATACAGCCACTTCAGAAGACAGCTTTGCCCGGCTGTTTCACCCAAATGAAATGAAACTTACATATTCAGAACACCCTTATAGAAGCTCTTACACCCTTATAGAAGGTCTGTTCATAACCAAATTGGAAATGTCGGGGCCAAGGGAAGGCTTCCCCTTTGCCCTATGAAGTTTCGCTGAAAATTACTGACAAGAGGCAAATTAACAGGAGAAAAGGCATATAAATTTATTTGATCACAGTTTTATGTAACATGACAGCCTTCAGAATGAAGACCCAAAGATGGAGGAGAAATTGTCTACTATGTTTAGGTTTAACGAAATATGTACAGGCATGCAGAAACATGACTGGACAAAAAGGTATGATCTACTGCTCAAGAGAAGACAACACAAGGCCTGTCCGTCCAGATTCTTCTTGGCCTCTCTGAGCAGCATTCTTTCCTTCTGGGTATGGGGCAGGACCCTCTCTGGAATGGGGGTTTTATGACCTATAATCAAACAAGGTAGGTCAGATGTTTTATGGCCAGTTTTTACACAGAAAGGCAGAGGCAAAATTAAGAGTAATATATTTAGGTTTTATGGTTGGCTTTGCGGAAAAGGGGTTCTGGTGTCTATGACCCGCCTGGGGCAACAGGGATTCTAGTTTCTATGGCAACCCTCAAGGGAGAACAGGACTGAAAGGTGGGCAGGAGAAGGTCAAAGAAAAAGTTCTTCTAAGGCTGTTTCTGAGGCCTTCATTTTATGGTATTGTTTTCTGAGTCCCAAGAGAAACAATCCAAATGTCCCTTAATTAGGGACTAAATGAAAACCAAAACCTAACTCTGGTGCACCTACACAGCAAGGCTGAACCTCAAATTTATTCAGTGGAAGCAGCCAGACTCAAAAGACTTTGCCTATCATGTAATTCCCTTCTCTTCATAGGACATAGACTGGGAGGTGGCCAGGGGCTTGTGGTGACCTTGACTACAAAAGAGAATGGGGAATTTCTCAGGACAATAAAAGTTGTACATATCTTGATTTTGGTAGTGATAACATGGCTGTATCTGCTCATCAGAATTTACAGAACTATACACTAAAAAGAGTGAATTTTACCGTATGTAAATTATACCTTTTATTTTTTTTTTAAGGAAAAAATCTTCCTGTGACTTCCTACAACTTTTGGGATAAGGACCAAAGTATTTCAAATGACCTACAAGATCCTCTATCATCTGGACTATGGACTTACTTGCTCACTCCAGCTGTCCTATGCTTTCTTCAGCGCCTCCAGTGTAGCCTGCTCTCTTTCACCTCAGGGCTAACTTCTATTTTTTCTCCAGGTCGAATGATCTAAATATCACTTCCTCAGGGTGGAAGGAAATCTTCTGGGACTAGCTAGTCAAGGTCTCTGTGCCCCTTGTCATATGTTCCACATTACCTTGAATGTCCCCTTTCATAACTCATCACACCTGAGATTACCTATTTGTTGTCAACTGTGCTGGACTGTGAACTCCACAAAGATTCCACTTCTAGCTTACTCAGTGCTATATCCCCGAACCTCAGAAGAGTATCTGCTACAGCAGTACTCCTTATCTGTGGTTTCAGTCAGCTGTGGCACAGTACAATAACATATTTTGAGAGAGAAACTACATTCATATAACCTTTACCACAGTATATTATTAATAACTGTTCTATTATTAGTTATTGTTAATCTCTTACTGTGCCTAATTTATAAGTTAAACTTTATCATAGGTATGTATGTAGAGGAAAAAACAGTATATATAGGGTTCGGTACTATCTGTGGTTTCAGGTAGCCACTGGGCATCTTAGAACATATACCCCATGGATACAGGGAGGACTACTGTAGTCTACTTGCTGAAAAAATTAATTGTGGCTTAGTCAGGCATTTCGTTGAGTACGATGGACCTTACTTTGGAACTCAGAAATCACTTTCTCCTGTGAAAATATCAAACTTGAATGAACTTTTGGAATAAAATACTTTGTAAAATGGAGATTTTGGGTATAGATATAAATAGATCTAAGCCTATGGAGTTAATAAAAAACAAAACACTCTAAAAAATGTAATATATGAAGTCAAACGAAATCTGAGTCTTTTAGATAGTCTATGGACACGTACCTTAACTGAAGACCAAAACTGTCGTTGAAAAAACAAGTAAGGCCCAGAATTTTTATTTTCTAAGACACTAAGTAAAAAAAAGAGAAACATATCATGATCAGATATTTTATATGTAGGTGCCATATGATTCCTGGACAAAAGATTTTTCTACAAAACAGGTAAACAAAATAAATTTTTAATTTTTCAAATAATTGCATTCTGGAAGATAGTATGTTAAAAAGGCAATGGAAATTTATTCTGAGACACTCAGGGAGAACGTAAGAGTATTGTTTTATTCTGCTTAAGGGAACAATCTCGCCACTAATCTAGTCTCTCTGTAATACACTACATGGGTGAAGTTTGTATTTCAAGCTAGTTTTTCAGAATTTTATAAGCCTTCTCTGAAACACAATGGAGAATATTATCTTTAATGTTCTTCAGAGTTACTTACTTTTTGGGATATAAGGGCATAAATACATCATCATCTAAAGTTCTTCTCATTCTCAATAAAAGTGCCTTTAGGTATACCTAAAAAGTTAAAAGTAGATCACACATTTTAATAAGGACTATGACAAGAAAAATAAGCCATATTCCAAATCATGTAACTGAATATTGAACTGAGTGAACTAGTTTCTCAAATTTTTAATTTTCCTCATTGAAGACCCTAAAGTAATTAATACTTAATAATCTATTAGTTCATTCCTCAACAACTGCCAAGCAATAAAGCTTTAGAAATCTTTCAATTCCTTAGTCTACATAAAGATTTAAGACCAGACACATAATCTAGCTCTCAAAGTGAAAATTCAACAATGACAAAGAGCACCCACCTTCTCTACATTTAAACAGCTTCTATGAATGGCCCCTGAAGAGCATTAACTTTAAGTTTGGCAACTAGTTATAAAACAGTATCTAGTTGTTTTATATGCTGTTTAAATGGTTTGGGTGCCCAATCTTTTGGCTTCCCTGGGCCATACTGGAAGAACTGTCTTGGGCCACACATAAAATACAATGACACTAATGACAGCTGATGAGCTAAAAAAAAAAAAAAAAGAAAAAAAAAAAGGAGGGGGGCGGGGTCTGTGCATAAATTTCATGTATTAAGACAGTTTACAAATTTGTGTTGGGCCGCATTCAAAGCCGTCCTGGGCCACATGTCCATGGGCCACGGGTTGGACAAGCTTAAATTATCAATTGTTAACATTTTGGTTTCTCATTTCCCCCCAGAAAATACAGTCTTTAAAAGGACATTTGATTAGTTGGATTGGGACTGAGGTGTGGTGGTGAGAAATCATAATGAAAGGCTATTTAAAATGATGACATCTTCCTTCCATATTGATTTTTTTAAACTGAAAACTAACATCTCTCTGCGGGACTAGGTATAAAAAAAAGAAAAAAAAAACCTAACATCTCAAATTTTGTGTATTTCAGGCTTTAATGGCCCTGATGGCCCAAGTGGGAGAACCAGATTTCTGATTGGTTTAGGATAACCACTCATTCTCTCAATGCTTGCTCATATTCAACAGAAAGAGGAAAAAAAAAAAAGGCTTCAAAAGATACTAAATTACCTGTGTATTTTTATTTTCTGCATTCACTACTGAAGGATATCCATTGATTAATTTTAGTGTAATTCCCACCATTCTTGAAGTCTGTGTTGTAGAAAAAGGGTCCCACATATTTTCAGCTATCACTATTAAGAAAAAAAGAGGATTGAGACACAGAAGCCAATTGTACCTTTAATTTTTTGTCAAGCAGACCTCTATTAATGCCAATCCTAATTTATTTTTCCTCTTTTTCTACAATATAAGCTTTAGTCTTCTTTGTCCTATTAACTGTGGGAATTTGGAGGGATAGGGATGTGGAGAGAGGATAGATTATTCTTATTTCTGGTACTCAGGGAAAATAAAGATTAGGAAAAAAGAGGATTTCTGTAGAAATGTTGTCTTGGCATCAAGAATTTCAAACTAACATTTCTAGTATTTAAAATAGATTCCTGTATCAATGATTCCTAATCTTTTTTGAGGAACTTATGAAAGCATTTTAATTGCTCCCCACATAAATGCATATCCTCCTCCCTCAAACTCTGTATAATTTTGCTTCAGTCAGTCTTTGAATTTCTAAACCTCACCTATGAAGCAATTACTGCACTCAACTACAGGCCCACCCTAAAGTGGTCTTCAAGTCCCAGGATAAGAACCCCTCTGCCCTCTAGCCATCTCTGGGCCAGGTGGTAACTATTATTTCTCATGTAATTTCTATAAGGAAACATGCTCTGAATTATAAACTCATAAAAATAGATTTGAGAAAGCCAGTGTGTCTGAATGCTCAATTCAGAGAACAGGAGATTTACCTGTTAGTTTAGGAAGAATCACCTTTTCCACAATGGTAGGTAGTAGGGCAACATCTACATCATCTTTTTCTTGCTCTCGTTCTTCACAACCATAAAACAGCAAAGATTCAAACCACAGCATATTCTCAAAGTCACGACATTTTGCCTAAAAGACATTTAAAAGGTTACCCAAATACTAAAATAGTGGCTATTTCTGCTTCCAGCTATGATAAGAGAAACAAGAACTGGATTTAACCTTTGGTTGCAAACAACTAAAAACTGGACGGCTGGAGATATCATGCTACCAGACTTCAAACTATAAGGCCACAGTAACCAAAACAGCATGGTACTGATACAAAAACAGACACATAGACCAATGGAACAGAATAGAGAACTCAGCAATAAGACCGCACACCTACAACCATCTGATCTCCGACAAACCTGACACGAACAAGCAATGGGGAAAAGATTCCCTGTTTAATAAATGGTGTTGGGAGAATTGGCTAGCCATATACAGAAAATTGAAACTGGGCTCCTTCCTTACACCATATACAAAAGTTAAGTCAAGATGGATTAAAGACTTAAATGTAAACCCCAAAACTATAAAAATCCTAGAAGAAAATCTAGGCAATACCATTCAAGACATCGGCATGGGCAAAGATTTCACGACAAAAACACCAAAAGCAACTGCAACAAAAGCAAAAATTGACAAATGGTATCTAATTCAACTAAAGAGCTTCTACGCAGCAAAAGAAACTATTATCAGAGTGAACAGACAACCTACAGAATGGGAGAAAATTCTTGCAATCTATCCATCTGACAAAGGTCTAATATCCAGAGTCTACAGGAAACTTTATAGGAAAAAAACAACCCCATTAAAAGTGGGCAAAGGACATGAACAGATACTTCTCAAAAGAAGACATTCATGTAGCCAACAAACATGAAAAAAAGCTCAACATCACCGATGATTGGAGAAATGCAAATCTAAACCACAATGAGATACCATCCCATGCCAATCAGAATGGGAATTATTTAAAAGTCCAGAAACAAAAGATGCTGGTAAGGTTTCAGAGAAAAAGGAACACTTTTACACTATTGGTGGGAGTGTAAGGAAGACAGTGTGCCAATTCCTCACAGATCTAGAAGCAGAAATGCCATTTGACCCAGCAATCCCATTACTGGGTATATACCTACAGAAATATAAATCATTCTATTATAAAGCTACATGCATATGTATGTTCACTGCAGCACTATTCACAATAGCAAAGACATGGAATCAACCCAAATGCCCATCAATTATAGACTGGATAAAGAAAATGTTATACATATACACCATGGAATACTATGCAGCCATAAAAAGGAACGAGGTCATGTCCTTTGCAGGGACATGGATGGAGCTAGAAGCCATTATCCTCAGCAAACTAACGCAGGAACAGAAACCCAAGCACCACATGTTCTCGCAAGTGGGAGCTGAACAATGAGAATATATGGACACATACTGGGGAAAAACACACACTGAGGCCTGTTGGGGGGTGGGGGTGGGGACTTGGGGGAGGGAGAGCAACAACAGCTACTGGATGCTAGGCTTCCTACCAAGGTGATGGGTTGATCTGTGCTGTAAACCACCATGTCACATGTTTACCTATGTAACAAATCTGCACATGTACCCTGGAACTTAAAAGCCAAAGAAAATAAAAAAGAACTGGACAAAATACAATGGACCATAGGCAGCACAAGACTATGACCCTTTAAAGAAAGGAATCAAATGAGGTGAGATGCTAGTTCAGGACAGCAGAGCAGTTTTGCTGAGTGGAGGAGACAGAGGGTGGAGCTCAGGAAGGCTGACACAGCTGGAAACTGTGGGGCAGAGGAGTGGGGGACACAGAAAAATAACTCCAAAATACAGTCTTGGGCCTTTGCTATCTACCAAGACACTCATGCACACAGCAAAACTTCAGAAGGTCTGGCCAAGAGCACACAGGAAATAGGAGCTGTGAGCTGAATGCTTCTCAGAGCTCACATTTTTTTCAGTTGTGTTTCCATGGCATCAACCTCAGCTCCCTTTTCCTTATAGTTCACAAATTCAACCTAGCCAATCTCAACCATGTCTACAGCTTCACCCACGTTGGTAACTTCTAAAACCACATTGTAAACATCACCACTAGACCTCCAGAGTCAATTCTAGCCCCCTCCCTTATATGACAGGCCAATAGGTCCTCTTGATTCCACCTCCTTATCTTTTTTTTTTTTTCTTGTGGCAGGTCTTGTTCTATCACCCAGGCTGCAGTGCAGTGGCACAATCATAGCTCATTACAGCCTTGATCTCCCGGGCTCAAGCAATCCTGCCTCAGCCCCCGAAGTAGCTAGGAATATGAGCACATGCCACCACAGCTAATTTTTTTTTTTTTTTTTTAAGTAGAGACAAGGTCTTGCTATGTTGCCCAGGCTGGTCTTGAACTCCTGAGCTCAAACAATCCTCCCGCCTTGGCCTCCCAAACTGTTGGGATTACAAGCATGAGCCACCATGCCTGGCCTATCAATTTTTCTCACCATGACAACTGACTTGGGTCATGTCCTCATTTCACACCTGCCTCATTGTGCTTTCCCATCTGGTTCTGAGTTCCTCTAGGATCAAAGGACCAAGTTCTTACTATTCATGTTCATATCCCAGTGTTACTGCATATAATTTCAGCTGGCTGAAAAAAGGATTATATGTAAACTGAAAAAACAACAACAACAACAAAAAAAACACATAGCTCTGCTGGGAAGACATGAAACTTAAAAGGAAAGATCATAAGATTATAACCAGATACAATCTATCAATTATAGCCTATGCCCTATCACCCCTGCAAAATATTTTGCTTAAGCTTACATCTCTAGCTTTGAGATTAAAATTACCCAGATATCAAATTATAACACTTTCTAATAGTGACAGAAGCCACTCACCTCAAGAGGAGTCCAAGTGAGGAGCTGAAGTCGTATGAGGGGGTTGAATAATTTTGGCAAACAAAGGCCAATGTAAGCATCTTTGTAGGATGTGTAGTATTTTGAACGCCATGCTTCAAACTGTGATTTAATACAGTCAATTGAATAGAAACTTTCAAGGACATCTTCAAAAACTTTGCCGGATTCTTTTGAAATTCGATCTAAAAACAACAAAACCCCACAGAGAACCATACATTAGTATGAAGTAGGAAAAAAACAGTCCAATATTTTCAGTGTTTTCTTTGTAGCTTCAGTATCAGAAGATACGCTCATTAACAAAGGGCCAATTGTTAGTCACAATTTAGAAGAAAAAAATAAATTGAAGTTTCAATTTGTCTATTATGTAAACTAAAGTGCAGCCAGTCCTTGTTTTGCAGTTCCAGTATATACAATTTTTCTACCACAGTTTGGCTAAATAAAACCTGTTCCCAAACAAGATGGTTCAAATTTCAGTTACTACGGTGTATTAGCCATAAGTAATTGTGCCGCTAGCTTTTTAGTTCACAGATCACTGCACAGATTAACAGCTGTGCATCATAATCAGTCACTAATCACATTGCTTCATTCAAACTCTGTTGGTGATTATAATAACTGACATAGCCAACTATCAGCTGAATGGATGCTAGGAACTTTAAGTGAAAAGTTATTTGCGAATAAGATTTTTTTTTTTTTTTTGAGACAGATTCTCACTCTGTCACCCAGGCTGGAGTGAAGTGGTGCGATCTCAGCTCACTGCAATCTCTGCCTCCCAGGTTCAAGTGATTCTCCTGCCTCAGCCTCCTGAGTAGCTGGGATTACAGGTATGCGCCACCATGCCCAACTAATTTTTGTATTTTTAGTAGAGATGGAGTTTCATCATGTGAGCCAGGCTGGTCTCGAATTCCTGACTTCAAGTGGTCCGCTGCCTCGGCCTCCCAAAGTGCTGGGATTACAGGTGTGAGCCACTGTGCCCAACCAAGAATAAGATACTCTTATGATGTCCCAGATTACTTGGGAAAAGGAAATATTTACAATGGAGAGATAAAGTTCTGAGAACCTTTACTGCAAGATCAATCTTAACATTGCTAATAGTGGGGACAGTCTAACATTTGTCATGTGCTTTTAAGCAGTATGAAACAGCATCCTGTATAAATTATTCTTGGGGAAGAAAAAAAAAAAGTTTAACTTAAATCTAATTAAGCCTTCAGACCTAAATTCCAGTTTACAAGAAATGGATCAAAGAACAAGTTAAACAATGCTATGAGGAAACATACAGACCAGTCTAGAATATAGGACAGTCTATAAGAGAAGTGGCCTGGTCTCTTCAAAAATTTAAAGAACAATAGGGGTGGGTGTGTGAATGTGTACTTAGGGTTACTCATTTATTCCAGATTTAAAAATGTCATAACCAAATGCAGAGCATGAACCTTAGGTGGATCCTGGTTTCAAAAACCACAAAATAACCCATAAAAATAGTTCCTAAAAAGGGTTTTTCCAGGATGCCATTGAGAAAAATTATATATGGACATGATATTAAGAAATCTGTTTTCTTATTGTGCTAAAAAAAGAAATACTTAATCAGAATAGGCATCTAACAAAAAGAAAAAAGATAATAATACTGTGATTATACAGAAAAATATACTCATTTAGAGGAAACACACTCTGAAATTTTGGGGAGTGAAGAGCCATGAGGTCTGTAAGTTACTTTCAAATGGTTCAGCAAACACACACATCTCCTTGTATAAAGAGCCAGGCAAACTTGGTGAAATCATAAGCATTGTTATCTGAGTGATAGGTATGTGGATGATCACTGTGCTAGTCTTTCAAATTTTGTTTAGAAATGTTCACTGTAAAAAAAGTAAGAGAAAGAAGCTTCTCCAACTAAGTTCCAAATGGTGTGCAATTGATATAATTCCAAACAATTATAGCCAATGGTGGGAAATGAAGACTTTTATTTGGGATCCTTCTGAAAATGCCTGGCACATAATAGTACTAACCATTCCTCTAAGGTGAGATTACTTATGACTCCCCAAATCAAGAGTTTCCTTCAGGGCTGAGTGCTCTACTGCCAAGCTTTACCTTTCCAGACCAGACAGGCTGCAATGAGAGCTGCCCTCAAGGACCTGACACATTTCCAGTCACTTAAAATTCTACCATTTGGAACAGTAACAACATTTATTATGCAAATACTAAGTACACCCTATGAGAAGATGTTACCCCTATTTTTGAGAATTCATCATGATATTCACTAATAAAAAGGCATGCAAATTTCTGCAATTAAAAAAGAAGTGTCTGGTTCTAATGCAGAGACCATGAAGATTCAAATCATTTCATGGTAAAAACCATACCCAAGTAGAAACTAAACTGATGATGAGTCTTATTTCCAAATAAATGTCTAACCTTTTTCCAGATTGAAATTAGTAATATCTGTAGAAGTTTCTTCATCATCACTGGAAAGGCCTTCAAGGTGATCTGCCATCTTACCGGTTTGTTCTCTGGCTTGTCTACGACGAGTCCTAAATAATAAACATCAAGTTCCCAAACTAGATAACAGAGACTCCTCCCTTCCCAAACAAGCCAGAGCAAGGGTTTTGAGAATTACCTCCTGGCCTCCCGCTCTGCAATGCGACGTTTTGCATGCTCTTGATACAGTGCCCGATCGCGTCCAAAGGAGTCAAGATTTGGTGCCATCAGAGCTTTGTCTGCAAAACAACAACAGTTAAAATTAAAAGCCATCTTTCAACAATCTTGAGGAAAGAGTTTGCACAGAATAAGCCATTACGACAGACTGCTTGCTAATCTCAACGGCAAGATTCTGCAATAACTGGTAAACCAGGTAGGTTTTTGGTTTAGAACAAATTTCATTATTATTCTGCGTTCCCATTTTAAAAAGTAGAAAAATTAAAGAAGTGATTTCTTTTTAAGAGTTCAACAACCCTACAAATATGTAATTGGGCTTACTCACTATTTTTATGTCTAAGTAACAGGACAGCTATCAGGAATAGCTATCATGATGACCAAATAAATTAAAACTCTAAATTACCTGTGCAAAGGGAAAAATATTACATTTTTAAGGAGGAAGAACTTCAGCATCACATTGAATGACAGCAGGAAAACATAGGAAGACATAAGAAAACAGCTTTGTTGCAAGAGTTTAATAAATTTATTGTAATTTTGCTTTGTAGAAATTTGTTTTCTATCACTATTTTTAGAATAAGGCATCTGAAAACCGCATCTGAGCAGGACCAACTTCCGCCTTCTCAAATGCTAATCTTTCTCTTTCACAGCATAGTTTTATTTTATTTTTTTGGTCTTCGTATTTTCCATTTCTCAAAAAACATTCTAGGGTAATTTCCTAGCTTTAGCTTCCAATCCTATTTAAATTTATATTTCAGTTATCATATTTTTAGTTTTCAAGAGATAGTTCTTGTTCTTACAATATTCCTCTTCTACAGCATTCTATATACTCCTGTTGAGTAGGATACCTTCTATTATCTCCCTGGGGCTCCCAACTGTTTGAAAGTAATCTGTTTACAGAAAACTTGCATACTTGTACCAGCACTGTCTGTTTCCTCAGTCCCTTTGGTTCTGCTGCTCAGGTTGGTCCTTATGATCATCGTTAACTGCCTGTTCATATAGAAGAGCAAGACTGGAAGCTGTGTGTGTGGGCAGGAGCTGTCTAACAGAGGTGTCTCCGTCGGATCACTAGGTACTGAGCCAGTTCTTTTGTTGGGGATCCCCAGATTTTAGTGTTTCAGGGTCTTTATTTTGGACCTACTCTCTTTAATCAAAAAAGACTCCCCTAATCTCTTGCCTAGGTAAAAGAAGGGGTGGGGGAAACATCTGTCCACTATACTTCCCTCATTTCTACGTTTTAGTTCCACACTATGAAGATATGACAGTAAGGGGAGGCAAACAACCCAAACGACTGGGTGAGAGGGGAGGGAGGTGAGCACATGCAAGATGAAAGACATCCAAGTTAAGACTTGCATATTTTTTTACTTATCAATTGATATTTACTGATATCAACAGAGATGTGTCACCAAAATCAGCAACAGGAAAAACAAAACCAAAATTTAGCTCTTACTTCAGAATATCCTAATTATCAGACCTTACTATCTATCTATCTATTTATTTATTGAGACGGAGTCTTGCTCTTGTCGCCCAGAATGGAGTGCAATGGCACAACCTCAGTTCACTGCAACCTCCGCCGCCCAGGTTCAAGCGATTCTCCCGCCTCAGCCTCCTCCTGAGTAGCTGGGATTACAGGCACCCGCCACCAGCTAATTTTTGTATTTTTAGAGACGGGGTTTTGCCATGTTGGCCAAGCTGGTCTCAAACTCCGCCTCGGCCTCTCAAAGTGCTGGGATTACAGGCGAGAGCCACCGTGCCTGACCAGACCCTACTATTTTTAAAAGTTGACTTTTTTTTTTACTGAGTTTTTCATTCATATTTCAAAATAGCTCTGAAATTAGGAAGGAGGTATGTTCCTGAGTGCATCAATTACAATGAAAAATTACTAAACCAGAAAGATTTCCCAGCCCTAGATGTGAGTTCACTACACACCCCAGATGAATTAGCTAAAATATCCCAAACTATAAAAATAATTCCAGACTCAAGAGTTTTCCTTCAAGAAATATTTTTAAAAATATCATTATACGGCTGGGCACGGTGGCTCACGCCTGTAATCCCAGCACTTTGGGAGGCTGAGGCTGGTGGATCACGAGGTCAGGAGTTCAAGACCAGCCTGACCAACATGGTGAAACCCCGTCTCTACTAAAAAAAATACAAAAATCAGCCAGGCGTAGCTGAGGCAGGAGAATTGCTTGAACCCGGGAGGCGGAGGTGGCGGTGAGCCGAGATTGCGCCATTGCACTCCAGCCTGGGCAACAAAGCGAGACTCCGTCTCAAAAAAAAAAAAAAAAAAAAAACATTATACTTAAAACATCACTGCATGTATAGGTTTTGTAAAATGTGCACTGGAGGAGACAGGTGAGTCTAACATGACTCAAGTGATAGCCTCCTCCATTTCTGTAAGAATTATACACAGTAATTGCAGATAAGTGCTTATAAATCTAAACAGAAGAATTTCAGACTATTCTTTACTTCTTTAAAAAACAGATCAGAAAATGAATTGATTCTCCAGCATCCCATGTCATTTTCCTCAAATCTTTGGCAATTAATGTATACTCCCTCTAGGACTGTATTTTTCACTTTCCCAGTATCTTTTAATTTCTTTCCAACTTTCAATCAAACTAATATAAATAATTCAACTCTTCTTTCAAATCCCCTCTAAGTAAATAGCTCCATATTCTCAAGAACAAATTACAGATGGGAAAAGGTATTTGATGAAATGTACAGCTCACACAAACCATCTAACTTAAAAGAAAATTACCTCCCTTTGTAGTATAATGGTTACCTGTAATCTGCCCCAGAAATCTGGTTCTGTCTGGATCAAAAGTGATCTGGGAGGGATGCATGAGTCATGTAGGTGGCTAATGTCAATAATCCAATTTAAAATTCAGTGGCAAAAACAGAAGGTCATAGCCATTTATAGGGCTCATAGCTGAGACTACCTCAGCTATGAGGGCCGTATTACCATCTGTTTATGCCTCTCCAAAACCCATCTGACATATAGGAGGATGCTTTTTCAGGGATCCTATGTCTCTCTGACTTAGAGACCATGTATAGCAAAGCATTGCTTTCTGAAAGAATAACATTAGAGCTATTTGCATTTGATCACCTGGAGAGATTGTTTAACATGCAAATTTCTGGATGCTGAAGACCTAGTAAGAATCACTGGGGATAGAACCAGAAAATCTGTATGTTAAACGAGTATCAGGTAATTGTGATGCACACTTCCATTTGAGAAATGCTGACAAAGGGAACAAAGAAATGACAAAAGAAACCACAAGGAATTCACACTAGGAAAATTCCTATTAGCGCACTCAAGAATATGGAGGGTAACGGAAAAAAAGGAACTAAACGGTTTAAAACATCCAGTTAAAGGACCTCCGCTGAACTATTTAACAAGAGGTTTCTAATTCTGGTTTTCCATAACACATGTCATAATGATGGAAGTACAAATTCAATTTCTATCCATTTGTATACAAAATTTCAAGAATTGTAAGCACCAACTGACTTACTAAAAAACACAGTACATAAAGCAAACTAGAGAAACATTTAAAAAGAAATTACAAAAAGTTTGCTTTATCCAAAGGATGAAGCTCAAAACTCTCCTATCTTGGAGTTGTGTCATTTGTTAAGTTATAGCTTCCCTCCCCCTACCCACAACATGTCCCAGTCCCTAAACTCAAACTCTTTCACTGTGATCAACAAAAGCATTTATTTGTATTGGTGTTTTGAATGAAAATGGGGGAAAAAACCAATTAGGGCCAAACAGATAATGGTTTTAACATAAAATACGGATAATGTCTTTTCTATACTCTAAAGGAGAATGAAAAAATATGCCCAAAGAATAAGAAGACTGACAGAATCTTAGCACGTTTTTGAGCTCCTTTGTGAAGCTCTATTTTCTTAAACACAATTCAAGTACATGCTGTTACCATTTTTAGATCTACCTGACACAACAGCAAGGAAATTGTTTCTTTAAAAAAAAAAAAAAAAGCTCCAAGATCTCTAATTTTCAATTAGGCTGCACTAAGTAAACAAGGTTGTTTAATGAATAATAAAAACCTTCAAGATGGACTGACTTGAATGGCTTGAAAACTCCGAAGATTCATCTTTAATATCATCTTGTCGTCTTTGGACAAGGCGGGAAGCTCGCTGTTTGTACAGCTGATGTATTGCTGATTCAAGTTCATTAATCAGTGGCACCTGTAAAAATACAACACACTCCGTAACACCAAACTCCTCAGCTGCTTATTTATTTGAGGGTTCCATACTATTTCCGGATTTCTGAAAAAGTACCCTCTCTATGGACAGAATAATCATGAATCCCCAACAGCACACAAGTAGCAAATTCTGTTTTATGTTTGGGAAACGACACTTCTTCTTTTAATCCATGCATAGAGCTATAATGTCCAGTGCCTAGTTATTGGAGCAAACATTAGTTAAGAAATGTAACACTTCAGTATTCATAGAACAAGTAAAGAAATGTCAACAATTTTAGAGCTTTTCCCTTAGAGAATATTTAAGTACTTAGAAGTCTTTTTAATATCTATTTTTAATTTTCCAGCAGCATTATCTGCATTGCGATTTTTGTAGTTCAAAGTAAAACATTATCACTGTGTGGTACCAAAAAAGTGCAATGGCTCTATAAGTAGGTAAGAACAAGAGTCTGCTAATTCTCCAATTTTGGACATTTCAGTTGCTCTGCCACTCATATGTACCAAGTACGTTACAGTAATCTGTTTACTATTTTGTAGCTTTATTACAGATTTTTTAATGTAAACAAAATAATTACTAGGGCGAATAAAATTTCCAGCTATCACTAACCTCTCTGAACTCAATATATCTCAAATTTAAAAAGTTGTTCTCTTCCTGTCAAATGTTTAAATTCTCCCATATTTTATAAAAATTTCTTTACATGAATTGTGAACTTACAAAGTCAATAATTTTTCCAGGTTAATATCCCTAAAGCATTTACTTGATTCATATAGAATACAAAAGAACATGAGAGCTAACTTAAAACAGAAAACTTTCTTTTTCTAAATACCTTATGTTATAATCAAATGCTATGAGACTTTCACGTAACACTAATGACCACTACACATACCTGAGGAAACCAGAAATTCTAGTTTCCTGATGGTTAGTGCAAATGGAAAACACATTATTTAGAGTTTGGGAACACTGGCACCAAGTGTTATAGCAGCTTCCTGAACTGAACAGACTGCAAATGGAAAATAAAAAAAGGCAGGTGGAATACAGAGATGTCTGTAATAAAAGCAATTTTATATACTTGCATGATTCCATTGCAAAAGTAGCAAATGTTCACAGAAAGGTCAAACTAATGGAGTTATTTTGTTCTTTAATATGCCACACCATGGGCAACAATGTCCCCAAATCTGTAATGATTATCCTTGATAGCTGAGTCCAGAGACTCTATCATTAAAATTTATTATAATCTGATTTTTTTTTAGCAATTACTGCCACAACATTGCCATTTACACTTCCCCATGCCCTCATTTTTTTTTTTAAACCATGAAGTACTAAAGATAAATGAGCCTGAGGCATTCTTTTATCTTTTAATCCTAGAGATTGTTAAGCTTCCTGTACTGTAGGAACTACCCACCTAAGCTGGCATCATACAGAATATAATTTTGCAACATATAGTTAAGATTCTGACAATGTAGTTTTTCTCTTTAGGTTAACTGGAATGCCTTTTACCGGAGGTCCAGAGAAAAACTCTACTGAGAATAAAAGCCCTAAACAGACTGTGAGCTCTCATTCAAGTTTCTTAACAATATTGATTTATCTCAAGAGTCTGCACCGTGACAATTTCTTTATCCTCTCCAAACTCAAAACTCTCACCAATTATTACTATTTTAGGGCCAAAGTTAAGGCAAAGAACCCAAGAAAGATAATTACAGGGAAACAAAAACAATGGCAAGTTAAAATGATTTACAAATATTTAAAACTTCTTTAAAAACCACCTAAACTTTCATAAGCAAAGAGGAAAAAAAAAGGGATCTTTATCTTTTTACGGTTAACTCTGAAATATTATTATAGTATAATTATTCAAAGTATCCAATTATTTCTAAGTATCTCCAATATAACAATTTATATTATCAACTCAGCAGTACTTTTTTGTTTTTTCTTTATTTTTAAGATTATCTTCTAAAGATCTAAGCTGAGCAGTACTCTTAAAATGAAATACACATGAAAATGTTAGAATGAAATATAATACTCATCTTTAAATGAAGCTATGTCTACCTCTCTTTTAATTAAAACGTAGTCACTGTATAAGGTTTAAGATTTGTTCCAAAAAATCTAAGTGACTCTGTATAACCACATTAGCATAATCTGAAGTAAACTTCTCTAGGAACAAGGTAATCGAGATGAAATACACTAATAATTCAACAATTAAAAACTATAAACTAGGTTGTCCTACTTTTGGTATGATCTAGCTGATCATATTACTGTCAAATTTTTTAGAGTTGTGTTTGCAATTATGAATGTCTTAATTTACTCAAGAAAGTTCCGAAGCAAGCGCCAAGACACTTCAAGAAGCAGCTCTCCAGGGACAAACTCATAAAGCATAGTTTAAGAAAAAGATCCTTTCTCTAGTCACAAAGGTTATGAGACCAGCTCCCACCATGCCCACTGGGCTCAGAAGAGTTTTGCCAGTAGGAAGGACATGACTGTCAACTCTTGACACTTAGGTTCCACTTCCAATCTTGACTCCAGCTCCCGGCACAGAGGAATACAGACAAGCCTATACTTCTTCCCCACCCTAAGCAACTGATACACCACAAGTGGTATCATAACTCAGACTGCAGCTGCTTCTCCAGAAACCAGGTGATAAAGACAAAACATGAGAAACCCTACAGAGAGGACATGGTGAATGTTATCTCATCCTGAATCTGGCCACAGACTGACTGGAACCATTAAGACCCATCAGGAAGAAAGATCCATCAGGAAGACATAGTCTGGCAATGATCTTTTCCCAGCCATTGGTTTTAGGGTATTCAAGTAATCAACAAAGATAACAAAAGTTGAAATACATATTTAACCACACTATATGCTTACAGATTCTAAGCTAATCTACATAGCCAATAACAAAGGGAAATGTGCCTTCCAATCCAAAGTTCAGACAGGATATTTAAGGACCACAGTTTTAATTTTTTTTTTTTTAAAGATAAGGCTGCAAAGTCCACAAATGCTTATAAACCAGTGCCTCAACCAATACTTTTATCTTAAAGAAAAAAAATCAATTAGGAGGTCATTTGAGAAACTAGCTGTTTGCACCTAATTTTAAATGTAAACAATAAATAGTATAAGAATGCCAAACATTTTGTCAACTGACTATCCTATTGAAAAAAACAAACTTGGGAGAAATGAAACCTTAGAAAAAATGATATCCAATGAAATGGTTTCTGAAAGAAATCAAGCATAGGCTTACTTAGATAAAAACTATTAGCAACAATGGTAATCATCATCCAGGGTAAAAAAAAAAAAAAAAAAAAAACTAATAAAAATTTGCAACTTTATATGCATATTTAGAATTGCTTGTAGAAACGTTTAAAAATAAGTTTAAACCTGAACCAGAAAAGAAAATTTTATCAGATGAGTCCCTTATATTCTAAGAATTCAGCACAGGCCAATAATAATCTACCACCATATTGAAATAAGACTTTCCAAAGTCTTATTTAAATGTGCTTTAAGATATTATCTTTATTTCTGTTTTCAACAAAGGTATTATATTGCCCTTAAGAGATAATGCCACTAATGAAGTGAAGAAAAATGAAGCATGACTTTTCATCACTTCTAATGTTGAGTTCAGTGGGTACTTTCTGAGAATTATAGAATGTTCTACACAAGGCCATCTAGACCTCCCTAATTTTGCCTTATTCAAAGAGATTAGTATTTTTGCATTCTTACCTTTTCACTGAAACACTCAAGCAAGTCTTGGACATACCCTCGCATTTCTTGCAAAAATTTATACCGTTCACCAATACCCCCAGAAGACCCTTCTAATCTTTCAATAGCCCTGGTAGAGTCCACTCGGCTTTGCAGATGTTTCTCATGCTGCTGTCGATTTGTTTTGTGCAATTCTTTCATGGAGTCCAACCTTAGGAACACAAAAGGATAAATATAACACATTTACATCCAAAGGTCTATGGTGTCAGGACTCTTGCAATATTAAAATATGCATTTAGCTCCACTATTAGAACATAAAAATATTTGGAATGGCATCTTTTCCTCTGTACTGCTTTTTTTCTCAAAAAACAAAAAATGGCAGTTTACAGATTTCACAGTTTTGTGGGCTAACCAAAATCTCACTGTTTTGCTTTTCCCCCCATAGCGTGACTACACTTTTTCAGAGTCCAAGAGGTACAAACTCAGAAATGTCTTCAACAAGATCATGGAGTGGCATTTTTTATAATTTTTCGAGGCTTCCACAGAAGTAATCCAAGAAGGTAGCAGAACAAAGTATGAAGTCATCTTCTGTTTAGCTTTTGAAGCTGGGCCAGTGAATCTTCTTTGCTGATATTCTGCATCTGCTACCCCAGACTACATGTTGCCTGAGGGAACAGAAAGCTAGCGGACAGGTCTTTAAGAAGTTGATCTGCCCTACCTGTCTTTAAGCTGTTTCTTTACCAAATCAATAGTAACGGGAGTCATCTCATTACTGGGAGTTTTGAAAGGGACTGTATTATCTGTTTTTTGAGATTTGGCATCTGATGATCCATAGGCCGTATAACTATAAGGAATGCCATAGGATGAGCCGTAAGGCATTGTCTGGTAAGTGTTCTGGTAGTACATATTCACTTCTGCGGGTTGACTGGCTTGAACCTAGAAAAGAAATGGGATATAGATGAAATCTGGTAGTTAAAACTTTGAAAATAATAATATGCCTTTAGGGTTAAAAAATCAACAGCAAAAATTATACCTATTTGCCAAATATTATGTAATAATTGCAGAATTCTTCAAAATTAGATAAAAGCAGGATTGAATGAATGTCCTATCTCTTGGTGGAATCACTAAATTTATTTCTAATAATTTTCAGAAAAACAGAGTTCAGAGTTGGAAGAAACATCAAAAATCATTTAAGGCCACCTTTGATCAATGAAAGAGGATAAATGCCTTGCCCATGGTCACAGAATCAATGGGCAACCAGAGATTAGAATCTAAGACTCCTGACATCCAGTCCAAGACTTTCTCTATTGTGCCATTTTCTTAACTTCACCCAAATGTATGCGAATTCTGCCTCAAAACACTATTAACAAAAATAGGTTTACGTTTATGCAATTTTTCTCACTGTATTACTTACTTTTATAAAACAAATTGTTATAACTGGGAAGATATTTTTCATCGATCTCAAGTTTTTTGTATTATTGAGAAATCCATCTTCTTCAAAATAATTCTTAAAGTCCAAAAAAATAAGCTACACGCACAAAAACATTCCATTTAAAGCAATGGTTCTCAAACTTTAGTGTGCATCAGAATCACCTGGAGGGCTTGTTCAACAAAGATTGCTGGCCCCACCACCCCAAGCTTCTGACTCTGTAGGTCTCTGGGGGCTGATAATTTGGTAATTTGCGTTTCTAATGAGCTACCGGGTAATGCTAATGCTAACTGAAGGACCACTTTGAGAAAAACTCATCTAAGAAATTGGAAATTCCTCCATCATTCTGACTGCAAAAAGCCGAACACACTGCAGTTTCTTCTAAAAGCCTACGTGTCTCTGTGTGCGTGCGTGCGTGTGTGTGTGTGTGTGTGTGTGTGTGTGTGTCTCCTCATGGGATTTTGTTACTTGAAATGAATGACAAAGATTCAATACGGAATTTTTTACTTTAACAAAATAAAAAAGGCTTTTTAATCTACTTTTAATTTTTAGTTTAATTCTTTTGTCGTACCTGAGGGATATTAATTCCTTTCCTTATCTGCTCCTGTTCCCATCGGCTGAGCTCTTCATCCTGTTCTCCAGTTACTAAAGCATCATCATCACTCCCCTCAATTCCTACAGCCATGAGCAACAAAGAAAAGTAAGTAACACCCAAAGAGCAAAGAGGTAAAAGATGCTGTCCTGACATTTCACAAGAACTGAGCAAAACTATTAACTCAATCTTACTAAAATGTCTAATATGATCTCCTCTCTCATTTGGTAGTCCTGACTTTGCCTGTTTTAAACACAGTATTCCTTGAAGCTAAAGGCAGTATTAATGTAATAGTTAAAATCTTGGATGTGTTTCTTAATCTCTGTAAACTTGACATCAACAAAGGGAACAAAATCTAATGCCTCCTAGGAATATAGAACTATATGAATTTACGCATGTAAACTGCTAAGCACAATACCAGCTGCACAATAAATGTTCAATGAACATGAGTTATCACAATGATATTAGTTTTTAAAAATTCCAATAAAACACTTGTACCCAAGAATAGTCCTCTAACATAAAATTTAGTAAGTCTAAATACTTTTTACTTGACTATAATATCAAATCACATTTAATAGCATTAGAGGCCATGCATGGTGGCTCATGCCTGTAATCTCAGCACTTTGGGAGGCTGAGGCATGGTGGCCCATGCCTGTAATCCCAGCACTTTGGGAGGCTGAGGCATGGTGGCTCATGCCTGTAATCCCAGCACTTCGGGAGGCCAAGGCAGGAGGATCTCTTGAAGCCAAGAGTTAAGACACCAGACACAGTGAGACCCCATAACTACAAAAAAATTAAAAATAAAAAAATTAGCCAGGTGTGGTGACGCACACCTGTAGTCCCAGCTACTCGAGAGGCTGAGACAAGGGTGACTGTTTGAGTCCACGAGTCAAGACACTGCAGTGAGCTATGATTGTACCACTGCACTCTGGCCTAAGTGATGGAATGACACCCTGCCTTAAAACAAACAAAAAAAGGCAATGCAATAGGCTTACTATTCAATTAAATCAAGTTACCTATTTCCTCAGCAATTTTTTGTCTTTGTGACTTTTCTTTCACAGAAAAAACTATCCGGCGTTTCTCATCGTCATCTTCATCATCACTGGCATCATTCTCATCTTCTCTAACAAGGCGGCCTTTACCAGGCTCATTATCATGAGGAGTGAAATCTCCCAATTCTCGGGCCATTTGGCGCTTTTTCCTTGCAGCATGTATAAAAGCTGCATCTGGAATTTCTCCTAGAAACAAATGGTAAGAATATGGCAGTATGAGAGATGCAAAGTTTCTATTTTCTTGAAAATATGAAGGGTAAAATAATCCAAGATAGCCTCATCACAGTGATGTTTCAGCTGCTGGCACCTCCTTCCCATACTATGTCTGCAATCCAAAAGATTGTTAATTGAGTTTAAATGGAATATAAAAGTCACTGAGGAAACTAAAAAGAACATATAATGGTAATATATATGGGAAAGAGTGGGACGGGGTAAAAAGGAAAAACCCACCAAAGCAGTTTTATTTTAGCTATAATTTTTTTTTTCATTTTTAACAAATAGAAGTGGCCGGGCACAGTGGCTCACACCTGTAATCCCAGCACTTTGGGAGGCTGAGGCAGGTGGATCACCTGAGGTCAGGAGTTCAAGACCAGCCTGGCCAACATGGTGAAACCCCATCTCTACAAAAAATTAGCCAGGTGTGGTGGCGGGCACCTGTAATCCCAGCTACTTGGGAGGCTAAGGCAGGAGAATCGCTTGAACCCAGGAGGCAGAGGTTGCAGTGAGCCGAGATTGCACCACTGCACTCCAGCCTGGGCAACAAGAGCACAACTCCGTCTCAAAAAAAAAAAAAAAAAAAAGTAATGAAACTGTATTATGATGCTGGAAAACAGATAAAAATAATATAATCTCATGACCCTGAAAAGGCACTATATGATGTATAGTACATTTCTCTTGCAGATAGTTTTTAGTTTACCTGTAATCATACTAAATATTTAATTTTGTACCTATTTCTCATATCATAATAAGTTTTATTCCATGTTATTGTTCTCCATAAACATAATTTTTAATGGTTTAACATTTTCTGCATAGATAAGGCATAATCTACCGCACACATTAACTGACCTTTTGAGTATAGCAAAAATTAATGCCTCCCTACTTGCCTAATTGTTAACAGTTACATAATATCCTATCAAGTAAATGTACTGTAATTTTCTAACAAACCTTTCCCCTCCTGCTAGACATTTTTTCCTAAATGTTGCTCATTGCAAATGTTCCAATAAAAACATGGTTTCCTTGGGATAAATCTCTAGATATGAAATTACTGGGTCAAGAGTAAGAACATTTTGAAATCTATTGATTCATATTGCCAAAGAGCTTCCCATAAGGACTGTACCAATCAGACTGCCACTAGTGATGTATGTATAGAATTTACTACAACTTTCTCAGCCCAGAGTAGCATATTTTTAAATTGTATAAACATTAACAGGAGTTAAATGGTACTGCTTCATAATTTAAATCTGGCTACTAAGCACTTATTTATTCAAAGGCTGATTAGCCAGTGGATAGACCTGCAAACTATTTTTTGCAGAAAAGTAAAAAGGAGTGTGGACATAAAACTAACAGAAATTAGGCCGGGTGCAGTGGCTCACGCCTGTAATCCCAGCACTTTGGGAGGCCGAGGCAGGCGGATCACCTGAGTTTGGGAGTTCAAGACGAGCCTGGCCAACATGGAGAAACCCCATCTCTACTAAAAATACAAAAATCAGCTGGGTATGGTGGTGCACGCCTGTTAGTCCCAGCTACTCAGGAGGCTGAGGCAGGAGAATCGCTTGAACCTGGGAGGCGGTGGGTGCAGTGAGCTGAGATCGTGCCATTGCACTCCAGCCTGGGCAACAAAAGGGAAACTCCGCCTCAAAAAGCAAAAAAAAAAAAAAAAAACTAACAGAAACTAGTTTTGCTTTTAGCAGCAGTTCAGAAGAAAGTTAAGTCAGTCTTAATCTGAAATACATTAAAAAGGACTACAGGACCATTTTTCCATTTACTTGAAGACTTATTTGCAAAATACAATTACCTGTCTGTGAATAAACTTGGAAAAGTTGGGAAACTTCTGGTTCTCCTATTTTTTATATTTGCAAATGGAAAAACTCCCTCTTCAAACAGCAATGTCATAATAAGAAACACCACTCAGCTAATTCCTTCTTAATAATCATCTTTAAAGATGGCCCATTCTTGAGGGTTTAGTTTAGTTCTGAGAAATACTTTTGAGTACACACCTGGACGAAGAACATTCAATGAAGATAAAGCATTTGAAAAAGCTCCACCAGTCTTTGGCTTTTCTTCCTCTTTTTCACTTTCCATATCCATTTCATCTTCACCATGTTCACTGATGATAACTCCATCTTCTTGATTTGTATCCTTAACATGTCCTGTTTTGTCCAAAGGTTGTTCACCTAAATTTTTGAAGAATTAAAATATATGTAAAATAAAATTCATAAATTAAGAAAGTTTATTCCAATGGTATTGACATCATTAAAAATTTTTTTAATTAAAAAAAGGGGAACTTTTCATTCAATTATGGGCTCAATCCAGTAAAGCTTGAATTAATTGTTTGTTAAAAACTCATAACTCTTGAGTGTGTGAGTATGAAACAGCATAACAGACAGGATTAGGTAAAAATAATACAGAGGATGTAATAAAGGATGCATTTGAGGCCCTGCTCCATTCCACCTTCAGTTAATTTTATCAAAATGTCAACAATTTATCAAAATTAACTGTTTTTTCTGCTAAACTCCCACAAGGAACTGCTTGTACCTCTTTCAAGCATTACTTCATTTTATGTTAGTATTTCATTAAACCCTAAGCCCATGCGAGGCAACTCTGTTATGAACAAAGCACATTTACAGTCCAGCTAAGTCTCTTAGTAATGGACACTTACATGGAATACCTTCTTAGCTCAAAACCACTTGTCACCTATCACCTAAAGAGATGAGATCCCAGCAGTCACATTTACACTGTGCAAGCCTGACCCCACTACCACGACTCAATGTTTAAGAGTGGACTTCTGACTGAAGCAGAGATAACCAGATTCTCTTTCTGGGAATCTGGAATCAGGACTGAAACTAAAGGCTACATGAATATGTAAACTAGGAAGGGAGCTGAGGAATGGCCACATTGTGCCATCTGGACAGAGAAGAGAGCCTCCTAATTCTCAGTTCTAATCCACTCCTGAGGCCCATTTCAAGATTGCTTTCCTGCCATTGTCATCCAGGAGGCACCACTACATCTTAATGATAAACTGTCCTGGTTTACATTACTTACAATTAAATAATCCTAATACAGCCTCTGTCCCAGGCAAAAATCGAAGTGCTTCACCTTGAAGCACTGAACCTGGTAATGCTCACAACAGGCACAAGGAATATACTGAAAGAGTAAAGCAAAAGTTTATTCTCAATATGAAAGATATTTTTCTGTCATTTCCTTAGAATGTTCCTGTCCCCAAAACTGCTTCAAACTTCTTCCTTCTTCTCAAACCATACTGTACTCCCTTAAGTAACAGTCCCAGAGATAACATCCCTCCCCTCTTTTTAACTTTACCAAGAAGATTTTAGGTAACCTCTTTTAGGCTCTTTCATTTTTTTTCTTTTTTTTTTTCATTTACCATTTTCTCATTACCCAGACTTCCCTCTGAAATGGATTATGAAGCTATAAGGTTTTAAAACTCACTTTATCACATTATTAGATGGAGTAAAAACTACCTATTTCCTTTTGCTCTAAACCCATGCTAGGCCAGGCATGGTGGCTCACGCCTGTAATCCCCTGGGAGGCCAAGGCGGGTGGATCACCTGAGATCAGGAGTTCAAGACCAGCCAGGCCAATATGGTAAGACCCTGTCTCTACTAAACATACAAAAATTAGCTGGGCTTGGTGGCGCACACCTGTAGTCCCAGCTACTCAGGAGGCTGAGGCAGGAGAATCGCTTGAACCCAGGAGGCAGAAGCTGCAGTGAGGTGAAATCGCCCCACTGCACTCCAGCCTGAGCAACAGAACGAGATTCCACCTCAAAAACAAAACAAATTTACCCATGCTAAACCAATGGCTGTTAATGGACTAAAAACAAAAGCACAAAAGGTCTACTACATCAGATATGCTCAGATAATGAATGATTCCTACAAATTTTAGGATTCAATGTTTCATTAAATTCACAAGTATTTGCTTATGATTGAGCAAACACAAGCCGAAAGCATGGTGATATGTGAATGTCAGTGGTCACATGTTACCCTTCCAGACATCTCTATATAGATGTTAAATAACCTTTTTCAAGGCTCCACTCATGCCTTCAATTTCATTTACTACTACTTCAGGAAACCTGCTCACAATTATTACCCACTTCACCTTAAACCTGGTCAGGCTCTCCCTCTCCTCTTCTACAAAGAGGGACAGGCTTCTCTTCATCAAAAGAGCTTTCCCACTTGACTCCATTGGTCCCTCTAGTTATTGCCTAGTCTCTCTCTGCCAAACTTCCCAAGGAAGCAGTGTGGACCTGCTGCCCTCTACTTCCTCTCCAACTTTTGTGCCTTGACCCTACAAACAGCCTTTGATTTCACCCAACCTAACCCAATGGCTGCAGCCACGGCTAATTCATATATGATAGCATCATCAAGCAATTTAGCAAAAGATGTTCCTTCTTCCAAACATCTCTGAGGGCACTGGGTCTGGCTGGTGGGCCACTCCCATCCATCCTGTCAGAAGCCCTCAAGAGAAACGCTGGGCAATCTTGCCAATAGCCCCTCCTTGGTCCTCACTTTTCCTGACTTTTCTTGTACTAGTTCACACAAGCGACCATCATCTTCCTGAAACATTCTTCTCTTTTCCTCTTTGGCCTTCCTGATTCTTTTATCTCTTTGGTAAATCCCTTCCTCTACATGTAGGCTTACTAGAGTAGAAGTCTTTGGTCTTCAGGAATTTTTCCTTTATATACGGCTCCCTCATCAATTCCATTCACCTTTAATTATCACCGCAATAAGCACCACCCCCAAATCTACATCTCTAGGTATTCACTGACTACTTCCACTCAAATTCAAATTAAAAAGAGAACTCATTATTTTAAGAATATCAGAAAAATGGGGTTCTCAAGTCAATACCGTGGTTATTTTGAAGTTAATTGTCTCTGCCTACTATAGAGGGTTGAAGGTAGGAAGAGTTCTGGATTGCCAATTAATGACAGACCTTCATTTCAGTGTTACCAATGACAACCTACAATACAATCAGACTCCGCCTTCAGAGGACATTAATTGGAGTTATCTAGTGAGTGGAGTATCAGAATTCAATGAGGATAGAAGGATGGAAGAGGTCAGAGATGGCTTCATCAACTTCACACTTGTTTCAATTTCTAAACCCAACAATAAATGGCAACTAATATGGTTTGACTATGTCTCCATCCAAATGTCAACTTGAATTTTATCTCCCAGAATTCCTACGTGTTGTGGAAGGGACCCAGGAGGAGGTAACTAAATCATGGGGGCTGGTCTTTCCCGTGCCATTCTCATGACAGTGAATAAGTCTCACGAGATCTGATGGGTTTATCAGGGGTTTCCGCTTTTGCTTCCTCCTCATTTTCTCTTGCTGCCGCCATGTAAAAAGTGCCTTTCACCTCCTGCCATGATTCTGAGGCCTCCGCAGCCACGTGGAACTGTAAGTCCAATTAAACCTCTTTTTCTTCCCAGTCTTGGGTATGTCTTTATCAGCAGCATGAAAACAGACTTAATACAACAACCATGACAACAGGCCTTTCTCAGTTGTCACTTATCCTGACCTTTCTTTTACTCTCATCATATATAGTTGGTCTCAAGAATTCTGAGGAAAATAAGGCAGTTTCCTAGACTCCAAAATAACCAGTTCTCCTAAAAACATTCCTCCTTCCACTTGCCTTCTCTATTCCTATATATAATTATTCATAACCAAGACACCCTATGGTTTGAGTGTCCTCTCCAAAACTCATGTTGAAATTTAATTGCCATTGTAACGTTATTAACAGGTGGGGCCCTTAAATGGCAGTTACAACATGAGAAGGTGAATGCCATTATCCCAGGCTCCTGATAAAAGGATGAGTTTGGCAGGATATTCTCTCTCTGTCTTGGAGACTCACCTGCCCTTCTACCATGTTATGACAACATAAAGGCCCTTAGTAGATGCCTGTGCCATGCTCTTGGCCCTCCCAGACTCCAGAACTGTCAACCAAATAAACTTCTATTGTTTATAAATTACCTAGTCTGTAGTATTGTTACAGGAGCAGAAAATGGATTAAGACACTCCAGGACAAAAGTTCAAATTTGACTCTTTCTTTTAAATCCAATATGGCAAAGTGTATATTAAGCCTATCAATTCTTCCCTTGGAATGGTTCTCAAATCATTCTTTCTTTCCACTTCTCCCCCTAAAACAACAGAAAACATTTTTAACTCATCCAGAATTTCCTACTAAATCAGTAGAAGCCTTTACTCTTGCTCAACTGTGAGACCTTTTTAAACCCACTATTAATGGATCAAAGCTGGCCCTTGAGTTTAAACTGCTTTAGGCCTCCAATCTCTCCTCATGCTGCATGTTAATACCAGGCTAAAGTTTCAAAACGCATTTATCATGTCACCATCTTGGCAAGCCACTGTAGCAAATGTAAACCCTTACTGGATACTGAACATCCTTCACAATCTGTCAACGTATCTTTCACATGAAACTTCTAACTACTTCCTTCACAAATCATCTACTCTGACCTGTCAGGTGTACTTGTTCTTTTCCAAAACAGCTTTAGTCATTTTAATCCTTGATCATACCCCCAATACCTTCCCTTTCGGAATTTTAACTATCAAAGATCCATCTTCGAGTCCCACTTTTTCCATAAAGCAGTCCTCTCTCCTCTGAAAGAGTAGCCACCCTTTGGAACACTGATTGAACATTTTGCCAAACACTGAGTCCTCTTACACATTTATGAGATATTGTCTTCACATCTAGATTGTAAATTTGAGATACAAAGCCATACTTTTTCACAATAAGCCTGTAAGTGAGAATCTGGAAAATCATGATTTTCTCATTAATTCCATAAAATAAAATAGCATTTGCAGGAGAATAACTCAGACCATAGAATATTATACTGGATCCACTTTCCTAAAGACAAAATAACCGCTTAAAATTTTTTAAACTGAGGTTTTGAGAGACGTAAGAGATGTCTGTACAATATACCTGCCTCATTATTCTAAGGAGTCTTCATCTAGTATCAGATAAGGCTGCTGAATGGGAGTAATACTAATATTAAATTTAGGGCATTCCTAAAAGTTCTCTAAGAATAAAATCCACTGTGGAAATACCACCAAAGAAATCGCAAATCTGTCTCTACAAAATACAAGAATTTGCACAACACTCCTTCAAACAGAAATAAACCTGTGTCTTAGGCTAAAATGAGAAACCTTCTTTCTCTGTTCAACAGCAGTCTGCACACAAGTAGGAAAACTGTGAGAGAATCTAGTCATTGCAGCAGAAATGTTCCAGTGGCAACAATTCTGTCTTCTTATAAAATACATTTACAAAGCATCTGTGTTACAATTAAATAACAGAACTGTACTGCTACTCAATAAGGGCCCTTGACAACCACAGGGTCCACTGAATGAGTTCAGAAGATATACAGCAAATCACTGTGAGAAAGAGCTTTCATTTTGTCATTTCAAAAGAATTCAATTAGTTTGGTACTTACTTTCAGCTGATGAGTTGAGTTCTGTCTTAATCTTCGATTTTTCAAGATCTTCTTTATATTCCTTCTTGAGCAATTTTACTATCTTTTTGCTATAACTTGATTTCTTCACTTTGAAAACTTCTTCATTTTCTTAAAAAGGAAATTAAATGAAGTCTGTAGCAACTATTTTCTGAAAATATTTTCCCTTCTTTCACATGATCTTACGTGCTGTCCAAATTATCCCAAATATATATACTCATATGCCAAAATCATTGTATAATTATTTCAAGTCTGTCACAGACTCAAAAACAGAGGTCAACTTCCTAAATTACTGTGAAGTAATGAGATTTTTGAGACTTTTTAAAGGAATAGCACATGTAACTTCACAAAATTTTCCTATTATTGTCGTCCTTAAATCATCTATTTGAGAGGGGAAAAAATCATTCAAAATGTTTCTGAAAAACCACATCACCAAGTTATTAACGAATCCGAAACAAAATATCTAAAATAAAAAGGTGCTGTCAATTCTGAGTAACTACATCCACCACAAGCTGACATAGTGGTTTTAAAGCTAAGGTAAGGGCAAATCACTTTTCTTTGATTTGAAATTTTAAAAGTACTAAATACTTAAAAAAAAATAGCTCATGTATCTCAAAAACAAAAATCTGTCTGTACTCCTCTCAAACCAAATAAAGAGTAACAGAAATGCCAAAGATAAACTACCTACCTTACTGGAAACCTCTCGAATAAAAATGCAAGATTTACAAAACTTAATTTCTTTTTTCGTAACATGGAATTAACTGGGTTATGCACATTCAAATGGTCAGAAGAAAAGATTTAAGGCTCATTTAAGATCAGCAATCTAAAACCACTGCAGCCTGGCCTCCCACAGGAATTGGAGAAACTACCTTGCTTTTACTATTTTTACACCGTCTCGCTTCACTGTTCCCAAAGTCAGTGCGAAGAAGGCTGGGTATCTGCTACCCCTAATTACTTTTATGGGTAAACTGAGGCTCAGCGACTGCAAGGGACTGGCCCAAGGTCACTCAGAACCAGAGCTGCAACTCCAGGCTTCTGTTCCCTCTCCTAGTATTCCTTTTTACAAACTCGGCCTTCATGGTCGAGGATGCCTGGACAGAGCATCCAAGAAGTGTGGGCGCAGTGACCTGCAGAGGGCTCGGAAAGCATGCCAAGAGCAGCCAGGGGACCCACACCAAGTTGGCCCTGAAACACGCCAGGCAGAAAAGAGGCAGGACAGGGAACACCGAATTTCCCCTGAAACACTCTGAATGCCTGATCTGAGCTCCGGCCCCGTGGCAGAGGAGGTGGTTAAGAAAAGGCTGGGGGCAGCGCGGGAACGCGTCCCTTGCCCGAGCAGAAGGCCGGAGGCTGGGGAAGATTCGCAGCCGGTCGGACGGCAGGGGACTCCGTTCCAGGGCTCCGGGGCTGGGCGTCCAGAGAATACGGGGGCGGGGGACGGGGGCCTGCGTCGGGGATGCGGCCGTCTAAGGGCGTCCGAAGCGCGCACTTTACCTTCCTCCTCGTCCTGGAAGCTGAGCAGGCTGGCCCGGGGCACCTCTTTGTTCTCGCGAGGCCTCTTGCGCGGCTTCAGCCCGTTGCCGGGCTCCGCGCCGCCGGGGAAGCCGCCCCCGGCCTCAGCCCCGAGGCCCGGGGTCAGCGCGGAAGGCGGCGACGGCCCCGGGCCCAGCAGCGACTCCCCGCCAGGGGCCCTGTCGCCGCCACCGGGGCCCGCCTCTTCGCCCGTGCCCGGCGGCGGCAACAACGGCGGCGGCTCCTGCTCCTCATCGCGTTCCCGCTCTTCCTCTTCGGAGTCGTTCCGCTTGCGCACGTTCACCCGCCGGGCCTTTCGGAACATCCCCGCGGCCCGCACGGCGGTCGAATACTCGCTTCCACACCGCGGCCCCGGCAGCGCCGAGCTCGTGACGGCGCACGCGCGCTCTCCGGAGCTCCAGCCGGGTCGAGTCCTCTGTTGCTACCGCGCACCCCACGAGCGCGCATGCGCCTATGCTCCCACGCGCTCTCAATACTTGGAGAAAGAGAGAGAGTGAGAGAGAGAGAGAGAGAGAGAGAGAGAGAGAGAGAGAGAGAGAGAGAGAGAGAGAGAGAGAGAGAGAGAGAGAGAGAGAGAGAGAGAGCGAGAGAGAGAGAGAGAGAGAGAGCGAGAGAGAGAGAGAGAGCCCCACACCTCTCGCGAGAGCGTCGGCTCTTTGCATCGCTCTCTGTCGGAGTGGAGTACTATTAGCATGGAACTCTGGTGTTGTTTGACAGGTCACAAAGAGGATCATAGAGATGAGAAGAAAGAGTAGGCTCTGTTGTCCCTCAGACGGCGCTGCTGCAGTGCGTCTTCGCACTTACGCGGAGCGGTAATGTGAGGAAGCCTCCCGCCAAACAGATGAGGGAGGAGGAGGAGGGGAGAGGCCAGAGAGAGAAGCGGCTTTCGGGAAGGAAAGTGTGATCTAGTAGGTGGAATAGTCCTCTCCAAACTTTGACCTGAGGTGTGACTATTGGTAATTACTAGTTATTCTTGAGTAATACTTTGTATTTCTACAGCTTTATAGCTACAGAGCTCTTAGAAAGACATTGAATTTTATTTATGATACAATGTTACTTCAAAGACATTGAATTTCATTTATGGTACAATGTTACTTCAAAGACATTGAATTTCAGTTATGATACAATGTTACCTGGCTTGATGTCCCCCGTTCCCCAGTCTTTCAGGAACAAGGAAAGCAAAAGTGTTTCCGTGTTTTCTAAAGAATGCCAAGTTTGCAAGCAATTCTATGACTAAATACTTTCCAAAGCTTAGTGAGTTTCAGAAACAAGTGGAAGGAAAATAGAGCAGGGGGTGGGGAAGGTTGTGACAGTTCTCAGACTTGCGTGACAAAGCCCTCGCTGGCCACACCTTCACAGGGTGATTGCGCCTAAGGTTGAACTCACCGGCTTTCCCTATCTCATCACCGAACTAGAAGTTTTTCCTTCGGGCATGCACCTGTGCATGCGAATTCATTTTGATGTTTCGAAATTAAAAGGGTATTCGGTAGAGTGAAAAAAATCCACCCATGTCTGGAAGGCTGTTCACTTCCTCAGTGGCAATGTTAACAGTTTCTTATGATCCTCTAAAGATGTTCCATGAACATAAAAGCAAATAAATATGCATATTTTAATGTGTTCCCCTTTTTACACAGATGGTGTGTAAGCTGCATTTTTAGCCTACCGTAGATTGGAGATCGGCCCATATCTGTATATGAAGGGTTGTGTTTTTTTGGTTTTTTGTTTGTTTGTTTTGAGACTAAATTTCGCTCTTGTCGCCCAGGCTAGAGTGCAATGGCGCGATCTCCGCTCACTGCAATCTCCGCCTCCCAGGTTCAAGTGATTCTTCTGCCTCAGCCTCCCTAGTAGCTGGGATTACAGGCACGTGCCACCACGCCCAGCTAATTTATTTTGTATTTTTGTATTTCACTCTGTTGGCCAGGATGATCTCAATCTCTTGACTTCGTGATCCGCCCGCCTCAGTCTCCCAAAGTGCTGGGATTACAGGCGTGAGCCACCGCGCACGGCCGTCTATTTTTTTTTTTAACCCACCTGCGTAGTGATTCATTGTTGGGATATACCGTAATTTATTTAACCAGTTCCATAAACATTGATATTTAGATTATTTCTAGTCTTAATCAGTGCTGTAATGAAAAGCTTTGAAAAACTGTTACATCTGTAGGATGAAATAGAATTGAAATTGCTAGATCTCAATATATGCATTTATGATTTTGCTAATTCTAAATTTCTTTTTATAGAAGTTATGCAGTTTGCACTTATATCAGCAAACATTAGGATGCCTGTTTGCCCACACCATCCTGTAGAAATTTCAGTAAGATTTAAATTCCAGGTTGAAGTGGAAGATCCCGAGCACTCCAAGCATTTCTTTTTATTTTATTTATTTATTTATTTATTATTTGTTTGAGACGGAGTCTTGCTCTATGGCCCAGACTGGAGTGCGGTGGCACGATCTCAGCTCACTGCAACTTCTGTCTCCCATGTTCAAGCTATTGTCATGTCTCAGCCTCCCGGGTAGCTGGGATTACAGGCATCTGGCACCACACCCGGCTAATTTTTGTATTTTTGTTTTGTTTTGTTTTGTTTTTTAAGACGGAGTCTTGCTCTTCTCGCCCAGGCTGGAGTACAATGGCACGATCTCAGCTCACTGCAACCTCTGCCTCCTGTGTTCAAACGATTCTCTTGCCTCAGCCTCCCGAGTAGCTGGGATTACAGGCACCTGGCACCACACCTGGCTAATTTTTGTATTTTTAGTAGAGACGGGGTTTTGCCACGTTGGCCAGGCTGGTCTCAAACTTCTGACCTTGTGATCCGCCTGCCTCGGCCTTCTGAAGTGCTGGGATTAAGGCATGAGCCACCACACCCGGCCTAATTTTTATATTTTTAATTAGATTTGACATGTGCACAACTAGGACTCAGTTTTGGAGCTAAGAGCATCCTCTATAACATTAACATTTTCTTCTAGTTAATAGGAAGGGTTAATAACATCTGGCTTCCATTCTACTTATGTTACTCTCAGTTCTTATATTCTGGCTGTTCAGCATTGGTGTAAGTTCTGATTCCAACAGTGTTTCACTAGTGAAATTGAACTCCCTTTTCTAATCATAGAAGATTCAAATTGTGCCTGATCAGCCTCCAGACACCTGAGCCAAGAGAAAGATTTGCAGTAAAATAATTAGGGTAGAGGTAGCAAAGACAAGGTCCAGAAGCCAAATATGTTATTATGGTGGCCTGAAATTTCAAAAATTTCTCCCAGTGTAAAAGTGGTGATTGGATATGGATAGAGGGAAGAGTACCTCTCATTTTAAAGTAAGCCACAATACAATCACTTGTCACTTGACGGGGATACATTCTGAGAAATATGCCATTAGGCAATTTCATCACATACTTACACAAACCTAGTGGTGTAGCCTACTACATACCTAGGCTGTATGGCATAGCTTATTGCTTCTAGGCTACAAACCTATACGGCATGTTACTGTACTGAATACTGTAGCACTTGTAACACAATGGTATCTGTATCTAAACATAGAAAAGATACAGTAAAAATACAGCATAAAAGCTTTAAAAATGGTGCACCTGTATAGGACACTTACCAGGAATGGAGCTTACAGGACTGGAGGTTGCTCTGGGTGAGTCAGTGAGTGAGTGGTAAGTGAATATGAAGGCCTAGGTTATTACTGTACACTGCTGTAGATTTTATAAACAACTGTACACTTAGGCTACACTAAATGTTTAAACATATTTCTTTCTTCAATAATAAATAGCTTACTATAACTTTTTTACTTTATAAGCTTTCTTATTTTTTAAAACTTTTTTGTTGTTATTGTTTTGTTTTGTTTTTGTTTTTTGAGATGGAGTCTCACTCTGTCACCCAGTCTGGAGTGC
This sequence comes from Homo sapiens, assembly GCF_000001405.40. Lineage (NCBI taxonomy): Eukaryota > Metazoa > Chordata > Mammalia > Primates > Hominidae > Homo > Homo sapiens. The sequence goes on from NC_000021.9 coordinate 32,775,250, forward strand.
AGTGGCGCGATCTCAGCTCACTGCAACCTCCACCTCCCAGGTTCAAGCAATGAGACAGAGTCTCACTCTATCCCCAGGCTGGAGTGCAGTGGCGTGATCTCAGCTCACTGCAACCTCTGCCTCCCAGGTTCAAGCAATCCTCCCACCTCAGCTTCCCAAGTAGCTGGGATTATAAGCGTGCACCACCATGCCCAGTTAATGTTTGTATTTTTAGTAGAGATGATCCGCACACCCCACAAGCTCCTGTGTTGGCCAGGCTGGTCTTGAACTCCTGACCTCAAGTAATCTGCCCACCTCGGCCTCCCAAAGTTCTGGGATTGCAGGCATGAGCCAACGTGCCCAGACATTTTTTAAAACTTCTTGACTTTTTTTTTTTTTTTTTTGAGACAGAGTTTTGCTCTTGTTGCCCAGGCTGGAGTGCAGTAGTGCAACCTCAGCTCACCGCAACCTCTGCATCCAGGGTTCAAGAAGTTCTCCTGCCTCAGCCTCCTGAGTAGCCGGGATTACAGGCATGCACCACCACGCCCAACTAATTTTGTATTTTTAGTAAAGACAAGGTTTCTCCATGTTGGTCAAGGCAGTCGCAAACTCCCGACCTCAGGTCGTCCACCTGCCTCAGCCTCCCAAAGTATTGGGATTACAGGCGTGAGCCATCGTGCCCGGCATAACACTTTGCTTAAAAAAATACACATTTACAGCTGCACAAAAATATCTTCTATTTTTACCATTTTAATTATTTTGTTTTACTTTTTAAACTTTAAAGCTAAGACACAAACACACACATCAGCCTAGGCCTACGCAAGGTCAGGATTATCAGTGTCACTGTCTTCCACTTCCACATCTTGTCCCACTGGAAGGTCTTCAGGAAAAATAACAAACATGGAGCTATCATGTCCTATAAAAACAATATCTTTTTCTGGAATACCTCCTGAAGGACCTGCCTGAGGCTCTTATATACTTAACTTTTTTTTTTGTAAGTAAAAAGAGTGCGCTCTAAAATAACAGTAAAAAGTATAGTATAGGCGTCCCCAACCACCTCCCACCCCTGCAGGAGGCAAGTGGCCAAAGGTAGACATTGTTCTCTCTCTTTTTTTAAGTTTATTTTTAAAATGTTAGAAGCCACAAAGCCAATAAATATGTAAAAAATATTCTATATACATTAGCTGATGTCTTAGTCCATTTGGGCTGCTACAACAAAATACCATTAATTGGGTGACTTATAAACAACAAATTTATTTCTCACAGCTCTGGATGCTGGGAAATCCAAGGTTAAGGCACTGGCAGATTTGTGTTCCGGTGAGGGTCTGCTTCCTGGTTCATAGATGGTACCTTCTAGCTGAGTCCTCACATGGTGGAAGGGAGACAACTGTGGTTTCTTCAGCTTCTTACCAGGGCACTAATCCCATTCATAAGGGCTCCACCTTTGTGACCTAGTCACATTCCAGCATCTCTACCTCCTCTGCTATCACACTGGGGATTAGTGTTTCAATATATACATTTGGGGGGAAGATAAATAGCTGGGCCTTAACAACTGATGAGGCCTCACTAAATATGCGAGAAATAAGATAAAGCAGGGGTCCCCAACCTCCAGGCCACAGACTGGTACCAGTCAGTGGCCTGTTAGGAACCGAGCTGCACAAGAGGAGGTGAGCGGCGGGTGAGCAAACAAAGCTTCATCTGTATTTGCAGCCACTCTGCATCACTCGCATTACCACCTGAGCTCTGTCTCCTGTCAGATCTGCAGCAGCATTGGATTCTTACAGGAACACGAACCCTATTGTGAACTCTGCACATGAGGGATCTAGCTTGTGCACTCCTTATGAGAATCTAATGCCTGATGACCTGTCACTGTCTCCCATCACCCCCAGATGGGACCATCTGGTTGCAGGAAAACAAGCTGAGGGCTCCAACTGATTCTACATTATGGTGAATTGTATAATTATTTCATTATATATTACAATGTAATTGTAATAGAAATAAAGTACACAGTAAATGTAATGCATTTGAATCATCCTCAAACCATCCTCCACCCCCTAGTTCATGGAAAAATTGTCTTCTATGAAACCAGTCCCTGGTGTCAAAAAGGTTGGGGACTACTGGTATAGCAAATACATAAACCAGTAACATAGTCATTTATTATCATTATGGAGTTTTATGTGGTATATGTAATTGTATGTGCTATACTTTTATACCACTGAAACAGAGGTTTCTTAATACCAGCATCACCACACACATGAGTAATGTATTGTGCTACAGTATTATGATTGCTATGATGTCACTAGATGATAGGAATTTTTCAGCTCCATTGCAATCTTTTTTTTTTTTTTTTTTTGAAACAGAGTGTAGCTCTGTTGCCCAGGCTAGAGTGCAGTGGTGCAATCTCTGCCTCCAAGTTCAAGCGATTCTTGTGCCTCAGCCTCCTGAGGAGCTGGGATTACAGGCACGTGCCACCACACATGACTATTTTTGGAATTTTTAGTAGAGACGAGCTTTCACCATTTGGCCAAGCTGGTCTCGAACTCCTGACCTCAGGTCATCCGCCTGCCTCACCCTCCCAAAGTGCTGAGATTACTGGCATGAGCCACGGCGCCTGGCCGCATTGCAATCTTATGGGACCACCACCATATATGCAGTCCATCATTGATCAAAACATCATTATGCAGTGCATGGTTGTATTCAGATACAACAGATTTATTTATAACTTTGCCAGTCTACCTATTTATATAGTTAAAGAGCAAAGTTAAACATTTAAAAGTTATCTTACTGCCCAAGCAAGCCAAAGGTTCTTCTATCAGAAGTTATAGAGATTGTGGAAATTAAATTCCTGAAATTGAATAGCTACCTTAACTGCCTGTCAGCTGGTATATTATCAGAAACTAATTACTTGATAAAGTACTTCTGTACTTTGAGTATCAAATATACTAATTTGTTTGTTGATATAGTATGTCATCACCATTTAATATTGCAATGCTTTTAGTATCCTGGGAAGACAAAGAACTAATACATCAACCATTTTGTTTCAATCAATAAATTGTTCCTTTAAAAAAAGTCATCTTTCCAAGCAATAATTCTGGTTAGTATTTTTCCCATGAAATTGTGACTTTACATGGATTAATTGACACACAGATTCAGACAAAATAGGCAATAAGCAGTTTGGTTTGCCAACTCAGTCCTAAACCATGCAGTCTGGAACAATGACTACCAAATTCAGGTCTGTGAACTTGTGAAAAGTTTTCCCTACTCAGCTGCCAAAATAAAAGAGGAAGGACAGTCTGTGTGTATAGAGTAACCAGATGTCCTTTCTTGGAAGAAATAGTCCTTTATTCTGAAATTATGTGCCTTTTTTTCTCTTTCATGTTAAGATGAGAAAATTTCTTTATTTCTATAAACAATGATGCTAATATATGGTAGTCTGTGAGTTTATCTTCATACCCTTACTTGGAAAACTGAAATGTAGTAAAAGCTATAGGCCCTCCTCAATTTTTTATTTTATCTTTAAAAAATTTTATCTGGTAGGTGAAATATAACAGCCTAGGAGTCCCTGATCTAGGATTTTCCTTTTTTTAAAAAAACTATAACTCTGGACATCTCAATAATTCTATTCTGGAAAAAGGCTGAAGAAATAATGTAATAATTTTTTAGATTGATTTAGACCTTACTTTGATGAAGGCAGTTCTGCAGTAACTTAAAGTAGAATGTCAACTCATGGGTGCCACGGTTTGAATGTATCCCCCAAAATTCATGTGTTGGAAACTTAATTCCCAATGTAACAATGTTGAGAGGTGAGACATTAAGACATTAGGTCATGAAGGGTCTGCCCTCATGAATGGATTCATGTGGTGGTCGCTGGATTAGTGGGTTAGTTATCTTGGGATTGGCTTCCTCATAAAATGCATGAGTCCAGCCCCCTTTCTGTCTTGCTCTCTTGTACTCTCTTCCCCTGTCACGTACTGCCGTGGTATGTGGTGCAGCAAGAAGGCCTTCACCAGATGTGGCCCCTCAACCTTGAACTTTCCAGCTTCCAAAACGATAAGAACTAAATTTCTGTTCTTTATAAATTATCTAAGCTGTGGTATTTTGTTATAGCAACACAAAATGTACTAAGACAATAGGGGAAGAGATTTTTATGTTTTGTTCACTGCTGTTTTCACAGTATGTTCAATGGCTCTTGGCACAGAATAGACAATATTCGTTGACTGAATGCTATTGGACATTATCTGTTTATTGAATTAGTGATAAATATTTTACCCTACGTTGATATAAATGGACATATTCTACAGGTAACAACCCTTTATTTCTAAAGCATGATCTCAATGTATTATAAATTACTGAAGTAGATTAGTTCTTTTCTTTTTTTTTTTTTGAGACGGAGTCTCGCTGTGTCACCCAGGTTGGAGTGCAGTGGCGTGATCTCGTTTCACTGCAACCTCCGCCTCCCAGGTTCAAGTGATTCTCCCGCCTCAGCCTCCCGAGTAGCTGGGATTACAGGCATACACCACCCGCCCAGCGAATGTTTGTAGAGACGGGGTCTCGCTGTGTTGCCAGGCTGGTCATTAACTCCTGACCTCAGGTGATCCACCCACCTCGGCCTCCCAAAGTGCTGGGATTACAGGCGTGAACCACCTCGCCCGGCCGATTAGTTCTTAAAGTAGTAATAGACATCTCCCCTCCACCTTTGGGAACTGCCTCCTCTAGGGAGAAGAGTACCCCGTGAGTTAGGAAGCCAGGTGATATGGTTTGAATATTTGTTCTCTCCAAATCTCACGTGGCAATGTGACCTCCTGTGTTGGAGGTAGGGCCTGGTGAGAGGTGTTTGGATCATGGGGCAGATGCCTCCTGAATGGCTTGGTGTCATCCTGTAACAAGTGTATTCTTGCCCTATTTGTTCCCATGAGAACCTACTGTTTAAAAGAGTCTGGTACTTCCTCTTCTCGCTCTCTCTCTCTCTCGCTTCTGTCTCACCATGTGACATGCTGGCTTTCCTTCACCTTCTGCCATGAGTAGAAGGTTCCTGGGGCCCTCACCAGAAAAAAATGCTGGTGCCATGCTTCTTGTACAGCCTGTGGGACCATGAGCCAAATAAACCTCTTTTCTTTATAAATTACCCTAGCCTCAGGTATTTCTTTGTATCAACAACAACAACAAGGGCACACACCCAAAAAGAAAAAAAAAAAAAAAAGAAATGGACTAAGACACCAAGTTACATTGTACTGGCTGATGCAAAGTGGGCTGATCAGAATCTCCCGAGATTTTGCCCTTGAAACAGAGACAGTGAGTCCCTGCTTATGGCTGGAATTGCAATGAACTCAAAAGCAGTAGGAAAGCCTTAAATTACATGTCAACTCAGGAGCCAAGAAAACTAGTCAATGTAGCGAGAGAGAAGAATGAGGACAGAAAGGATACTCTGAGGGCTTCTGGTACCTTCCCAGGTCCTTGACTCTTCCAGAAGCTGGACTGCACGCCATGTGTGAGTTCCCTTGATCTTCTTGGAATCCTTATAATAAATTTCCTTTTTGTTATTGTTGGTATTAATGATGTTTTATTGTGTTACGTATATTTGCTTAAAGAGTTATTTTCATTTTATAGTAGGGTAAATTTTATCTGTGTACCTTATACAATTGTTTTTAAAAGTTCACTTGCTTAATAACTCTTCACCTATAGCTTTTGTTCAACAGAGTTTTTCTCTTATTTCTTTCTTTTTAAAAACTATGCACACATACATCCTCACAAGCAGGCATTTAAGCAGCAAGTAACAGTGAGGAATGCTCTCTCTCCTGCAGGCACATAGTTATTGCAAGTAACTTGCTAATAGAGATAAGTACCTCTGTTTAGAGCATATAAATGGTCCTAGTTAAAATTGTTAGTAAATTTATACTTTGTATCAAACTCTATTAAAATGTAGCCATTGGTTCTAATTGAATGAGATCATTGTTTCTACTAAAACTTTGACTCAATCCAGGTTTAAAAGACCCCAAGGTTTTATTTATTTATTTTTTTAAATAAAGTTGTTACTTTAAAAATTATTGGCCACATTAGTATCCCCAGTGGAGATTCAACTCTTATAAATGTATTCCACTCATGAGTGTTTTGGCAATTCAGCTATAATGGTCATTTCTTCATTTTCCAAAATGACACTTTCTTCAACCAAAAGAAAGTGAAATTTCTCTTTATCCAAACTAAGGCCTTCACCAGATGTGACCCCTCAACCTTGGAACAAAAGTAAATGTTTTAATGAAGGTTACCTTGTTCATCCTAGTTTATTTTTAAGATGTATCTTCTATTTAGACCAGGTATTTCTCTTACCCATTCATTCAACAAAATTTATTGAACATGTTTGATGCTCTAGGCATTGTGCTAGGCAGTAGGGACACAACAGTGAATAAGACAGATGTTTTCTTTGTCCTAGAACTGTAGTCAGCTGCTAGAGATGTAAAAAGTCAATAAACAAATTAATTGCTAATTGTGATTATAATTGTGAACGAAATCAATAGGGTACTACATCTTAAGAACTGATATAAAATGATAGAAATTTCAGTTTGAGTTTATTTTTTCTATGTGCTGTAGGGGACAGGAAACATTCTCTTTACCCTCTGAAGGACTGAAGTAAATAGATAGTAGACAGAGTAACAGGAAAAAAAGGCACACAAATTTATTATATGCACAGGGGCATCATAGGAAAAAGTGAGTACCCTATAACCGAATGATATTGAGAAGCTTATATACCTTCTTCAAAGGGGAGAGACAGGGAAGGATGTAGGCAGCTTAAGGTTGAGAAAATAATTTGGGGAAAAGATGAATAGGTGTTAGAGCCTGTGCCAAGTCTCTCTGGGCATGATGTTGACCTTCAGTCTCTTCTCTTGGGTTGCAGTTGATCTTCCTTGGTTGAAGAGATTCCTGGGGAGGAGACTCATGACAATTGAGTTTCTTTTTGGAGGATCTATCTTTAGGCAGGTATGAGAAGTTCAGAGAGCCTCTCCCTGTGCTTTGGGAAAGAAAGAGGGGCCAGAGACAGGAGGGCAGGAGAAGGTCAGAGAGACCCTGGTTCTGAGGCTCCTTCTGTGGTTTTCCAATCTCCTTTAGTTCAAAGTACTCAGCATGCTAAAGTGGCATGCTTTGTGGTATTGTGAGCCCTAACAGTGCCAATGGCCAGTTAAGTATCTTTATCATTAGAAAATGTGTAAGGACTTTGGGGGCTGAGGCAGAACATTTTCCTGCAAGATAATTACAATGAACAGCTCCAAGGTGTCTTCAGTAGTAAACTTTTCTTCAAACATTTCATGTAAAATGGGCATTTGAAATCATTTTGTTCAGTTCAGTATTTTATATCTTCTAGTGTTACTATGTGAAAGAGTATTATTCAGAACCATAGTAGAACAAGATATTTATATTACATTCACAATGGACACTTTATATCTGAGAATAGTGTGACCAATGAAAAAGCAAAAATACCAATCTATGCACCCTTTCTGAAAGAACCCGCTTACCACCTGTTGGGTCAGTATCATTCATACATTATTGTGCCTCTTGAAAAAAATTTGAAGCAGATATATTATGGAAGACGACAGTTATAAACATGCTCTCTGGGTATAAAGGATAGAAGAATTGATGTTTCTTTTTTTCTGTATTGTTTAGTGTTACTAGAGGGCAGCAAAGTCATACAATAAACATACAGTAAGCTTAGACTATGATTACCTAACAGAATCAGATGCAGCTTTGAATTTGTTAAAAACTACAGATGGACTTTGAAAAGTAACTTTTTCCTAATTATAAAAGTACTGCTTGCACATTTTAGAAATTCAGAAAATGCAAAACAATACAAAGAAGAAAATGAGAATAACTTATAAACTAATCATATGGTTTAAATCTTAAAAGGTATTAAATGTTAATTTTTGGTTCATTCCCTTCCTGATTGCTTGTGTTTAGTCATTCTCTGCTCAAAACACCTAGACTGTTTTCTGTTTTCTGCACAGATACAGCATCTATTTATCTACAGTAATGTTCTCTGTGTTTTTTAACTAAATGGTATCATGCTCTATGTGTTATTTTATAACTTGCTTTTTCCTTTTAGCTTGGGATTTGCAGCTCTTTTAAGTATGTTTAAATATACTTCATTCATTTTCCCAACTTTTTATTTTGGAAAAATTCAAATGATAAAAACAAGCAGGGCCGGGTGCGGTGGCTCATGCCTATAATCCCTGCACTTTGGGAGACCGAGGCGGGCGGATCATGAGGTCAGGAGTTCGAGACCAGCCTGGCCAACATGGTGAAACCCCGTCTCTACTAAAAATACAAAAAAGTTAGCTGGGTGTGGTGGTGCATGCCTGTAATCCCAGCTACTTGGGAGGCTGAGGCAGGAGAATCGCTTGAACCCAGGAGGCAGAGGTTGCAGTGAGCCGAGATCGTACCATTGCACTCCAGCCTGGTCGACAGAGCAAGACTCCGTCTCGGGGTAAAAACCAAAAAACAAAACACAAGCAGGAGGCTGGCATGGTAGCTCACGCCTGTAATCCCAGCACCTTGGCAGGTCCAGGCAGGAAGATTTCTTGAGGCCAGGAGATCGAGACTAGCCTGGGCAATATAGCTAGACCCCATCACTATAAAAAATTAAAAATAAAAAAATTAGCTGGGTATGGTGGCACACACATATAGTCCCAGCGACTCAAGAATCACTTGAGTCCAGGAATTAGATGTTACAGTGAACTGTGATCGCACTACTGCACTGCTTCCTGGGCAACAGAGAAAGACCCTCTCTCAACACACCAACACACATAACAGCAAGAATAATACAACGATTACCCACATATCCTTCACCTAGATTCATCACTGTTAATATTTTGCTACATTTGCTTTCTCTCTTTATCTTTGCTGAGTCATTTCAAAGTTACCTGCAGACATCCTGATACTGCAGCCCTAAATACTTCAGTGAGTATCCCCTAAGAACAAGGGCATTTCTCTACATACCCATAATACAGTTATCACACTCAGGAAGTTTTACATTAACATACTACTGTTATCTAACATCGAGTCCATATTCAAAATTCCCTCACTTATCCCAATAATGTCTTTCATAGCTGTTGTTTTATCCCCAATCTGGGATCTCGTAAAGATTGTGCATTGCATTTAGTTGTCATGGGTATTTAGTCTCCTTTATTCTAGAACAGTCTATCCGTTCTTTTTTTCTTCTTTTAACTTTCATTGACTCTTTTTTATTTTTTATTTTTTGAGACGGAGTCTCGCTCTGTCACCCAGGCTGGACTGCAGTGGCAAGATCTCGGCTCACTGCAACCTTCACCTCCCAGGTTGAAGCAATTTTCCTGCCTCAGCCTCCCAGGTAGCTGGAATTACAGGCATGCACCACCATGCCCGGCTGATTTTTGGTATTTTTAGTAGAGACGGGGTTTCGCTATGTTGGCAAGGCTGGTCTCGAGCTCCTGACCTCAGGTGATCCACCCACCTTGTCCTGGGATTACAGGTGTGAGCCACCACGCCTGGCCAACACTGACATTTTTGAAGCGTCCTCATCAGTTTTTTTTTTTTTCTTCTCCAGAATGACCCTCTATTTGGATTTGGATTACACAAAGTTTAACGTTTTTTGGAAAAATCCTACCTAGGTAATGTGTAGTTCTCAATGCATCATGTCAGGCAGCTTATGATGCCAATTTGTCCCATGGTAAGTTTTTTTTTTTTATCTCTATGGGTGCATAGTAGGTGTATGTGTTTGCGGGGTACATGAGATGTTTTGATACAGGTATGCAATGTGATCATGGAGACACATGGGGTATCCATTCCCACAAGCATTTATCATTTGTGTTACAAACAATCCAATTACACTCTTTTAGTTATTTTAAAATGTACAATTCAGTTATTGGCTATGGTCACCCCTGGTAAGTTTAATCACTCAGTTATGGACCTTTCTCCATTGTAAAGGTCCTACTTGTAGTTAATAAGTAATCTGTGGAATGATGATAATTTTAGACTGTGTAAATATTCCTCAGAATTTCAACCAATCATTTTAGCATCCATTAATGATTCTTTTCAGAATTCATGATTACTATAGCATTTGCAAAATGGTAATTTGGTATTACTCTCTATTACTCCTTCTAAATTTATTAGTTGCCAATGTTCTGTAAATCAGACTTTCTCTTCTTCTTTCCCACTTTTTATTTTTTTACTTTTTTTAGTGACAGTACAGACTCATGGAGTCTTTTTCAAATCAATATGCTAAAATCCATTTCTGTAATTGATCGTTTTGATGTTCATATTGTCCCTAATTTGGCCAGTAGAACTGTCTGCGATGGGTTCTGCATTCTCTTGCTACATCTCCATCAACTTTTTGACCTTATCTTACTTTCTGTCACAGTAAGATGTTTCAAGCTCACTTTATGTTTTTGTTTCTCCAGACCCCTGGAATCAGCCATTTCTTCAAAACCCTATTTTTTGTTTGTTTGTTTGTTTTAATGGGGAATGGTGTTGAGAAACCACAATTTAGGTGTCAGGTGTGTTCTTTGCCACAGGGGTGTCATTGCTTCTAGGCTTTCTCAGAGGATAAAGCTAAGACATATGTCTTAAAAAGCATGAGTTTGGCCAGGTGTAGTGGCTCACACCTGTAATCCCAGCACAACAAGGGAGGATTGCTTGAGCCTACGAGTTCGAGACCTGCCTGGGCAACATAGTGAGACCTTGTCTCTACAAGTAATTAAAAAAATTAGCCAGGCATAATGGCATACATCTGTAGTCCCAGCTACTTGGGAGGCTGAGGTGGGAGGATTGCTTGAGCCCAGGAGGTCGAGACTGCAGTGAGCTATTATCATACCACTGCAGCACTCCATGCTGGGTGACAGAGCAACACCCTGTCTCAAAAAAAAAGAAAAAAAAAGTGATGAGTTTGCACTGATACCTTTAATTCCAATCCAACATCCCAGGCTTCTGCTCCTTCCCTCACTTCATATTTCCTACCATTACAACTCTGGATGGACCTCCAAAAATTTGAGTGTATTTACTCTTTTGCACAATCCTACAAAGTGGTTTTAGAATTGTTGTACCAATATTATCACCACCAACAAGCCTACTAAAGTTTATAATTTCTTTGCATTTTTAAAAACTAACAGTGTTTTATTTCTTTCATAAAAAATCTTAAATGTGGCAAAATGTTCATATTTGTCAATTCTGGATGATAATTACATGAGTGTTAGTCATATTATTCATTCTTTTCTTTTTAAAAAATTCTTATTGAAGTATAGAATGCATACAGAAAAGTGCATTTATTGTACATGAAGAGCTAAATGAATTTTTACTAACTGGCATATGTGTATGTGTGTGTGTGGGGTGCTTCTCTATGTAGATATACAAAAATATAAATGTTGTTTTCTAGCTTGTGTAAATTTTAAGACACATTCCTAAATTGTACTTCAAAGTGACTGTACCAGTTTATTCTCTTAAATAGAGACTATTTGCCTACAGGCATGACAAAATGGAATATCAAATAACTTTACTTTTTGCCAATCTAGTGGATGAAATATTAGTTTCCTGTTGCATTTCTCTGGGTAGAGGTAATTTTTTTGTTGTTCAGTTATTGGCTACTTGTTTTCATCTTAAAGTGAATTGCATGCTTATTTCATCGTTTTTCTATTAGATTGTTAGTCTCTTTGTTTTCTACTTTAATACTATCTAATTTAACATTATGAGATTTGTCTTGGGGTAAGACTGTAACTTTAAGCAGTAAGCACTTGTTCCAGCATCATTTGTTTATTTATGTAAAAATGGGCTGGGCATGGTAGTTCATGCACTTTGTAATCTCAGCACTGCGGGAGGCTGGGGCGGGTGGATCGCTTGAGTCCAGGAGTTTAAAACCAACCTGGGCAACATGGCAAGACTCAGTCTCTCCAAAATTGCAAAATTAGCCAGACGTGGTGGTGTGCACCTGTAGTCCCAACTACTCAAGAGGCCTAGGTGGAAGGACCGCTTGAGCCCAGGAGGCAGAGGTTGCAGTGAGCCAAGATTACGGCACTGCACTCTAGCCTGGGTGACAGAGTGAGACCTTGTCTCAAAAAAATAAAAATAAAATATGTATGTAGAAATGCTCTTATTGGGTTTTCTCTATTATGAAAGTGATTTTGTGTGTTTTAAATTTTATTTGTATAAACTTATGGGGCATAAGTGCAATTTTGTTACATGGATATATTACATAATGGTGAAGTCAGGGTTTTTCGTGTGTCCATCACTGGAATAATGTACCTTGTGTCCATTAAGTAATTTCTCATCATCTACTCCCTGCTCTTTCAAGTCTTGATTATATGTTTATTCAAAAAATAAATATATCTCCCAGTAAATAAATATTTCTCCCAGATAGGTAGAAAATAAGAATTGCCCCCATACCATCACCACATATGATACTGTTTTTAGTGTGCGTCCTAGTCTGTTTTTTATTTTTTGTTGTTGTTTTGTGTGTGTGTGCTTCTAACACCCTCAATTGACTTAATTTCCCTTTCCATTTTTTTTAATGATTTTACTATTAGCAAGTACTTTTTTTTTTTTTTTTAGTTTAGGATCTGTCTTTGAGGCATCCTTCCTGCTGTATTTGTCTATCTATGGTGCCATTTATATTGTCTTACAATTGTCTTTAGGAGAAATGTACTCTCTGTAGAGCCAGCTCTCCCTCATTGCTTTCCTAGAGTCTGGGTAGGATAAACATGACCTTGTGCAACATTTTGAGTTGTGACTCTGTATTAGTTTGTTCTCACACTGCTAATAAAGACACACATGAGACTGGGTAATGTATAAAGGAAAGAGGTTTAATTGACTCACAGTTCCACATGGCTGAGGAGGCATCACAATCATGGCTGAAGGTGAATGAGGAGCAAAGTCACGTCTTATATGGTGGCAGGCAAGAGTGTGTGTGCAGGGGAACTCCCCTTAATAAAACCATCAGATCTTATAAGAACTCACTATCATGAGAACAGCATGGGAAAGACCCACTCCCATGATTCAATTACCTCTCACCAGGTACCTCCCACAACCTGTGGGAATTGTGGGAGCTACAATTCAAGATGAGATTTGGGTGTGGCACAGCCAAACCATATCAGACTCTGTTAAATGAAAAAGCCTCCGTACATCATTATTCTTGTAACAAATCACATCCAATTTACAAGTGTTCTGTAAATTCTGGAGAAACAGAGGCCCTGAAGTTATTCGTGAGCAAGTCTGGGAAATGGAAATGGAGGTTCCAATTCCTGTTTTTACTAATTTAATGTGTATAAAATGTTATCTATATCTTTTCTTCATTCCTTTGTTCCTTCCTTTCTTTTGAGGGACTTTCATAGGTTCATTCAAGAGTTTTAACCCCTAACTCATTTTTCTCACAAGGCCTTAAATTCCACAACCTCATCATCTACCACCTTTGGTGCTTTCAGAATCATGACTCTCAATGTTGAAGAATGGGCTACTGCATGGAAGGTGGGTGCAAACCCCTAAAATTTCCACCCCTGGTTCTGGAAAGTGAGAAATTGGGGATTTCAATACTGCAAGCCATCCTTCACATTCTAAACTCATTGTCTTTACTTAGTTCCGTCAGCATTTCTTTCTTCCAGTCAGTGGGGTATTGGCATGGACTTGTACTGGCTCATAAGAGCTGATTGGTAAGTTTTCAGGAATTTGCAAGCTGGTTGTTAAGCACAGTCATTATTGAAAGCAAATTATGTAAACTTACAATTAAATAAATTATATCAAAACCAAAAATAATAAATACTCAGAACTTATCACTTCCTAATTATTTTACTTCACTTTACTATTATTCATGCTTTTGGGGTTAGTTGTGCCTGTTGTATAGGTAGGGTGGAAATACTATATAATGCTGCCCTATTGTATGTCTTTTCTCAACTCCATGTTCTCTTGGTAGCATGAAATTGGGTTATGGTGGCAGTATTTACACCACTACATATCAGAGTGTGATTTATGATTTTGTTGAGTGTGATGGAGAAAATGTTAACGATGCAGATTAAACTTAAAAGTGTGTCATGTCCATAGCCCTTACATTGTGAATAGTCCCCATACATGAGAAAATATTCCTCCAGTATTTGAAAACTATTATTTGATTCAGCAAAGAAGTTGCTTTCATCACTGACTAGCAAGTGACATTCTCACATATATCTTTGTTGTTTAACTTTCCTCTTACTTCTAACATAAATGAAAATCTCAACCAATATTTATACCAAAACTATACATGCTCATCAGTTGCAACCCTAGGTTGGCTTTGTGTACAAGAGTTTGGCAAAAATCAAAGCATTCTTTGAGAACTAATGATGTACAAAGAGTATATAATAAAGAGTAATCTATAGTTTATTATCATTTGTAAATTGTGTGCTACACATTCTTTACATCCGTAAAATTGAAATAAACTATGTACATACATATCTGCGTACTTTTTTGAAGACTAAAGTGAAAGCAAGTTTATTAAGAAAGTAAAGGAATAAAAGAATGGCTACTCCATAGGCAGGGCAGCCCTGAGGGCTGCTGGTTGCCCATTTTTATGGTTATTTCTTGGTTATATGCTAAACAAGGGATGGGTTATTCATGAGTTTTCCGGAAATGGGTAGGGGGTGGGCAATTCCCAGAGCTGAGGATTCCTCCCCTTTCTAGACCATGTTGCCATGGCATTTGTAAACTGTCATGGCGCTGGTTGGAGTGTAGCAGTGAGGACGACCAGAGTTCACTTTCATCTCTATCTTGCTTTGGGTGGGTTATGGCTTCTTTACTGCAACCTGTTTTATCAGCAAGGTCTTTATGTCCTGCATTTTGTGCTGACCTCCTATCTTATCCTGTAACTAAGAATGCCTAACCTGCTGGGAATGCAGGCCAGCAGGCCTCAGCCTTATTTTACCCAGCCTCTAAACAAGATGGAGTCGCTCTGGTTTAAACGCCTCTGACATTTCCCCGCTCCCTTTTATAAGAGAACCCTTAATCCTAAGGGTCATAGAGAGATGAAGGTCCATCTTTTGTAACTTCTGGAGGCTGAATGAGGTGATGATATTCCTGCCTATCTATTAGGGTCTCAGATCCAGGGTAGAGAGGAGTTCAGTCAGAGAAAGTCCGTATGGTGAGGGCCATTCATAACTCTGACTAAAAGTGATATAACTAGTTTCCAGATTTTGGAGAAATTAGATAGAGAGAAACAAGCATGCTTCAAATTTTGTTCACAGGAGCGTAATTTATGCAATTGTTGAAAGCTGTCAATAGCTCAAAAGAAAGGTTTCCTTGACTCCAAAGTCAGCCAATCAGTGTTGGTCTATTTCCTTTGGGTCAGGGGTCTCCTTAGTATCATCCCTTTGTGGTTGCCATAAAGATGTTACCAGAAAGGGGTCCTAAACCAGACCCCAAAGAGGGTTCTTGGATCTCACATAAGAAAGAATTCAAGGCGAGTCCGTAGAGTAAAGTGAAAGCAAGTTTATTAACAAAGTAAAGGAATAAAAGCATGGCTACTGCATAGGCAGAGCAGCCCACCTCCCTTTTTTGTTGGAGAGCTGCTGGTTAAACTTTTGTTAGCACACCACTGGCCAGAGGCAATAAGCTACTAGCCCCAGGCCAGATGGCTACCATTAACATAGTTTGTTTGACCCACATGATATTATTTAAAACAAACAAACAAAAAAGCTGAATGGCAAGCCGACATTTACAAATTGTGAGAATTCACATAACAACCTGGAATTCCTCATTCTCTGAAGGATCAGATCTGGCCCCATCAGATTTTCCCATGGCAACACTCAGTTGGAGCTGAGCCACTGTAGAGCTTCAGGTGGGGCATGCACCCTTACTTAACCACCATCCCACCACTCCCTGTTGTCCCCCAAACCCTGCAGCTAAGTGCCAAATGCCATTAATCCCCATGCCTGCACTGTGGATTTTCTCTGCCCATTCTTCATCCCACAGCAGCACAAACTGAACCATATTTTTAGTCCAGAAATCTGAAACCTCAGGCTTGATTTATAACTAAATTAGCTTTCCTTTTCTGTTGGTTTAAGTCCCATTAACTCACAAGTATTTCTCAAAAGACTTACTTAAAACATATGTGAAAGGGCTTTGAAACTATTAAAAGCTACCAAATGGAAGATATTTATAGGAGGCATATACTTTCTATCATCATTTAATTTTATACTTTATTAATAAAAATTATTAAAATTCAATTTGTTATATTTTCAGTAACTAATGACAATGAATATATTACTAATCTTTTCACTTGTCTTTTCTTGCTTTCCTTTTTCCTCCTTTTTCCCCTTTTCCTTATTTTTTCTTTCACTTTAACATTATCTGCAGTACAATGTCAGTAATGAGGTCACATTTTTCTATTAAAATTCATACTTTGGTCTTTGTTTTGGCCTAATTTAAACACTGACATGGGCTCATGCTAATTAGCCTGAATGGCTAAATCCCCCACCAATTAAGCAAATGTAGAAATTGCAGATTATTTCAGTTACTCTATGTTAAGGTTAAGTGAAAAAAAAAAAAAAGTGATGTATGTGATCTAAAGTCATCAACCCCAGGATATCCTGTTAAGTCATGGACTATTTCTTATCATTATGGTATCATGAATGCAATAATGTTTCAAATTCATTCCACTCCAGGTTTAGACATTTGTATCACAATTGCAGTGGATTCTTTTTTCTTTTCTTTTTTTTTTTTTGAGATGGAGTTTTGCTCTTGTTGCCCAGGCTGGAGTGCAGTGGCGCAATCTTGGCTCACTGCAACCTCCGCCTCCCAGGTTCAAGTGACTCTCCTGCCTCAGCCTCCTGAGTAGCTGGGATTACAGGCATGCACCACCACGCCTGGCTTATTTTGTATTTTTAGTAGAGACAGGGTTTCTCCATGTTGGTCAGGCTGGTCTCGAACTCCCGACCTCAGGTGATCCGCCTGCCTCGGCCTCCCAAGCCATGGATTCTTTACAGTCCACTTTAATGGCAAGTTGCGTCTCTATGAGGGAAAATTTTCTTTGTACAATAATGAATCCATTTAATTTTTTCAAAAGTATGTTGCTTTGGTTCCTTTTATCAGCACACATAAAATCATTTTGTGTTAACCGTGTCATATAAAATGCCTTCACTTTGCAATCTTAACCTTCCAAATGGATTGAGCCTTAGATGTTTTTTTGTTAATTATCTGTTAATAATTTGAGCACTTTTAACAATAGAAATAATGTTGTAAGTGGTGAGTAAATTCCCAGGCTAGCCCCTAATGTAGTTAAACATAGCTTGAATGGTATTCATCTAAGTTCTGATTTTTGGAGCAAGAGGAAAAGGAGTAGGAGAAAGAAGATGAAAATGAGAAGAGAAATTGGTGAAATGGTATAGCAGGGGCAAAGACAGACCATGCAAAGAAAGAAAAGGAAAAGAATGTGAAAGGCTAGAAGTGAAGAACTTTCCTTGCAGTTAGGCTGTGCTCTAAGCAAAATTTTGAGATAGATGCAAATGTGTTTTGTGTCCTCCAATTTTCACTGCTGCATCCCTCTCTCTGGAACACTGGTCCCCCCATTTGATCCTAAGGTCTTACCCTATCCATGCCTGTGGTACCTCCACCCCAACAAACACAGTCTCCAACCTCTTATTTCTTGGTGCATCTATTCTTAGCAAGGTATTTAGAAAAGATCAGTTTAAGAGAACCTAATCATTTTATTATTATTATTTTTTTTTTTTTTGAGATGGAGTTTCGCTCTTGTTGCCCAGGCTGGAGTGCAATGGTGTGATCTCTGACTCTGTCACCCAGGCTGGAGTGTAGAGTGCAGTGGCACGATTTTGGCTCACTGCAACCTCCGCCTCCCAGGTTCAAGCGATTCTCCTGCTCAGCCTCCGAGTAGCTGGGATTACAGGCATGTGCCACCATGCCCGGCTAATTTTGTATTTTTAGTAGAGATGGGGTTTCTCCATGTTGGTCAGGCTGGTCTTGAACTCCCGACCTCAGGTGATCCGCCCGCCTCGGCCTCCCAAAGTGCTGGGATTACAGGTGTGAGCCACTGTGCCCGACCATTTTATAAAACTCATAGTCCCCAAACCTCTGAAATTGATTATTCTCTACTTAGGGGAATTCCAAGCAATTTCACAAAATGAAACAGAAAAAAATTAAGGCAGTATTTTGAAAGAAGATATGTTTCTTGGGGGTCACCTTCTAGGAGGAGCTCCACTAAGCAGTCTCTAGGGTGTATTGCTTTCTCCATTTCTGACGGGACATTTCCCTGCAGGCTTCTAGTTGCAGAGACCAAGCCTAGCTGGCTCCCAAGACATGTCCCTGGACGGAATCAAGTTGGTTTTTTGGTTTCTTTTTCTTTTGTTTTTCAAAAGTGTTCTCGCAGTTGGGCACAGAGCAGAACAGAGAGCTGGTTATTGGTATGTGTGGCTGTGTTGCAAATGGAGCCTGCGGAGAGAGGCACAGTTGTGGGTAGGGATACCTATCTCACGGCCTTATTTCCAGATTCCTTCTGCAAATTATTCATCATTTGCCAAAGTTCCAGGCAGCTGGACACAGTTATTATGCTAGTAAATAAATGTGACAACATAGCTTTTGTTGCTTGGCATTGGGAAGGTTCTAAAGTAAGAAAAGTCAGGAAAGTTGTTGGCAATGCTGGTAACGTTTTCAATACTATATGATTTTAAGGCTGAGTCCCTGTTGAAAAGAGCCATATCTAAGAATGAGATATACATACATGGCTGCCAGCCTTTGTGTAACCACATGGGCTTCTCTCTGGAGTCACTGTCCCCACCGCTATGGATGAGTAAGCTCTGCTCTGGGAAGGGATGCTTGGCCTCCATGTTGATGCGCAGCCTCTTCAGACCACAAATAGCCAGGTATTCAGTGGGGAGAGTGTTGGTGCTGCACAGGGAAAGCTTCAGGTCTTGGACCAGCGTGAAGTTCAGCAGGTGGCCCAGCGCAGATGTGTCCGTGAACCAGATGGTCAGATGGCCATTGTAGCTGGTTCGCTCTACTGCAAGGGGCAGGACGGTTTTACAGTTGCACATCAGGTTGGCCAAACTGTAGTCACAATCCCGGATGTCCGCAGAACAGCTGCAGTTCCGAATGGTGTTTTCCCTTGTGAAGATGAGCGTGCTGTTCTTCTGACCTTTGGTGAAGCAGTTAAGTGCAAAGACACCCAGAGTGCTGATCAGAAGAAGACAGTGCCTGGAAGGTGGTGCCATGCTTGCCCAGCATGGGCCAGCGTGTTTATCCCCCCTCTTTTTGAACCAATTTGTTGGAACTCACCTGAAAGAAAAGAGGCAGCTTTATCACAACCTTTCATTTGAAATACACAGCTTATGGAAAAGGAACCCCAGAAAAAAACAAGTTGTAAACATTTCTTTCTTGCAGTTCTAGTAACTGTTTCCTGAGCCACAGGCAATGCTTGCAGCCCAGGCACTGGGCAAGCTCTTTTCTCAGCACCTCATCCAGAGACAGCAGCCAAACCTTTGAGCTCTGCTCATCTGAGGTGTAAAACTCCCAGTGATGTTGGCTGACAGTGAGACCAACATGCCAACAACACAGCCAGAGCGATGCCAGAGCGGATGCCAGAGAGGAGACCTACCGCATCCTATCTATGGGCAGGGATTTGGAGTTGAAAGAGCACATTCTCCAAACATCCAATTACTAGCATGAAGCGCCCAAAAACCCCTGAACATGACATGCTTTCCTCCCCCTCAATATCTGACTTCCTGGAATTCGGGAGACAAACACTTCTTTGTTGGATTCAGCTATCCAAGCGCTACCTATTACACAACATAGCATGAATACCAATGAAGCATTTAGTTAATGGCAAGCTTTAATTTCTAAGTAGATAAACATGCCTCCCATCCCCACCATATTAATCTGTTTGTGAGTCCATTCATCCTGTTCAGGGCCTCTTACAAATGTACCTAGGTAACTGTGGTAATAGACAACAAAAAGACTAATCACCCACCGATTAATCACAATTATTTTGACTTAGCTACTCTTATGCCAGAAGAAATTTATGAACTGATCTTGTCAATGTATTGCAGGGCTCCAAAACAAAACCATATATAAGAACTTCTAAAAAATCTAAATAAGGTAGGGATGCATGGGTAATTTAAAGAGCAGCACCAATGTCCAGTTTTGGGTAAAAGCCCTACAGTGTCTGGCATATGACAGATGCAGGATCCTCCTTTGTGGTGTGATTGGAATGAGATGAGATGAGCATTATGGCAGAGTGTACCACATTTCAGTTTGGCGAAAGTAATAACATTCCCCCAATGACTGAGGAGAGAAACCAAACAATACAATTCAGTCTTCTCCATTTGCTAAGCTCCATGGGTGTGGTGGGATACTTGGCATGCGACCTCTGAGTGGGAGGGCCCAGAGCTACTGGCAGGGCCACTACACTAAGGGCCAGGGAGCCACAGATGGAAGGGTCAGTCTGAAGAGCTCAACATGTGTCCAAAGAGTACAGTGACAGCAGGAAAGAGGCTAGGCAGACAAGCAGCAATTAGGGTGTAAGATGAGGCCACAAGGCAATTAGAAATCCAAAGGAATCAAGGCTAAAAATGCCAGGGATCGGGTAGACAGGCAGGAGGCACAAGCCACAACCCCATGGCTGGGATGCCAGGAGGATAGAAGTAAGCTCTGCCGCGTAAACTTGAACAGAGGGTGAGACATTGATTCACAGCAACTGTGACTGTATTCATGCATTCATCCCTCCCTTCCTTCCTTCCTTCATTTCTTCATTTCTTCCTTCCTTCTTTCCTTCCTTCCCTCCTTCCCTCCTTCCCTCTTTCCTTCCCTCCTTCCCTCCTTCCTTCCCTCCTTCCTTCCTTCCTTCCTTCCTTCCTTCAACTAATGCTTATTGGAAGATTACTAGGTGGCATGCCCTCTGCTAGCCATGGGGGTACAACTCAGAACAAGACAACCCAGGGCCCAGTCCTCATAGAACTTATGTCCTAACGAAATTGATTCTGCTTCCAATGGGCTGGGGCGTCATAGCCCAAAGCCAGGCCCGTCCTGCATGTGAGGATGGAGAGGCTATAGCAGTGGGGAGGAGGCGAGAGGAGGGGGCAAATGCAGGAGTTAGGCAGGGCCCAGCCTGGGCTGTGTGCCAGGCCCTGGCTTAGGCCAAGCAGAAGAAACAAAGATACAAAAGACCTGGATCCTATCCTCCAGGATTTATCCTCAAAGGAAAAAGACCAATAAGGCTGAACTGAGAAGCACTGTACTGAACATACAGGCGGCTATGAGAACATAGCAGAGAGAGAGAGAGATTCGACGCGGGGGACTGGATAAGGCGGTTTAGAGTGCTTTGTATCTATTTTGAAGTTGGCACAGGATTTTCTTAAAGGCTTCTTATTAAATGTATTAATAGGTACATTTTGTCATGAAAGAAAGAGCTTTGAGAAACGTGGAGAACAAGCGTTCTCCCTGAACAAGAGGCTTAACAGTCTTAAGCAGTGTTAGAATGTGGGTGTGTCTACCCCCTTAGTGAGGAACGGTGTATAATTTATTAATTACAAGATAATTTTAGACAATCAGCTGTCCCAGATTCCACTGGAGGCCTCTGGGACTTCGTGTCCCAGTAACCCTGTTATCCCAGAACCAGGAATGCTGTCAATACTGTTGGCCCACCCTGACCCTAGCCTTAAAAGAAAAAAGAGGGGAGAGGTCTATTCATCAGCCCGAACCTAGTGAGAAAAGTGTCTGCCTCCCTGTTTCAGGTGCTGATCCTTTTAGAGGCAGCCGTGGAAGAGGAAAAGAGATCAGAAGAGAAAAGGATATTGGTTTGCGGAACATGTGGGACAAGAAGTTCCCAGAAGAATTTGTGAGCAACTTCCCGACAGTAAGGCCCTGGCTAGACCTCAGGATGGTCCCTGCCTCCTGGACATTAGGAAGCCCAAAGGCCAGAACAAAAACACATGCCTAGTGGGGGAAGGCTCACTAAGAGGGCACCAAGTGGGGCAAATACCCCTGGTAACCCATTTATGGAGGCTGCCACAGAAATGCTAGTTGGAAATTTTCCTCCTTCAGTCTATCATGAATTTCTTTTTTCTCTTTTGAGATGAAGTCGCCCGGGCTGCAGTTCAGTGGTGCAATCTCAGCTCACTGCAAGCTCTGCCTCCCAGGTTCCAACGATTGTCTTGTCTCAGCCTCCTGAGTAGCTGAGATTATAAGCACGCACCATCATACCCGACTAATTTTTGTATTTATAGTAGAAATGGGGTTTTGCCATGTTGGCCAGGCTGGTCTTGAACTCCTGACCTTAGGGTGATCCACCCATCTTGGCCTCCAAAAGTGCTGGGATTACAGGCATGAGCCACTGCACTCGGCTGTACCGTGATTATTAGTTCAAGGTTCTCTTTCACTGGGGTAAAGACCTTAAGAGAGCAGTTTTTGGGCTTTATATTCTCAATTTCCCGCACAGTGCCTAGCACATAGCAAGGACTCAACAAATTTCATTGAATGAATGAAAAAACATAGTTTACCAAATGTCAGTGTACTCAAACTCTTTTAACTGCTAGCTATAGAAATCCAATTAAGACTCACTTGGGTAAAAAAAAATAAAAAAATAAACAAAATAAACTGCTCACTTATTTGAAAAATTAAGGAAGGATTTCAGGCATGGCTTGATCCAGCTACTCAAAAAAGGTTGTCAGAAATGTCTGTCCGTTCTTCATTTATTCTTTCTCATTTGTGGGCTTTGTTCCCAGATAAGATCACTCCTTCTGGGGACAAGATGGTCACTAGTAGATCCAGGTTTACTTTCTATCAGCTGAGCAACCTCTCAAGAAAAAATAAATAAATAAATAAACCTCTCTTTAAATAGCACCAGGCTGCTGGGTGTGGTGGCTCATACCTGTAACCCCAGCACTTTGGGAGGCTGAGGTAGGAGGATTGTGGGAAGCCAGGAGTTCAAGACCAGCCCAGCCAACATTGTGAGACATAATCTCTACAAATAAAATAAATTAGTTGGACATGATGGTGTGCACCTATAGTCCCAGCTACTCGGGAGGCTGAAGCAGAAGGATCACTTGAGTCTGAGAATTCGGTGTTGTTTAAGCCACCCTGTTGTGGTATCTGCTATGGCTGCACAGGCAGAAATAGGGACACAAGTGCAGGTTCAGGGCAAGGTGTGTGAGCACACTCAGTCCCTGGCCTCGGAGTCTCTCTGGATGGCTTCTTGCCTAGGGTGACTGACAGAGGGAGGGATGATATGCAAAGGCACCTGTTCTCCTCATGACCTAACCCCAATTCTTACTCCACGGGTTCATGACAGCCTATTCTGCTGGAGACTGTGTCTTAAAACTTCCTCCCCTAGTTTCTCTCAAGTACCCCTCGTGAGCTGTGATTTCACTGGGCTTTGAACTCTTAGGCCATTTGAGGCTGCAGTGAGCTATGATTGTATCACTGCACTCCAGCCTAGATGACAGAACGAGACCCCATCTCTAATGAATAAATAAATATGGCTGGGCACAATGGCTCAGGCCTGTAATCCCAGCATTTGGAAGACCAAGACAGGCAGATCGCTTCAGCTCAGGAGTTCGAGATCATTCTGGCCAACAAGGCGAAACCCTGTCTCTACCAAAAATACAAAAATTAGCCAGGCAGGGTGGCATGTGCCTTTAATCCCAGCTACAGGGAGGCTGAGGCAGGAGAATCACTTGAACCTGGGAGGCAGAGGTTTCAGTGAGCTGAAATTGTGCCACTGCACTCCAGCCTGAGTGACAGAGTGAGACTTTGCAACCAAAAAATAAAATAATAATAATAATGAAATAAATAACCAAATAAGTAAATAAATAAATATTAGGAGGCAAAAATACATTGGACTCCTGAGTCGTACACTCAGCTTGGGAGCCAATGAATGGGATCAGCCCCACTGCAAAGAGTGGACTGAGAGGGTAGAAGGATGGTTCTGCAAAGGGAAATCAGGAGGCGCTATCAGAAAAGGGCCAGGTAGGCAGTCAGAAAGGTGGGTGCCCACAAGACCCATGGGATGAGCATGGGTGAGCATTGCAACTCTACTCCTCTCAGTCTCAGCAAACACTAAAGCACCACTTTGATAAAATGCCCTCTAAGAGTGCAGATATATGTCTGACTTTGTGGGATATATTCAGATTTTCAAATTGGCTCCTTTACTGGAGGGCCCCTCGATTTTACCACCCAAGAATCTTCAAGGATTTTTGCAGGGACACACTTTGGGTACTGCATTTGTGAGCAATAGCCCTGCTTACCTCTCCAAGTCCTGGCTTCACAGTGTGTTCCTTGGGGTGCCCGGGCCCTAGCTTTCTTCTGGCTTTAACCCCAGAGCCATAACTCAGATCTATACTTGAGACTGCTTCTTGCCAGGGCATCTTCTCAGCTTCTGACTCTTGAGCCTTTCACAATTTTCTTCTCTTGAGTCTTTCCCCTAATTGCATTTCCACTTTAAAAATAAAAATCACAGCCAGGCATGGTGGTTCACACCTGTAATCCCAGCAGTTTGGTAGGCTGAGGGGGGCAGATCATTTGAGGTCAGGAGTTCAAGACCGGCCTGGCCAACATGGGGAAACCCTGTCTCTACTAAAAATACAAAAATTAGCCAGGTGTGGTGGTGCACACCTATAATGCCAGCTACTCAGGAGGCTGAGGCACGAGAATTCCTTGAACCCGGGAGGCAGAGGTTGCCGTGAGCCGAGATCGCACCACTGCACTCCAGCCTGGGTGACAGAGTGAGTGAGACTCTATCTCAAATAATAAAATAAAAACCACTTTTGATTTCAAATTAAGCTCACTTCCAAATTACGTTTTTAAATTGCTTTTGATTTTTAATTGCTATAAGGATTTGGAGAATGTCACTTGATTTTTCCACAATTAGTTATTTGTCTTTTGTGTTAGGACTATAGAGCTCAGAACATCATTATTTATGACATTTCAAATCTGTTTTGGGCAAATGCTCCAAATGCTGTCCTCCCACTGACACAATATCTCCTTACTAGTAATATCTTCTTATAAACAGAACTAGTCAAGTTTGAAACATTCCTTTTGAAGCCAAGTATAAACATTATCTAAATGTTGGGTGTAATCCTAGATTGAGAAGGAATCTGTGTGGAATTTGTTTTGAAGTAACTGATGTCTGTATCTCCTCAATTTAGAACCCTCTGTCTTTATGCAGCTAGTTGCTAGTATTGTTCTTGAGATTTCTTCAGCTGCAATACAAAAATAATACTCAAACTGATTCTGAATAGTAGCTCTGGTTTTTAAACATGTCCAGTGATTTAAAGGCTCAAATATTTAATAATCATGCACAAAGGCTCAAATATTTAATAAGTAAGCACATAGGCCGGGTGTGGTGGCTCACGCCTGTAATCCCAGCACTCTGGGAGGCCAAGGCAGGTAGATCACGAGGTCAGGAGTTCGAGACCAGCCTGACCAATGCGGTGAAACCCTGTCTCTACTAAAAATACAAAAATTAGCTGGCCATGGTGGCATGTGCCTGTAATCCCAGCTACTCAGGAGGCTGAGGCAGGAGAATCGCTTGAACCCAGGAGGCAGAGGTTGCAGTGAGCTGAGATCGCGCCATTGCACTCCAGAGTGAGACTCTGTCTCAAAAAAACAAAAAAAAAACCAAAAAAAAAAAAAACATGCACAGTTTTTAGCATCTTGACTGAAAAATTTGGATGTGTAGACATCCCCTGAGTATTTGTCATGGTTGCATCAAGCTACTTATTGCGTCTTACAACCTAGGTATATCAGAGACTTCTAGTCCCTGTGAATGCCATGTTCTCCTCTCCTTCTTTAGCACACTGTTGGACTTCATTTCTGAGCTTCTGGTAGTGAAGTGGTACCATGTGATTGAGTTCTGGCCAATGGAATATGGTGGAAGATTCCACGAAGGAACCGACGGCCCTAGAAGATGGCAGAACTGTAGACAAAAGGCTGAATCCCTGAATGATTGTATGAAAGAGAGCACACCCCTCTTCCCCCTTAATGGCATTAGTCTGTGATGTAAGGGAGGAACAGATCTCAATTACTCTAAGCCACTGATATCTTGAAGTTTGTCAAAGCAGCTAGCCTACCCTGCTAGCTGGGTACAATACAGCAGGTGCTAATATTGCTTTGCAACTTAGGATTTTTACATCCTCTTTTCTCAAAAGAAAATGAGAAATCAACATTTAGAGGACATTTATTGGATGCCAGGCAAATGGCCTAAGTCATGGGGAAGCAAAAATGAAGAAGATATCATCCATGCCCTCAAGGGACTTGAAGTGTGCCCAGAGAACTTGGAATGTACTCTGGGAACAAACAACTGGGCAACTAATTATAAGACAATGTGATTGGTAGTTCTTAAAGATGCAGATGGAGGCCAGGCACAGTGGCTGACGCCTGTAATTCCAGCACTTTGGGAAGCCAAGGTGGGCAGATCATCTGAGGTCAGGAGTTTGAGACCAGCCTAGCCAACATGGTGAAACCCTGTCTCTACTGAAAATACAAAAAAATTAGCTGGGCGTGGTGGTGGGCACCTGTAATCCCAGCTACTCAGGAAGCTGAGGCAGCAGAATCACTTGAACCTGGGAGGCGGAGGTTGCAGTGAGCCGAGATTGCGCCATTGCACTCCAGCCTGGGCAATAAGAGTGAAACTCATCTCAAAAGAGAAAAAAAAAAGATGCAGATGGAGTGGTGGTAAGGGAGAAACGGAAAGACTCTCAAAGGATGTGCTCTTTGGGCCAGGCAGAGAAGAGGTTCGGGTTAGGAAGGGCGAGGCAGTGCAGATATAAGAGTCATTGGCGCAGATGTCAGAATGACTAAAGTCCTTAGTATGTTTAGAGCAGGTATAAGACATCTGGAGGTCCATGAGGCTGGGGATGTAGGCAGGAAGACAGGGTTAGACAGGACCTTGCTGGTCAAGCTAAGGGGTTTGGACTTTATGCTGGCAGTTACTTGGTCTCCAAACTCTTCTGATCATCACCCCATCAATAAATGATTTTAAAACCCTCCCCAATAGATGTATCTGTTAATTTATAAAGGCCATTCACATATTACCATGCTTACATATCATCTGTATTATCAACAATACACAAACTGTAGCATTTTTAAAAATTTAAGATGAAAAATAAATAAAAATGAAAGTTTGAATATTTTCAGCTCTACCCCACTAGCTTGGCTTGCAAACCTCCTGTGAGGTAAGCTCCCTCTTTGGAGGCTCCTGCAAGAGACAAAAAATGAGATGGTAAAGGTCTGAAGCAGGAGACATCTACTTAAATCTTGTTTAAGGAAGGTAACCTAGGTTGCCAGGGAGAGACTGAATCTGGGGAGAAAACACTAGTCAGGACAGTGAATTCTAAATAGTTTTCTTTTGTATTTTCCTCAGTGATTTCCATCTCTCCATTTGTTGACTCCTTCTAACTCCAGGCTCTTTGGATAAATTTGTTTCAATATCTGGAATCCTCAAGGGGATGGAGAGAACCAAGAATGTAGGATTGAGAAGGTGGGGATGAGGATGAGGCTGTCTTCCTCCTATGAGCATGAGTCAGGATACCTGCTAGAACCTCCAGGAGGGAACCAGTGGTACAGGGAGCAGGAGAGCCCAGTGGGCAGCACAGCAAAGCATTTGTCTCTCTCTGTCTCCCAGGCTGGAGTGCAGTGGCGCGATCTCGGCTCACTGCAACCTCCCACTCCTAGGTTCAAGCAATTCTTCTGCCTCAGCCTCTCATCGTTGTCTCATTCTTAGCATCCCAACACAGCTTGCCTGGGAACGCCACTCCCTGAGACATCCACTGTGAGCCCTGACAGCCACGAGAAAAACATAGCTCATTTTCTCAGAGTTAGGAGCCTCTGGGTGGCTTCATCAGACTGGCAGCAAGCCTAGCTGCTAGTGAGGGCTAGTTATGGCAAACTATGGAGTAGGTGGAGTAGCTCTCCGATCCCCAGTTCCCCTTGATGTGCCTTCCTCTTAACTCCCTGATCATCCATTCTTTTCTTTCCAGGAGCCAGTGCTGAAAACCCGCTCACAGATTGGTATCTGATACCAGTTGGTTAGGCCTTAATCGGAATTTAAACTGACACATTCTTGTCCAAGGGTATTTGCACTGTAAGCCTTATGGCTACCTTGTTCCTTATTAGAGAGATAGCAAGGATCAAACAGAAAGTATGGGAGGAGTGTGGGGTGGAGACCCACGCTGGGCTCCAGAAACAAGTGGTCACCTGTTCTCAGGTCCAGTGCCCACTTGTCCAGGGCTGTGCAACCCCTCTTCCCGTTGAGGTCAAGGAGGGGTGTTGGCTATTCTGTTATGTGGATGAGATGCCCACACAGGCAGTGTGAGGGCTTTAGCTGTAGGACCTTGAAATGCTCTTGAAAAAAGGGATTTTTAGCATTTTTCTTTTCTTTGGCTTTGTTCCACGAATGCACTGCAGGAGATAGGTTAGAGATAAACACTATGTAAGATATTTGAAAACGGAATGATATCTTTGTTGTTTACTATTTCAAAGCTTATGAAGTTGAAAACTAATTTGGGTCCCTCCCCAATGTTTTCTTACTGTGATACTGTGATACTGTGATACTGTGTCTTTTATTTCTTCTTCACATTCCACAACAGCACATCCTCATCCTTGGTATGAGCCACTGAATTTTCACAGGCCCTTGCAAGGATCTAATGCTGAAGTCACCGTTCTGTGCAGTCTCTGTGGGTGAAGATCACTTCCCTTTCATTGTGGTTTACACAGTTCATTGTGCGGGGCAGGAAATGAGTTCCCAGTAATTCTGATGTGATCGGAATCTCATTTGGTTTCTATAGTAGGATCTAAACTATATGCTCTCATCTGATATTTTTGCTCATCTAGAAAAAGATGAAGTAAATTCATGTCTCCATAAGTTGGAATTATGCAGGCAAAATTAGCTTCAAGTATGCAATTTGGGTTTTGAGAGGACACACTTTAAAATATTTTTGTGACTGTTCATGTTGAACTCACTAGTATATAGTTGGATCAGTCGGAGAACCTGTCTGAGTCTTATTTCTCTTGACAGGGCACAGGATAATAATCCAACCACACAGGTTGCAAAAGCAAAGTAGATGCATGTGATTATATATATATATATATATATGAATAGTACTATATTATTTATTTATTTTGTTTAGAGATGGGGTCTCACTATGTCATCCAGGCTGGTCTTAAACTCCCAGGCTCAAGTGATTCTCCTGCCTTGGCCTCCCAAGGTGCTAGGATTATAGGCATGAGCCACCACACCCAGCCTGAATAGTTCTGTAGTATTATGTATATTGTATACTCATAAGTACTCATAGGCATGCTACAATATACATAGTACTATTCATAGACATTGATATTTTGTAATATCAGAGTCATAGTGATAACAAATGTATTACCATGCTCTGTGAGGGCATCCCAAAAGCCACCCCAAAGAAATCTAAAGTAACTGGTTCATTTAATGCATTACTTGTATCAAACATTTGACTAGACAGAGAACAAGCACAGCGTAAAACAAAAATGTCTCTCTGCATGATTTTTCCTGTAATTAATCCAATCAGATTTACAAACGTCCTCCTGTAAATTCTGAGGATTGTGAGGTCCTGAAATTATTAGTGAGCTAGTCTGGAAAATAGAAATTAATTATCTGATTCCCATTTCTACTAACTTAAATGTGAATGAAATGTTTAAAGGAACAGCAGGAATATGGGATGTGATCAAAACACTTTATTTCTGATCTCCAACTGTGCCTAATGGATGTTATAGTAGGTCAAATAATGGTCCCTAAAGGTGCCTGTGTCCTAATACCTGGGCCCTGTGAATACATTACCTTACATGGCCATAAGGCCTCTACAGATGCTATTAAATTAAGAAACTTGAGATAAGGAGATGATCCTAGATTATCTGGGTGGGCCCAATGTAATCAACAGGGTCCTTATAAGAAGAAGGCAATATGACAACTGAAGCAGAGATTGGAGCAATGTGGCTACAAGCTGAGAAATGCGAGCAGCCTCTAGGAGCTGAAAGAGGCAAGGAACAGATTTTCCCTTGGAGTCTCCAGAAGGAACCAGGCCTACTGACACCCTCACAGTAGCCTGGTCAGACTGGTTTTGAACTTCTGACCTCCAGAAGTGTAAAATAATATAGATATGTTGTTTCAAGCCACTAACATTGTAGATTATATTTTTTTTTTTTGAGATGGAGTCTCGCTCTGTCACCCAGGCTGGAGTGTGGAGTGCAGTGGCACGATCTTGGCTCACTGCAATCTTTGCATCCCGTGTTCAAGCAATTCTCCTGCCTCAGCCTCCTGAATAGCTGGGATTACAGGTGTGCACCACCATACCAGGCTAAATTTTATATTTTTAGTAGAGATGGGGTTTCACCATGTTGGCCAGGCTGGTCTCAAACTCCTGACCTCAAGTGATCTGCCTGCCTCAGCCTCCGAAAGTGCTGGGATTACAGGTGTAAGCCACTGCGCCTGGCCAAGTTGTAGAAATTTTTTATAGCAGCAATAGGAAATGAATACAGAGACGGTGAGGAAACCAAACCACCACATCAAACCACCCTTGTGGACCAAACCAGCCCTTCTGTATTCACAGCCCTGCAGTGTTTGCTAATTACATTATGTGGTTTATTCCTCTCATTAGCCTGGATCATTGGTAACTAGTCTCCTGAAATACCGAGCTCAATGCTCCCATAGAATAGTCACACTATGTTGGACCCAGCCAAGCCCAAATGGATACATCTGGCTACGTCTTATGAGTTGAGGGGGAACCATCTTCAGGTGGTTAATTGCATACATGGAATTGTTGAAGGAGAGCGAAGACGATATGGGAGGGCCCAGGGCAGGGAAGAGCAGAGGGATGGGACAGTGGCATTTGTGTCTTTCCAGCCCAAACGTATGCCTGAGGCTGAGTCCGGTCAGGTAGCAAGCAGAGGCTGCAAGAAGTGCTTTTAAGAATTCTGAGATGTGAGGCACAAGTGGCCCCCTGCCCAGGCAAGAAAGGGTGACATTGAGTGGTGGACAGAAGCATTTTCTCCACTTCTGTACTGAGTACAGCTCAGCTCTAGCACAGTGAGGAATGAGGGACAGATGGCACTATTTGACCCTTTCTCAAGAACAGACTGGGGCTACCCCTGGATTTTGCTCTCTGGTCATCAAGCAACAGGGAGCCCCATGGCCAAGGTAAGGGACAGTCAGCATCCAGTGGGGGCTGGGGACAGAAGCAGATGAAAGGACCATTGTGCGCATAGGCAAGACCCCTGGGGACTCAAAGAAGCACCTAGAGGAAATTCTGTTTTGTAGACGTAGTGGTGGGAGGAGGCAAGGACCTGTATCTGGTAGGTGGGAGCACGAGCCAACAGAATACAAGCTATTCGTGTTCACTTAACTTCATCTGTGCCCTCTGGCTGGTGAAGCCAGGAGCTCTTCAGGTATCAGCTGGATTACCTGTTTGAGATTAAATTGATTGAATCATAGAAATAGACTAAAGTGCTTAGGAGCTTAGAAGCTGAGTAAGAACTGACTGAAAAGTAGATATTTTATTTGGAAAGCACTGAGCTCACCTGGGTATTAATTTCACCCACTAATTTGCTGCCTGGATGCGGGGCTTCCTTGTTGGTTTACTGTGGGGTTTTATTAGTCCATTTTCATGCTGCTGATAAAGACATACCCAAGCCTGGGTAATTTACAAAAGAAAGAGGTTTAATGAACTCAGTCCCACATGGCTGGGAGGCCTCACAATCATGGTGGAAAGTGAGTCGTGTCTCACATGGTGGCAGACAAGAGAAGAGTGAGAGCCAAGTGAAAGGGGTTTCCCCTTACAAAGCCATCAGATCTCGCAAGACTTATTCACTACCACAAGAACGTTATTGGGAAAACCACCCCCGTGATTCAATAATCTCCCACTGGGTCCCTCCCACAACATGAGGGAATGATGAGAGTTACAATTCAAGGTGAGATTTGAGTGGGGACACAGCCAAACCATATCAGGGGGTCAGGTTTCTGATGCCTTCTTGCTGATTGCGGTTTCCCCAGTCCTTAGCACAGGGCCTGGCACATAGGAGCACTCCATGACTATTTATATTATCCAAATGAGTCCCTACATTTGCTAAGCCAATGAGGCATGTTATTGATCCTTGATTCCCTCTTATGCCTTTTTTTTTTTTTTTGAGACAGAGTTTTGCTCTTATTGCCCAGGCTGGAGTGCAATGGCTTGATCTTGGCTCACCACAACCTCCGCCTCCCGGGTTCAAGTGATTCTCCTGCCTCAGCCTCCCGAGTAGCTGGGATTACAGGCATGTGCCACCACACCCGGCTAATTTTTAGTAGAGACGGGGTTCCTCCGTGTTGGTCAGGCTGGTCTCGAACTCCCGACCTCAGGTGATCCACCTGCCTCAGCCTCCCAAAGTGCTGGGATTACAGGCGTGAGCCACCACACCCAGCCCCTCTTTTGCCTTTTACCTCCTAGGATTGTCGAGTGTTAGCAAATCCGCAGGCAAAATTCATATTCTTCTTCAGCGACTTTCATTGTATGGCCTAGACATGGCAGAAAAACCAGAATGAGTTTCTGTGTATGGGTGACAGGGTGGGAATTTGAGCTTACTCTCCTATGGCCTAGCTGTGCATCATCCTTGAAAGCCATTGAATGACATCTGGCAAAATCCCAGGAGGCACCTCCAACCTCCTGTGACTTTACAAAAGGCCTAGTCTAGGTTCCTGATTGCCTTACAACTTTCCTGTGAATCTGATGAGGAGGAAGCGTGAAATACACTTGGCTAGAATGGAGACCGTGAGTCCCAAGTCAGGCCTCCAGTCACTGCCCTTCCATCTTATGCCACACACCTTCCGAGGGGCGAAGGAAAACATGAGTAGAATTAGTATATTTTGGTCTCACAGATATTTGTGAGCATCACGAAGCCATTCCCCTAATTGCTCTTGGTTGAGAGATTACAACAGCCCTTGCTGCAAAACTCCCCCACAACCTAACCTTTCAGAGTCCAATCTTGCAAAGCTAACTCAGGGAGAGCTTTGCTTAAATTACTGGGCTAGTATTATGTGAGTGTGAAGTTGCCAAGGAAAATGAGTCAGACACTAATCCCTTTGCTAGGAGATGAGAGAAAAAAAAAAAAAGGCTGGCAGACCTTTACTATTTTAATTACCTGCTTCCAGAACAATAAAAGAGAATTCAGATCTTCCACTTAACAGTCGTGCCCTTCTTATATTCCCGTAAAGTACCTGCACTATTTCCTTAAGATGTAAGCCTTGGGCTTTTTTCCTTTCAACTGTGTTCAAGCTATAGTTCCGACCATTCGATTTTGGACAAAAATAAGAATTAAAATTTCCTTTGCTGGTTTTAGTTACAAATATTGGAACCAATGAACATTTAAACCTTGTTTCTTTCTTGAAAGATTTTTCAGAGTTTTAAAATGCTTCCTGGGAATGATGACTAAAGGTAATGTGGGATCCTGGATGAGATCCTGGGACAAAAAAAAGGACAATGGGTGAAATCTAAGGACATCTGAATAATGTTTGGACTTTATTTTATAATAATAATGTGTCAATACTGGTTCATTAATTGTGACAAATATACCATACTCATGTAAGATGTTAACTCTATATAAGAACTCTCTATTATCTTCACGATTTTTCTGTAAACCTGAAACTATTGCAAAATAAGAATTTTATTTAAAAAGAGTGAATCCTGATCTCATTGATGACTCTTTGACGATTAGTTTTGTGACAGCAGCAGAGCTCCAGTAGATAATCTGGCATCACAATTTGGGCTAAACCGAGTGCCCATGAAATAGTGTCTAGGCACAACTCCAAATGAATTCTTCAGACCTCCTGGCCACAGAGAAGATTCTTTTTTTGTTTTTTTTAATGACCCAGAGACCAGGCATTTCAGAGATGGAAATGCGAAGTAATCCTTTTATGGGAAGTGGATCAAAACTGGGAAAGGAGAGGCATCACGGCATGTTGTGGGGACAAGCCTCGAGGGGTGCGTGTGTGTGTGTGTGTGTGTGTGTGTGTGTGTGTGTGTGTGATGTCTCACTGGGCTTTTGTTGTTCTTTCTTCTTTTCTTTCTTCCCTCCCTCCTTCCTTTCTTTCTTTCTTTCTTTCTTTCTTTCTTTCTTTCTTTCTTTCTTTCTTTCTTTCTTTCTTTCCTCTTTCTTTCTTTTTCCTCTCTTCCTTTCTCTCTCTCTTTCTTTCTTTCCTTTTTTGAGACAAGGTCTTGCTCTGTCACCCAGGCTGGAGTGCAGTGGCTCACTGTCACCTTGAACTTCTGGGCTCAGGCAAGCCTCCCAACCTCAGCCTCCTGAGTAGCTAGGACTATAGGTGCGTACCACTGGCTAATGTTTAAAATTTTTTGTAGAGACACAGACTCACTGTAGTGCTCAGGCTGATCTACAACTTCTGGCCTCAAGAGATCTTCCCACCGCCCAAAGTGTGGGGATTACAGGCATGAGCCACCGCGCCTGCCCCCATTGTGTTTTCTTATTCTCCAATCTGGACCCCATTCGCCTCATGCTGGGTATGTTGCCCTCTGTGTTTGGGGATGATTTCTGTTTCTTGTCCACTAAGAAACTACCTTCATCTCTGATACTGTCTTCAAATCTCTCCTCTTTCATGACATTTTATTATGCTGGGGGAATAGGTGACAGTTCTTGTTTGACTCAAACCTACTTTTCTTAGAGTGCAACATCAGTCTATTGTAAGATAAATTAAAAAAAAAAAAGAGCTTTTGTAAGCCAATCTGTTATCACACAGAGCCTAGTACCTAGTCGTGTTAGATTTTTAAGCCACTCCAAAAAACCAGACTTTTGCTGTAATCATTCTATTGCAACCATTCTCATCAGGTTCCCAGTGAATCCCACCACCCCCATACCAAATCCAGTGATTAATTTCCTGGTCTCATTTTGTTTGACTTCCCACAAGCATCTGACTTAGTTGCCTCCCCCTTCTTTTTGAGTGAATAGTTTTCTGTTCCTCCATGATGTCACATTCTCCTGGTTTTCTGGCTCCTTCAATGGCCACTCCTTCTCAGTCTTTTGGCTGGCATTTGATCTTTTTTTTTTTTTTTTTTTTTTTTTTTGAGACGGAGTCTCGCTCTGTCGCCCAGGCTGGAGTGCAGTGGTGTGATCTCGGCTCATTGCAACCTCCGCCTCCCGGGTTCACGCCATTCTCCTGCCTCAGCCTCCAGAGTAGCTGGGACTACAGGCGCCCACCACCATGCCCGGTAATTTTTTTTTTTTTTTTTTTTTAGTGCAGACGGGGTTTCACTGTGTTAGCTAGGATGGTCTGACTCTCCTGACCTCGTGATCCGCCCGCCTCGGCCTCCCAAACTGCTGGGATTACAGGCGTGAACCACCATGCCCGGCCCTGATCTTCTTACCTGTTATTGTTGCATGTCCCCAGCTCAGTGCATGGCTGTCTTCTGTATGTGCGTCCACTCTCTTGGTGCCTGCATGCTGTCCTGTGAAGTTAAATACCACCTAGATGCTGATGGTGAACTGAGATACGTCTCTAGCTCCTGACTGCATCATGCTCACATGTCCCACATTGTATCTGATAGCTCTTTCTGAATGTCTAGTAGACATCTCCAACTTAACATGCCAAATACACAGCTCCTGATTCCCAAGAAAGTTCAGACTCCTATGAGAAATGTTACTGTACCAGTAATTCACTGTTCCTCAGCCCTGTGTTCCCAAGGCTAAGCTAGCTAAATACAGCAAATTGTCATTGATAAAGAGGCAACATACTATAATATATAAAATGTGATACATGTATGTTGTATACTGAAAATTGAATGAAATCAGGAACTATCCATATTTTTATTCACTAATAGTAAGATCTAATGAGTGTTTCTTTTGTGCCAGGTACTGTTAAGTGTTTCACGTGTTTTATGTTATTTAATCCTTTCTGTAATCCTACAGGTAGATATTATGGCCCCCCCTCCCCTTTTTTTTTTAGACCGAGTCTCAGTCTGTCACCCAGGCTGGAGTGCAGTGGCACTATCTCGGCTCACTGCAACCTCTGCATCCCGGATTCAAGTAATTCTCCTGCCTCAACCTCCCGAGTAGTTGGCATTATAGGTGTTGCACCACCACGCCCAGCTAATTTTTGTATTTTTAGTACAGACTGGGTTTCGCCATTTTGGCCAGGCTGGTCTCGAACTCCTGACCTCAAGTGATCCACCCACCACAGCCTCTCAAAGTGCTGGGGTTACAAGCATGAGCCACTGCATATGGTCCCATTTTCATATCAGGAAATGATACATGGGTACTCAGGGAGGTTAAATAACTTGTCCAAGGTCACAGAACTAGTTAATAATGGCTAAAATTTGAACCCAGACAGCCAACTATACTCTGAAGAGTCATGGTGGAAATTACAGCGCTATTTCCTACCCCAGGGTCTTGGGCCTATTCAAGTGAGATTCCATGCATTGTATTCTATTACTAGATGCTGTAGCCTTTAACCTATATGTGTATAGAACCCTCATGCTAAATGCTATGATTTGAATGTGTTTCCTAAAGTTCACGTGTTGGAAACTTAATCCCCAGTGCAACAGTGTTGAGAAGTGGGAGCTTTAAGGGGTGACCTTTAAGAGGGCGGTGCCCTCATGAATGGATTAATGCTGTTATTGAGGAGTGGGTTGGTCACCATGGGAATAGGTTTCAAATAAAAGGATGAATTTGACCCCCTTTCTCTCTGTCTCTCTTATGTGTGTGCACATGTTCTCTTGCCCTTTCACCTTCCACCATGGAATGAAACAGCAAGAATGCCCTTGCCAGATGCAGGCCCCTTGACCTTGGAATTCCCAGTCTCCAGAACCATAAGAAAGAAATTTCTGTTCTTAAGTTCATAATCAGAATAGAGGACAATATGAGCAGAGTGCTGCTTCTGCTAACATAGGTATGGAATGTGGGACAAAGAATTCTCAGAGAGTGAGCCACTGGGAAGTCCTAACTAAAATATGTGGCTACCGTACTTTTCTACTTGACACAGTCCTTGAGAGAGTGAATTAGGCAATGAGTGCAAATCCTTCAGGCTTTCCCCTTGAGTGACTTGGTAGACACTCAGTTAATTGCATCACTGGGGTTCACATCCACAGCTTTGCACAGCTGCCCCTTGGTCCCACGCCCACAGAACTGTGAGGCCTGCCTGTTCTTCCCACTGGGGCCTATTGACCTATTAGCTCCCACAGACACAGACACAAGCCACTGGGCACTGAATTTTAAAAGCTGATAATGTGGCAGCTTTAAGCAGTGAAAAATATTAGTGTGGAAAAGAAAGATGAGAAATCCAAGTCAGCTCTTGAAAAGCACTCATTTCCATAAATACTTTATTGAAACTGTTATTTTCAGAAAATGCCCAATTTCTGTCAGAAAAAAAAGTAATGAAAAGTCTTTTTTTTTCCTTCCAAACATATTGCATTATTTAGACTAAAAAAAAGCAAAAAACTTCTCAAGGATGGCTCTTTTCGGTAAAAAATTTTCAAACAAATGAAGTCTTTTTTTTGGTATTTTTTAAGGGTGGGTTTTTTATAAATATTATGCACAATGTTTTTGAAACATTTCCTGTCCTCAGTATACACCAACATACTTTTTGCTAAAAGCTTTCCAAAAATATGCTTATTAAACAAAGAAATAAATGCAAGACTGTATATGTTCTACTCATTTTGAATTAAAACATTCCCCTCTTCATCTTGCCTTTTGCTACATTATTTATCATGCTTTTTCACTTTTGAATAAAAGACCAATTTTTTAAAAACACGAACTATCCAATCCAAATGTTAATGCTCATCTTAGCTTACTTTCTTTTCTTTGTTTTCTAATCAGCAAACTCTATAAAGCCTGGTGTGTAAATAGGCAGTAAATATAATATTATTAAAAGATAAAACAGAGCAAAGAAACAGTATCAGCCGGTGTTTTGGGAGTTCTCACTTTTCTTTGTTTGTGATCACAATAAGGAAAAGAGATATCATATCTCTTTTCCTTAATTGTTATTTAGCATTGAAGACTAATGGAAAAGTCTAGCCAGATGTTTTAAAATAGAGACAAGATTTCAAGGAGCTATCTGTTATATTAGCTTTAAGTGAGTTTATCTTTTTAGGGTTTAAATGAGAAGACCATGTCATTCTTTGCTTAATGCACTGAAAATCTTTCATTTTAAAGGCAGAATCTCAGTAAAGAGGAATTCATATGCCTGGAAGCCTAAAAAAGTGTTTCATAGTGAAAGCCACTCATACATGTACATTATGTTCAGGAAATGCAAATGCAACAAGAAGGTGACCCTGACAATGGTTCTTCCAACCGTCACAGTTCCTGCCATGCAGCAGAAATTCTGAAGCTCTGAAAAACTGTCAGACTAGACATGCTTTTTAAAAAAGAAGAACACAGAAATTACTTACATCTGAGAGTTCCACCGTGAGGCCTCGCCTCTCCACTCCACAGACCTCTGCCTGGCCACGGATCCTTCACCCTGGCTTGACAGCTGGTTTAATCTGCAAGCCAGGGTGGAATGCGTGGTCTTGCACTTGCTGTTCTTTTCCGTCTTCGGAGGGCCAGCAGCCTGGTCATTTCCATGGCAACCAGGAGGAAGCTGCTGGCCTACCAGTCTCATTAACTACACGCAGGAGAGAACCTGCCTTGGTGACTGCTGACCACTCTTTTGGGGTTCTAAACTGGGAAGTTTCTAGAAGAAACTGAGGAGACTGTTGCTGTAGGCTGATCCCAAAGGATTGACACAAATGGAAGAAATTCTACTTTAGCAGGAAATTGAATGGATTAAATGTAGAGTACGGAGACTCCTTGATACTTTTACTTTCATGATTTATTCCACCTTTTTTGGTCTGATGAATTGTTACTTATGGTAAATGCCTGCACTACTGTATAAAGTGTCCTATCGTAGTTGTTCCAAAGAAAAAAAACTCATTTGAACTCCAAAGATAGACATTATTCTCTGTCTTTTTTAAAATTCATTTAAAAAAATATTAGAAGCCACAAAACCAATAAATAGGTAACAATTATTCTATGTACATTAACTGATAGTCCATGTGGGCTTCTATAACAAAATACCATTAGTTGGGTAACTTACAAACAACATATTTATTTCTGTAGGCTGGGAAGGCCAAGATCAAGGCAGATTTGTTTTCTGGTGAGGGTCTGCTTCCTGGTTCATAGATGGCACCTTCTAGCTGAGTCCTTACATGGTGGAAGGGAAACTGTGGTTTCTTCAGCTTCTTACAAGGGCACTAATCCCATTCATAAGGGCTCCACCCTCATGACCTAATCACATTCCAACATCTCCACCTCCTATGCTATCACATTAAGGATTAGGTTTCAATATATGTATTTTAAGGGAAGATAAATACCTGGGCCTTAACAACTGATGAAGTCTCACTAAATATGGGAAAAAAAGATAAGGCAGGGGTCCCCGATCTCCAGGCCACGGACTGGTACCAGTCCATGCTACAGTAGGAGTTGAGCAGTGGGTGAGCAAGAGAAGAAGCTTCATCTGTATTTACAGCCGCTCCCTATCAATCACATTACCACCTGAGCTCTGCCTTCTGTCAGATCAGCAGTGGCATTAGATTCTCATAGGATTGAATTGAGAATGCTATTCTATTGTGAACTATTGTGAACTGTGTATGCGAGGGATCTAGGTTGCATGCTCCATATGAGAATCTAATGCCTGATGATCTGTCACTGTCTCCCATCACCCCTAGATGGGACAGTCTAGTTGCAAGAAAACAAGCTCAGGGCTCTCACTGATTCTACATTATGGTGAGTGGTATAAGTATTTCATTATATATTATAATGCAATAATAATACAAAGTGCACAATAAATGTAATCGCTTGAATCATCCCCAAACCACCTCCTACCCCTGCCTGTCTGTGGAAAAATTATCTTCCATGAAACTGGTCTCTAGTGCCAAGAAGGGGACTGCTGAGATAAAGAAAAATCTTGCTAATTAAAAGCACTAGGAGTCTGGAGCAATTGATTTGTAATTACCCAGATACAGATTCTCCAATATGTTAAAGAAGAGAGCACCTCAGTAGGGAAATTTATTCATTCATTTATTTATTATTCATCTACTGAATCCTTACCACACACATGCACTGTGCCAGGAGATTTAAGGGGCACAGAGATCAATGTCATGGTTCTTGTCTTTAAGGAAGTTATACTATAGGAGGGGCAATTATGTAAGTTGCATCTGGGAAATGTTTGAAGGGAGATACAGACACAATGCAGGGGAATCCCAGTGAAGGTCGGCCTTTGCCAGGGAGACTGGTGAAGTCCTTGGGGAGAGGTAGTTTTGGATCTAGGCCTTAAGGGATGGCTGAGATCTGCATGGTCAGATGTGGGGGAAAGGACAACGATCTCTCATGGAGTGATTATTTGATGAACTGCGGATCCAAGCTGATGGATATATCCTTCCTCCTTTCTGCACCCAGAGAGCCTGGCACAAATGGCTTCTCGGTGGCCCACAGGATAAAGGAACTCAAGTAATTAAGAAAATTGCTGGAGCAAAGGTTTGGAGGTGGAAGAGTCCCAGGCCTATTCAGCCATTTGGAAAGCCAGTGAA
Source organism: Homo sapiens (assembly GCF_000001405.40). NCBI lineage: Eukaryota > Metazoa > Chordata > Mammalia > Primates > Hominidae > Homo > Homo sapiens. The sequence goes on from NC_000021.9 coordinate 32,815,770, forward strand.
TCACAGCCAGAATAAAGGGAATTGAGAATAGAGAGAGGCTGCTATTGTTGGGTGATCAGTTTCAGCAAAGCACATATATGAATTCTACCATGTAAGAATAGCAAAGTGGATCTTGGTTCAAACCTTGAGTCTGTTACCTTCTTGCACATTATTTAAACTTTATAAGCCTCAGTTTCCTTATCTATAAAGTGGGTATAATAATACTTTGTTGAAAGGTAGAGCTGAGGAAAAAATGAGATAATATATGTGCACTGGATGCCTGAAGATGAGGGAGGGAAAGGCTGGCCAACAATACACCGAATACCCCAACTTTCCAGAGCAACTGTGGCTAATCCAATGGTTTGGCGTACTCAACCTCTATTTCAACATCTTTCTGTCTTGCCTGCCTCTACTGTAGAGACTGGAAATCTCTATTATTCAACACAACAGAGTCTCTTGAAGCTGAGGTTTCAGATGGGATTTAAGTTTTATTATTTATACTTGATTCAGAATGAAGTCACGTGGAGAGAGGATCCTGAGACTTTGGGAATGAATTAAGTGAGAAGAGAGAGGAGAGTACTGGGAATCTCTTGCTGGCCAGGGTCTCAGCAGATATGGCATGGTCTGTTGTGGGGGTGGCCTTCTGACTGAGTTGTTGACTGGTTGTGGCCAATATGGCATGGCTCAAGAGCTGAGGACTGTGGCACTAACTTCCTGTTGGAGAATGTGGCCTCTTAATTCAGCAACTTCCTGGTTGTGGATGAGGTAGTAGCTCCCCATGATGGTTCAATTCTATGGTGACTTTCAGAGTTCAGTCTAGAATCCATTTCTTCAGTCCTTCCAATGACTCAAGGCAGTATCTGTATATCTGAAGAAATTCCTGGTTTAAACCAGCTAGAGTAGACTCTGTTGCCTGTAACCAAGAACCCTGAATTATATACTAGTGCCTTAATTCTGTCCAATACAAGGTGACAGAGTTTGGATATATGTCCCCGCCCAAATATCATGTGGAATTGTAATCCCCAATGTTGGAGGTGGGGCCTGGTGGGAGATGATTGGATCATGAGGGTGGATTTCTCATGAATGCTTGATGCTGTCCTCACGATAGTGAGTTCTCATGAGATCTGGTTGTTTAAAAGTGTGTGGCACTTCCCCACACCTACTCCTGCTTTCCCCATGGGACACACCTGCTCCCCATTCACCTTCTCCACGATTGTAAGTTTCCTGAGGCCTCTTCAGAAGCCAAGCAGATGCTGCTATGCTTCCTGTACAGCCCACACAACCATGAGACAATTAAACCTCTTTTCTTTATAAATTACCCGGTCTCAGGTATTTCTTTATAGCAAGGCGAGAATGGCCTACTATACAAGGTAAGTGGAAGTTTGCTGGTACTGTCTCTTCTACTTCTTTATTTTAATGACTAAGATAAACAGCATAAGGTATTTAGTGTAAACTGAGCACAAATAAGGCAGCCAGTAATGGTAGCTACTATATTGATTACTCTTTGTGACTTTCTCTATTTATGACTCGGATGCCTTCCAGGACCTCTTGCTTAGTGGGGTTCCTGGCTGAAGGCAAAGAGTGTGAAGAGCCAGGTACTTCCCTGGAAACTTGAAGGCCAAACATGCAGCTGCTGATGGAATGTGGCTGGGGCCCTGTGTATGGCATGTTAAACATTTACCCCAGGTTTTATATCTCCCTGTCTTTTTAAAGCATTTACTTCCACTGGCTCTTTGTGTTAACCGGTCACATAGTTTAAGTTGATTTAGCAGCAATGAGTATTGGGAAGGTTAATAAAACCACACCTCAGACTGCCTGTTTTGTTCAGCTGTGGAGCCAACGGGTGGTGGACAAGTGTTTGTTCACAATGAGATGGAATTCTAGCTTTGTCCTTGACCAATTTTGTTTTCTTTCTCCGTTTTATTTTTTATCATAAAAGCAATGCAGTTTTTCTGATAGCACATTCAGATAATATCCAATGTATTAAGCAAAAGTGAAAATCCACACCCCCCTCTACAACTGATCTTCTGGAAATAATGTCTGGTGTAAGTCTGCAGTGAAGCAAATCTTGCTTGATTGTTCACTAACGTGTTCCTTAAAATCTTTTACCTTGGGCCTGGCATGGTAGCTCACATCTGTAATCCCAGCACTTTGGGAGGCTGAGATGGGAGGAGCACTTGAAGATAGGAGTTTGAGACGAGCCTGAGCAACATAGTGAGACCCTGTTTCTGCAAAAAATAAAAAATTAGCCAGGTGTAGAGGTGCCCACCTATAGTCCCAGCTACTCAGGAGGCTGAGGTGGGAGGATCTCTTGAGCCCAGGAGTTTGAGGCTGCAGTGAGCCAAGATCGCGCCATTGCACTCCAGCCTGGGCAACAGAGCACGACCCTGTCTCTGAAAAAGAAAAAAAAAATCTTTTACCACAAGGCCTCAAATTCCACTGTTTCTGACACCCTCTCTTCATGGATTCTCATCTGGATTCTCTACCACCCCCTACTTAACTGCCTCCAAATCACTACCAGTGTCTTCTATAAGTGTTTCTTCCATCTGGGGCAGGAGTCATCTCAGGGTCTCTCTTTCCTTCCCAACTTCCCTTCCCCTTCCTTCTTTGGCAACTTTAACATCTGTATTCTCAGCTCACTGCAGGCCGTCAGCACTCATGTCCTCACCTCATGGCCTTGCTGGGCCCCAGAGCTTGTGCAGGGCTCTATGTGTGTTCCTTCTCCCTGCTCCATCCTCACAGTGTCTCTAGATATCAGCGCCTCTGGCTTTACCTCTTCCATCCACCCTCAGCTCCCTGCCCTGCTGCATCCACACTGCCCTGACCCCTACCGAGGTGACCCCTACCTATGACCTTTGCCCTCTGCAAAGTCCACTCTGGGTCCTCTCATGGTCTGCTTCCTCAGCATCCACTTTAGGGTACAGGCACTCATGGAGAAAATGCAGAGAACTAAGAATTCCTAATGCTTGGTTTCCTGAGAACCCCTGATGTGATCCCGGAAGTCTTCCAGCGGTTCTGGCCCAGTGGCTGCAATAACTCTTCTCCACTTGTGTCAGATACTCACTGCTGTCACAGCATCCCTGGCCTCGTGAGAAGGCCTTGCATCTGAGAGGAGCCAGGAATCGTACCAGGGCTTTCTTACCATCCTGCTCACACCTATATACTCCTTAGAACATGAACATCTTGGATCAGACACCTCGTAAGCACTGCCTCAGCTCCTTTCAGCCACACCTGTCTTTGATTCCAGCCGCCACTGTAGTGACAGTTCTGCCATGAGCCTGACCAGCTGCATGTAGAACTAACTTGCAAGCACCTCTCACCTCCCATCCGAAGCCTTCTCTGTCATCTCTGCAGCCTGGGACAGACACTGCAAACACTCCTTAGTAGTCTCATGAATGCAACCTGAAGTTCCGGGGACTTAATGCCTCCATGGAGTGATCCTTTGACCAATGGGGGATTCCTCCTTTCTCAATCCAGGCAGACAGTCCTGAGATGCGTGCCTTGTGGCTTCTCAGGTGGTTCACAGAATCAAGCAGTAACTTACCTTGCGCTGCCCCTCACCGCTTCCCTCTCCCTCACTCTTGCTTCTAGGGATAGCAGTTCCCAATACAGTGCTTGCATATATGTATATATATGCTTTTCTGATGTTCTACTCTCTGGGAAAATCAGGCTAAGCCACATTCTTTCTTCTTTCCAGATTCTAAAATAAATTCTTCTACCTGTGAGCTAAAAGCAGCCCTTCCCAACTCCTGCGTTTCTTCTCTAGTGATGGCCTCATCTCTTCCAATAAGTAGAATCTTGATCTTGATAGTTTTAAGAAATGTATCCTTAGAGCTTCGAAAATCCCTCTTTTCAGAGTACCCCTCATATGGAATTACCTCCATAAAATGATGGGAAGAATACCTGAAGCATCGAAGTGATATCTTCAGTCCCTTAGATGGTTTTTAAAGAACTAAAGTAGTCATCATACATCATCTTAGTGGCGACATTACCCATGGGCTTATCTGAATCTACAAAGCAGCGGAGTCCCTCTCACTTCATGATAGTTACAGCACATACGATTAGCAGAGAATAACAAAGGCATGATATGATACAGATGTTGGGCAGCTAGCGAGGCATGCTCTCCAAATAAGTGACTCACTCTTGTGCGGCAGTTCCTCAGCGGATGTGATTCCAGTGTGTGCCTTGGCAAAATTTAGAAATTACAACATGGTTTGGCCCATAGAGGTTGATGACAAATGGTAAGAACCATAGAGATTAAAGCATAAATATCAGGAATATCCTGTACTTTCTATCTCTTAATCCCTGCTGTCTGTTCTTTGGACTTCAGATGTGCAAGGCCTCCTCATTCTGAAATGCAGAAAGTGTCACTTGACTCTGTAGTGCCACTTAGGTGTCATTTCACTGTTGCACAGATCTACTGGAACTTCACTCTCCAAGTCCTCTCACAACTTGCTTGGCCTTACTGTACTTCTCTTATTTGTGGCACCTGACTATTAGCCAACCTTTCCTTGGTCTTCCACTGTCATGCATGATTCTATAACTTTTTCCTGGTGCTTATAATATTATTTTACTGGTCACATCCTTTCTATCTCTCTCTCTCTCTCTCTCCCCTTTGGGCTCTTCTTTCTCTCTCTCTTTTTTTTTTTTTGAGGTGGAGTCTCCTTCTGTCGCTCAGACTGGAGTGCAGTGGCACCATCTCAGCTCACTGCAACCTCCACTTTCCAGGTTCAAGCGATTCTCCTGCCTCAGCCTCCCGAGTAGCTGGGATTCCAGGCAAGCACCACCACACCCAGCTAATTTTTGTATTTTTAGTAGAGACGGGTTTTTGCCATGTTGGCCAGGCTGGTCTTGAACTCCTGACCTCAAAGTGATCCACCCGCCTCGGCCTCCCAAAGTGCTGGGATTACAGGTGTGAGCCATGGCACCTGGCCTATTTTTCTTTTCTTGAGCAGCACCTAAAGTGTTGTCCTTAACCCTGCTCTTCTTCATGAGTTCTAGTCACTTGTTTCAGTTATATGAAGGTCACCCCCGCTTGGAGAATAAACTCAACACAGACTATTAGAAATAAGAGGGCTGTCTTATTGACACTTACTTGTAATCTATCCTCAGTTTGAATGCTTCCAGAGATGAAAGGCTTGCCTCCTCACACAGCAGCATTTTTTTCATTTTTGGAGAGCTCTATTATGTAAAATAATTTCTTATGTATGGCTAAATCTGTCTCCTGGGAATTTTGAGACATTGGCTGTTTTTCCGCCCTTAAGAGTAACACTGAAAAATCTTCCCTCTTCTTTCTGATAACACTTAGCAATGCTCTTTTGGCTCCTGTGAAGCTTTTCTGAGTCCCAAAGTCTCTCAGACCCCAAGCCTTAGAAACATTTTGACTCTTCCTTCTTTAATCCAAGAGCCAACAAATCATCAAATACTGGAAATTGTAGTTTGAAATTTCTCCTGCAGAAAAAGCACATTTCAATGTGTAATAATTAAAATTATAGAAATAATAACTTATTCTTTTTTGAGACAGGGTCTCGCTCTGTCACCCAGGCTGGAGTGCAGTGGTGCGATCTCCGCTCAGTGTAGCCTCGACCTCCTAGGCTCAAGCAATCCTCCCATTTCAGCCTTCCAAGTAGCTGGACCCACAGGCATGCACCACCATGCTCAGCTAATTTTTATACTTTTTTTGTAGAAGCAGAGTTTTGCTATGTTACCCATAGTGGTCTCAGACTCCTGAGCTCAAGCAATCAGCCTGCCTCAGCCTTCCAAAGTGCTGGGATTTCAGGTGCGAGCCACTGTGCCCAGCCAGCAATAAATAACAACTTCTCTCAACTTAATTTAGAGAGCTAATTCAATAGTGATTTTAAAAATCCAATGGAAATTGATACAAATATCGAAGGAGTTGATACAAGTATTCTGAAGTTCAATGAGATAATAAAGAAAATATTCAAAATATGAAGAATAATAAGGGGGGATTAGTCATTTGACTTATTAAAACAAAATGATACTTTGGTAGGTTGATGTGGGTGGATCACTTGAGACCAGGAGTTCAAGACCAACCTGGCCAACATGGCAAAACCCTGTCTCTACTAAAAATTCAAAAATTGGCTTGGTGTGGTGGCATGCACCTGGTACCGCAGCCATTTGGGAGGCTGAGGCACTAGAATCCTTGAACCAGGAGTTGGAGGTGGCAATGAGCTGAGATCCACCACTGAACTGCAGCCTGGGCAATAGAGCAAGGCTCTGTCAAAAAAAACAAAAAACAAAAAACAAAACAAAAAAAACCCACCAAAACACAAAAATCAAAATGGCAGTCACTGAAATAGTGCAGTACTGACATGAACAGAGACAGACTGTAACCACAGGTGGCGGTGCACACCTGTAGTCTCAGCTATTTGGGATAATCACTGGAGCCCAAGAGCTCGAGGCCAGCCTGAACAACACAGTGAGACCCTGTGTCTGAAAAATGTTGTTTTGAATTGATATATAAAAGAAGAAAATATATATTACTGAGGAGATTAAGGATTACTCAGCAATAATTTGGAATCACTGGCTATGAATTTGGAGGAAAATGCAAATATAGATTGTCACTATATATGGAATGAAGTCTATATGGGATTAATAAATTCTTAAAAATAAAATCATAGGAAAATGAGGTAAAAATTAATTGAATAGTAAATAAACTTTTAAGATAAGAAGTACAGGTTAAGTTTCCCTTATCCAAAATATTTGGGACCAGAAGTGTTTTGGATTTCAGATGCTCTTTGGATTTTGAAATATTTGCATGTACATAATGAGAGATATAAGGGGATGGGGCCCAAATCTAAACAGGACATTTATTTATGTTTCAAATACACCTGATACACATAGCCTGAAAGTTATTTTATACAATATTTAAAATAATGTTTTGCATGAAACACAGTTTGTATACATTGAACCATCTGAAAGCAAGTGTCACTATCTCAGCCACCCGTGTGGGCATTGCTGTTTGGTATCACTGTTATTCCAGACTCTGAATATATATGCTAGTGATAAAAATCATTTTTGGCCAGGTGCGGTGGCTCACGCCTGTAATCCCAGCACTTTGGGAGGCTGAGGAGGGCAGATCATGAGGTCAGGAGATCAAGACCATCCTGGCTAACATGGTAAAACCCCATCTCTACTAAAAATACAAAAAATTAGCCAGGCGTGGTGGCACGGGCCTATAATCCCAGCTACTTGGGAGGTTGAGGCAGGAGAATCACTTGAACCCAGGAGGTGGAGGTTGCAGTGAGCCAAGATCATGCCACTGCACTCCAGCCTGGGCGACAGAGCGAGACTCTGTCTTAAAAATAAATAAATAAATAAATAAATAAATAAATAAAAATCATTTTCTTACACTTATTTGCATGAGTACTGATCAGTAGAAAATATGGCATGCCATCCAGTACCATTCAGGACCACATGGGCAAGGACTTCATGACTAAAACACTGAAAGCAATGGCAACAAAAGCCAAAATAGACAAATGGGACCTAATTAAACAAAGAGCTTCTGCACAGCAAAAGAAACTACCATGAGACTGAACAGGCAACCTACAGAATGGGAGAAAATTTTGCAATCTACCCATCTGACAAAGGGCTAATATCCAGAATCTACAAAGAACTCAAAAAAATTTACAATAAAAAAACAAGCAACCACATCAAAAAGTGGGCAAAGGATATGAACAGACACTTCTCAAAAGAAGACATTTATGCAGCCAGCAGACACATGATGATGTGCTCATCATCACTGGTCATCAGAGAAATGCAAATCAAAACCACAATGGGATACCATATCACACCAGTTAGAAATGCAATCATTAAAAAGTCAGGAAACAACAGATGCTGGAGAGGATGTGGAGAAATAGGAAAGCTTTTACACTGTCGGTGGGAGTGTAAATTAGTTCAACCATTGTGGAAGACAGTGTGGTGATTCCTAGAGGATCTAGAACTAGAATTATCATTTGACCCAGCAATCCCATTACTGGGTATATACCCAAAGGATTGTAAATCATGCTACTATAAAGACACATGCACACGTATGTTTATTGTGGCACTATTCACAATAGCAAAGACTTGGAACCAACCCGAATGTCCATCAGTGATAGACTGGATTAAGAAAATGTGGCACATATACACCGTGGAATACTATGCAGCCATAAAAAAGGATGAGTTCATGCCCTTTGCAGGGACATGGATGAAGCTAGAAACCATCATTCTGAGCAAACTATCGCAAGGACAGAAAACCATACACTGCATGTTCTCACTCATAGATGGGAACTGAACAATGAGATCACTTGGACACAGGGTGGGGAACATCACACACTGGGGCCTGTCAGGGGGTGGGGGGTTGGGGGAGGGATAGCATTAGGAGAAATACCTAATGTAAATGATGACTTGATGGGTGTAGAAAACCAACATGGCACATGTATACCTATGTACCAAACCTGCAAGTTGTGCACATGTACCCTAGAACTTAAAGTATAATAAAAAGTAAATAAATAAAACATGGAATGCCATCAATGCAGTGAAAACATAATGTGTTCAGGGCAACCAAGCTGCTCAGTAGCATCCCTGGAATAGCTGAATCAGCTGCTTAACAGCAGTAGCAACAAACAACAGCAGGTTTTCAGGCTCCACCTACGATGCTGTGTTTTGATGAAAAGGTTACTGTGCACTGTATTTTATTTTTTTAGATGAGAAGAAACTTCAGAAGCAATTGAGAGACCAGGAAGTGGGTCCTCTGGGGCTCAGGAGGCATTCTGATGGATGGCTTTTAAAGATGTTTCCTCCAGAATCAACTGCCTCGTTAAAGCATAAATGTCAAGCGTAAATTGTTCTTGTCTTAGAAGTCTCTCTTTGACTTTATAAACCTGATATGATTTATTGTTCTGTTATGAATGCGTGGTGCTCTAGTCCTTCAATGAGCCCATCACACGTTTTCATTATGTCGTCTAGAGGCAATTTTTCTGCAGTGTTAACTATGTTATCTTCAGCATTGTGCACCTGCATTTTGACTGCGACCCATCACACGAGGTCAGGTGAGAAATCTTCCACTTGTGGCATCATGTTGGTGCTTAAAATTTTCAGATTTTGGAGTATTTTGGATGTGAAATTTTAAGATTAGGGATGCTCAGCCTGTCATAGATGGTGCAGCCACCTCGGAAAACAGTCTGACAGTTCCTTGAAAGGTTAAAGATAGAGTTACCATATGACCAGGCAATTCCACTGGGAGGTATGTACCCAAGAGAAGTGAAATACATGTTCACACAAAAACTTGTACATGAATGTTCATAGCAACATTATTCATCATACCCCAAAGTGGTGACAACCCATGTCCATCAACTGATGAATAGATAAATAAAATGTGGTATATCCACACAATGGAATATTATTCAGCACCGAAAAAGAATGATGTACTGATACATACTGCCACATGGATAAACCTTGAAACATTATCTAAGTGCAAAATGCCAGTGTGAAAGCACCACATATGGTATGATTTCATTTATATGAAATGTCCAGAATAGGAAAATCCATAGAGACAGAAAATAGATTGGTGATTTCCTAGGGCTGGAGGTGAGATGAAATGGGGAATGACTGCTAATGGGCATGGGTTTATTTTTGGGGTGATGAAAAGCTTCTAAAATTGATTGTGGTGATGGTTACACAATTCTGTGAATACACTAAAACCAACGAAGTTTGCACTTTACATGGGTGAATTGTGTAGTATTTGAATTATGTCTCATTAAAGCTGTAAAGAAGAAGTAATTGAAGAAATCAGAAAGGAAATGTATTAGATAAACAGAACTGATAGGCTATATATAGATGTAAAGAAAGGGATTTATTATGAGGGATTAGCTCACATAATTGTGGAGGCTGAGAAGTCCCTCCATCTGCCATTTGGAAGTTGAAGGTCCAGGAAAGCCAGTGGTATAGTTTCAGTCCCAGCCCAAAAGCCTGAGACCCAGAGGAACCAATGATGTGAGTCTAAGTCTGAGCCCAAAGACCCGAGAAGCTGGAGAGCTGATGTCCAAGGGCAGAAGAAGACGGATGTCCCAGCTGAAGCAGAGAGAGCCAATTCACCCTTCCTCCATCAGCTATTTGCTTGTTAATCCTGATTGTGCAAATAGCTCAGTGTGCAAAATATATGTCTAAGAGGGAGAGGAGGCTGGGCGCGGTGGCTCACGCCTGTAATCCCAACACTTTGGGAGGCCGAGGCGGGCGGATCACGAGGTCAGGAGATCGAGACCATCCTGACTAACACGGTGAAACCCTGTCTCTAATAAAAATACAAAAAATTAGCTGGGCATGGTGGTGGGCGCCTATAGTCCCAGCTACTCGGGAGGCTGAGGCAGGAGAATGGCGTGAACCCGGGAGGCGGAGCTTGCAGTGAGCCGAGATCGTGCCACTGCACTCCAGTCTGGGCAACAGAGCGAGACTCCGTCTCAAAAAAAAAAAAAAAAAAAAAAAAAGACGGAGAGGACACACAGGAGATCTGGGCGACGAACTAGCTCTGTTATTTAAACAACCATTGTAAAAGTTGTTTATGTATCCAGGTGGAGAGCCACTGATGAGGGAACTTGCTGGGCTTAGTTTCTGAGTCTCCACCAAACCTGTGCCTTCTGCTAAGCTGGGGATCTGCTAGCTGCCTACTAAAGGACGGGTGCCTGGAATCCACTGACAGTTTCACATACGGTGTGTTCTGGGGCATCAGCCACCTAGCTGGGGAGAGGGCCCTGGCTCAGAAGACTATGAGGGTGCACAGGAATAACTGGGGCTCCGTCACCCAAGGGAGGGTGCCTGTAGGACTCAGTTTAAGGGACAGTTTCAACCTCCTGGTGCCATCTTTCACTTATGTCCCACACTTCCAGTTAGTCTTGTGCCTCATCTAAATAACCACACCCTGATATTTGCCAAACTGGACCATGAGCATCCCCTCAGATTCTGCTTCAAACCATAGCTGAGCAGGCAACTCCGTATAGGCCCCAAGGCATGTGTATTTCTGATCAAGTCCTCCACCTACTGGTGACACTTGATTCTCACGTCCCTAGGGTTTACCAACAACACTTGTCTTTCCAGACTGTTCTATTAGAGTGTATGCTGACACTCCTCCATAACGACAACAACAAAAAATTAATGCCTGTTAGAGGCGCTATCCATGAAGCAGCAACAGGAGACTGACTGCTTTTGCTATGAGCCAGAGTCTGATGTGATAAAACCAGAAACAAAAACCAGCCTCTTGTCTTGGTGAAAAAGGGGGCCACTAGGCAAAAGGATGGCGAGAAAGGCCACCTGCATTCCTCATTCAAATTCTTCCTCATTCCTTGATTTCTCTCAACAGGTAGCCATCAAATCTGAGATTCGGTGTTGTTATAAATCTCTTCAAGAATATTGGGGAAGAGGCTGGGCATGGTGGCTCACGCCTGCACTTTGCGCCTCCCAGCACTTTGGGAGGCTGAGGAGGGCAGATCATGAGGTCAGGAGTTCAAGACCAGCCTGGTCAACATGGTGAAAACCCGTCTTCTACTAAAAATACATAAATTAGCTGCGTGTGGTGGCAGGAGCCTGTAATCCCAGCTACTTGGGAGGCTGAGGCAGGAGAATAGCTTGAACCCGGGAGGCGAAGTTTGCAGTGAGCTGAGATCATGCCACTGCACTTCAGCCTGGGAAACAGAGTGAGACTCCATCTTAGAAAAAAAAAAAAGGACTATTGGGGAAAAAATAGCAAACCCTGGACATTTCAGATCACTAAACTACCCCTTGTGTGACTTGCTCAAAATAATGTTATTACAAACTCATGGAATATTACTGGCTTTAGGCGATGACACAGTTGCAGTAATGTTCTGATTTGATTATTCAGAAATGAAATTTATGGTTTAAATTTCATCCAGGATTTATAGAATTTAAAAAAGTTATTCTTCAGTATTTGAAATACCACTTTGCCAAAGCAGAAAAGCCATAAATGTGTTAAACTGGCTAAGAAAATTAAGATGGCAGTAATACATTTTCTAATAAAAATCATAGCATAATAGCAAAATTACTGCGGAAAACCACAGTTATTGTGGCAAAGACATAAAATGTTACAGCTGCAATAATATGCTATTTGTTTTGGCAGGAGAATAAGAATACTGTACATTGCAGTTTTTCAATATTGGAAAAACATAAGAAAATACTATAAACTTAAAAGACTATTTTTTAAAAATGAAGAAGTGCATGAATGATTTTAAATTTTGAGCATATAAAAGAGTCTTGCTGCAAAGTCTATTGAACTCCTGAGAAGACTCTGTTTTGCTGTTTCTGATTTGCCAGTATCCTACCAGAAAACTATGCCTCCCAATAGAAAAAGAACACATAATCCTGTCTGTATTTGAGGGTTCAAGCCTGGAGATTCCGCCCCCTTGGTCGGTTGATTTTTATTGGAAACCCAAGATGCACCTGCCTGTGGAATGCATTTCAGAATGTGGAAGTACAGCAGGAAGAAAGCAGACAAGAACACAATCCCATGGTATTCTTGGTTAGGGACAGCTTGGGGGTCAGTGGGGGAGACATACACAGATTAAATGATTAATAGAGTAATTCAGCTTATTTACATTAGTCTGGTTTTTTACATGAGGGGCTCACAAATTCTTAATTTGTCCTTTCTTTATTATATTTTTCTTTTTTGCTATCTTTCAATATTGATTATCCATTTCTTCCCTTAATTACTAGACTTTCTGAACTTTTAAAAACATATATCTTCCAACTGGAAAGTATCTGTCCCTTATAACAACTACCAGTACTACTCATAAAACAACAAAAACCCATATAGCACTTAATAAGTGTCAGTCAGTATTTTAAACAGTTTATGCATATTATTCATTTAATCCTCTCAATGACCCTGTGAGAAGGTGCCATTATTCTCCTTATTTTTCATACGTGGAAAGTAAAGAGTAGGGAGAAACTGTCCAAGCTCACACAGCTAGTAAGTCATAGAGCTGAGACTGGAACCCAGATAGCCTGGCCCCAGAGTCCTTCACTATTCTGAATTTATAAAGATATTTTTGATATTTTCTTCCCAAAGTTTTAAAGCTTTCCTTTTCACATTGGAGTTTTAAATCTATCTATAATTAATTTTGAGTATGGCATGATTTAGGTATAACTTTTTATATGAAAAACTAATTTTCCCAGTTCTATTTATTGATATGCAAATATAAAATGTCTCTCTTTCTCTCTCTATATATATATCTGAGGTTGTTTTTGAGTGCTTTATATTCTTGCTTTGGTCTGAAAATTCACAGGTTGAAATTCTAACTCTTGAGACGATGGTATTAGAAAGCAGGGCCTTTGGAAGGCGATTACGTCATAAGGGTAGAGCCTTCAGGAATGGGACTTAGTGCCCTTAGAAGAAGCTGAGAGACCAGCGTTTTCTCTCTTCCATCATGTGAGGACACAGCAAGAAGGCACCATCTATGAACCAGAAAGTGCCCCTCACCAGACATCAAATCTGCTGGCACCTTGATCTTGAACTTCCAGCCTTTAGAACCATGAGGAATAAATGTCTGTTTTTATAAGTCATCCAATAGGTGATGTTTTGTTATAGGGCCTGAGTAGTCTTAGACAGTTACAGATGATTCGCTCTCACTGACTGTTGAATATTATTCTAAGTGTGGATATTACACAATTTATTTACCCATTCTACTATTTTAATTTTATTTTTTTTAATGTTTGAGACAGGATCTTGGTCTGTCACCCAGGCTAGAGTGCAGTGGCACAATCATGGTTCACTGTATCCTCCAACTTCTGGGCTTAAGGGTTCCTACCACCTCAACCTCCTGAGTAGCTGGGACTACAAGAATATGCCAACATGCCCAGCTAATTTTTCATCTTTAAAAAAAAATTATTTTGTAGAGTGGGATCTCACTATGTTGCCCAGGCTAATCTTGAACTCCTGGGCTCAAGCGATCCTTCTGCCTTGGCCTCCTAAAGTGCTGGGATTATAGGCGTGAGCCACTGTACCTAGTCCCATTCTACTATAGATGGGCATGTGGGTTGTATCCAGTTCTTTTACTATTATAAATAGTGAAGCCATGAACATTCTCCTAAATGTGTTTTGGTGAACATGTATATACATTTCTGTTGAGTATACATCCAAGATTGAAATTGCTGGGTCACAGACTACACATATGTTTCTGCTTTAGTAGATGTCGCCTGACAGTTTTCTAAGGTGGGTGGGCCATTTTACACCCCGACCAGTAGTATATGAGGGTCCCCGTTGTTCCTCACTCTTGCCCACACTTGATAGTGTCTTCTTCCCTTTAGTCATTCTTGTGTACACAATTGTGGTCCTAGGTGACATTTTCTTGATAACTATTTGAAGGCTATCTTCTTTGTGTGGTGACATAATTGCTCATAATTCTGCCCATTTTTTTCTTTTGGGTTGTCTGACATTTAATACAAATCGCTTTGTAGGAGTTCGTTATATAATCTGAATGAGTCCTTTGTTGAATACATGTATTTTAAATATATTCTCCCACTCTGTGGCTTAACTTTTCACTCTTAACACTGTCTTTTGATGAACAAAAGTTTTTAATCTTTTTTATTTTTTGAGACAGAGTTTCACTCTTGTTGCCTGGGGTGGAGTGCAATGGAGTGATCTCAGCTCACCACAAACTCTGCCTCCCAGGTTCAAGTGATTCTCCTGCCTCAGCCTCCTGAGTAGCTAGGATTACAGGCGTGCGCCATCATGCTCGGCTAATTTTGTGTTTTTAGTAGAGATGGAGTTTTTCCATGTTGGTCAGGATGGTCTCAAACTCCCGACCTCAGGTGATCCACCTCCCTTGGCCTCCCAAAGTGCTGGGATTACAGGCATGAGCTGCTGCGCCTGGCCGAAAGTTTTTAATATTAATGTGTTTTAATTTACTTATTTTTTCTCTATGATTATCACATTTTTTGTGTTGGTTAAATAGACCTTTGGCTACTTCAGTTTCATGAAAATATTTTCCCATGCTCTATCACAAAAGTTTTACTGTTTTATTAAGTTAAACCATATGAAATTACTAATAGTCAACATAAAAAATAGGAGTTTCATATGGTTTAACCCAATACATTTAATCTATGATCTGTCTGGAATTGATTTTCATCTTTGGTGTGAGTCAGGGGTCAAGATTTTAAACAAATTTAATTGTCTGATTGTCAATTTCTTATGAATTGGATGACTGTATATATGTGGGTCTGTTTCTCAACTCACCATTCTGTTCTATTGTTTTTTTTCATTCTTGTACCGATACCTTACTGTCTTGGCCACTAGAGTTTTATGATAGGTCTTTTATAAATTTTAATAGCTCCGAAGTGTTCTTCAAGATTGCCTTAGCTACTCTTAGCCCACTATGTTTCCATTTAATTTTAGAATCTCTTGTTTTAGAATTATTGCTTTATATATATTTAAGTTGACATGTAATAATTGTACACATTTATGGGGCACATAGTGATGTTTTGGTACATATAAAGTATAGTGATCAGAATAACAAGAATTAGCATATCCATCATTTCAAACATTTATCATTCGTTTGTATGGGGGACATTTGATATCCTCCTTCTAGCTGTTTGAAACCACATATTATTTTTGACTACAGTCATCCTACAATGGTATAGAACACTGGAACTTATTCCTCCTTGACGCTATTTTATATGATGCCCTCTACTCTAGAATTGTTGTTCTAAACAACAGAATGTTAGTTACTCTCTTTTCTAGATAATCAGAATGTTAGTTACCCTCTTTATTGTTATTTTGTCTAAAATTGATGTGGCGATCCTAGATTTTTTTTTTGGTTCCTATTTGTCTGGTATATCTTTATTCATCACTTTATTCCCTTGTCCTCCATATGTTTTGGATTATCTTTTATAAATAGAATGTAACTGATTTTTTTTCTTTTTGAGACAGAGTCTCGCACTTTCCCCCAGGCTGGAGTGCAGTGGGACGATCTTGGCTCACTGCAACCTCCGCCTCCTGGGTTCAAGCGATTCTCCTGCCTCAGCCTCCTGAGTAGCCGGGATTACAGGAGCCCACCACCACCCCCAGCATTTTTTTTAGTATTTTTAGTAGAGACTGGGTTTCACCATGTTGGCCAGGCTGGTTTCGATCTCCTGACCGCATGATCTGCCTGCCTCAGCCTCCCAAAGTGCTGGGACCACAGGCGTGAGCCACCGCGCCCGGCCTTTTTTTTTTTTTTGATGGAGTTTCGCAACCTCTGCCTCCCAGGTTCAAGCTCTTCTCCTGCCTCAGGCTCCCAAGTAGCTGGGATTACAGGCATGTGGCACCACGCCTGGCTAATTTTGTATTTTTAGTAGAGACAGGGTTTCTCCATGTTGGTCAGGATGGTCTCGAACTCCTGACTTCAGGTGATCTACCTGCCTTGGCCTCCCAAAGTGCTGGGATTACAGGCATGAGCCACTGCGCCCAGCCAAATATAACTGATTTTTAAATCTAATCTGTTTTTACTGTGGGAATTTGAGCCATTAATATTATTATGGTATATTTAGGTTTGTATTTATTATCTTACTCCATCATGAATTTTTTTTATCCCAATCACCTTCTTCATTTTAATTCTAAGCTTTCTGAGGTTTGTTTTGTGGAGATGGGGTCTTGCTGTGTCACTCAGACTGGAATGCAGTGGTGCAATCATAGCTCAGCTGCGGCCTCTAACTCCTCGGCTCAGGTGATCCTCCCACCTCGGCCTCCTGACTAGCTGGGACTACAAGTTGCATGCCACCACACTCAGTTAATTTTTAAATATTTTGTACTGATGAGGGTCTTGCTACGTTCATCAGGCTGGTCTCAAACTCCTGGTGTCAAGGGATTCTCCCACCTCGGCCTCCCAAAGTGGTGGGATTACAGGCGTGAGCCACCTTGCATGGCCAACAGGATCTCTTGATAGTATGTTTCCAAAAAAAAAAAAGATCATCAAATCAGAATACCACACAAGGAAGCTTTGCTAACATGAGCTTCTGTTCTTCGCCTATGGAATCTGACTGAGTCCATGGTGCTGGATTTGGTGAAGCGTTGGACAAAGGAGTCATCCTAGGTACATAAACAAGAGGAAAGTACAAGTGATAATGAGGGAAACAGCAAGTTCATCATGAACTACAGATAACCTCTACTTTCATTTCTTTTCCTGTCTAGCTTAGGTGGGTTCTGGTAATTCCCCTGGGAATGAAGTGCCCAATTCTTATTTCTTTTTTTTCCTTTTTCTTTTCTTGTCTTTTTTTTTTGAGACAGAGTCTTTCTCTGTCGCCGAGGCTGGAGTGCAGTGGCGCGATCTCGGCTCACTGCAAGCTCCGCCTCCCGGGTTCACACCATTCTCCTGCCTCAGCTTTCCCAGTAGCTGGGACTACAGGCGCCCGCCAGCACGCCCGGCTAATTTTTTTGTATTTTTAGTAGAGACGGGGTTTCACTGTGTTAGGCAGGATGGTCTCGATCTCCTGACTTCGTGATCCGCCCGCCTCGGCCTCCCAAAGTGCTGGGATTACAGGCGTGAGCCACTGCGCCCGGCCGGCAGAGCAATTTTTACCTGTTCTCTGAAGATTTTCCAGCTCACTCCAGGCGACATGTTTTCTCCATTTCCTGACTGCCAGGGTGCTAGGGGGCATCATCACCAGGTTTTCAAGTATGTTCTGTGTTCTACGATGGTTTCCTGTTGTTAACCCTTTCATCTTACTATTTCTTTGAGAGTAGAAGCCATGCTTTAGTAAGTGCTTAATAACACCCAATAAATATTTGTCGACTAGTCCATTAGTTGAAGTCTAGCCCCCTAAGCCTCCGTTTTTCCCCAGGAAACTGTCAGTCCCCAACTCTGTTGCTTGCCTTCACAAGCTAATATCCACACTACAGAAAAGGACCAAAGAGGCAGGATTGGGCCCCAGATATGGATAAATCATTGTGGCCAGATATATCTCAGGACAAAAGTGGGAACTTGGTTTCTTGGTTTTGGAGAGCTCATTGGCTATAGAGTACTGCAAACATTTTTGTACTTAAGTGTCATTTTAAAGCTCAAGTTGGTTTCTCTACATGATATGGTCTTTTTCTCCCTACCTTGGGAAATTAGTGTTATTTTAAAAATGGTCTTAAAACATATTGATGCCCACTTGTTTTTCATAAGGAAATATGAAAAATGTTCAGACTTCACCAGTGGTTAAACAACGCAAATGGTGGCAACTTATATAATTAGCCAACCTGTTTTAAAACGAAATTTTGCTATGCTGGTGAGGTCTTGGCAAAGTGCTACATCCATATGTAGCCAGTTACAATGTAAGTTGGTTCAACCCTTTGAAAAGCAGGTAGCAATTCTGATCTAAGAACCATAAAAATGTTTATTTCTTTATTTTTGATCAAATAGTCCTAGGTTCTGGAATCTATCCTAGACAAAGCATCTAAAGGGAGTTGAATGCTCTGTGTTTGAAAATGTTCACTTTAATCTTTATTTTTAGCATGGAAAACTGGGAAACAAGCTACTAATAACTACCACTTGTCTGGCTCTGCAGTTCACAAGCAGCTGTCACATGTATCATTTCCTTTGATTTTACCGTGTCCCTGGGAAGTAGGTGCGGTTGTGACCCTTGCTTCATGGATGAAGAGACATGTTCAGAGTGGTTAAGATACACAGATCACACTGTTGGAATAAAAGCAGAACAAAGCTGAGGTTTTCTGATTCCAGGGGCTGATCGTGCAGTATGACATCCCTTTATATCTGTGTCTGGCAACAGGGTAAATGTTAACCCAGGAACGTGAGTGTAAGTATCTAGCATTAACATAATTATTTTGAAAGCAACATAGCAATATTAAAAAATACTAGGCTGAAAAAAAGTACAAAAAAATCACATATTTGCTGTAATTATTACATAAAATTAGATAGCCATCATACTTAAGGACTGGAAGGGAAGGGAAGAAATGAAAGTCATTGAGAGGTTTCCTTTCATTTTAGTACCACTGTGCTTATCATTTCATATTGCTGGGAACCATCTGGCACTCTTTGGCTCTTGAATGGAATCATAATTTTCTTAGGAAAAGTTATATATATAGAAACGCATTGCACCGGGTTGCACTCGCTTTGAGAACACTAAATATAAAATTTCCTGGAATTATAGATTCACAGAGTCACAAAGGCCTATGAGGGAAGGACCAGTGCTGGTGACAGAGAGAGGCTGAGCGCAGCAGTCCCCAGCCCATGTTCTGGCTGTTTCATCTCAATGACACTTGGGAAGCGAACCTTGTGTGGAGCATGGAGGGGTGGGACCTCCTTGTGAGGCTGACAAAAGAGGGCTGGGCTTGCCAAATGAAATCAGGCCTTGGGAGGGTGGAGGAGCCTCCATTGTCCTCAGCGCCAGTGATTAAATGCCGGATTACAGAGGAAACATTCTTTCCATCCTCCCCAGCCCCCAACCTCAGCCCATCAGGCCCATTCACAAGGCTCCTTCCCCCAAATATTGGCCACGGTGCCTTCTATTTATCACCCTCACAGAGGACACTACAACCCACACAAAGGGGCTTCAGGAGGCTAATGTAAACCAGGTAATAGAAGAAATCAAGAGCTGACACCTCAAAAATGCCACAGGGGCTGTGGGGCAAAGGAAAAGACATATGGTGTGAAAAGCACCTCCCAGACGCTGCTCCGCTCTCACGCTCTGCCTGTAGTTGGCACTCGGTTATTTTCTTGTACCTTCTACTGGCCAAGCACTCATGCCTTGCTGCACATCTAGCTAGTTTTCTCTCTTTTCCAGACGAGACATGTCATGTCGGGTAGCATCATTTGCAACAGCCTCGTCATCCAGCTGACATGGATATTTGGTTCTCCTTTGTTACTAAGGCCTTGCCTTTCCAGGAGCATCCACATAGACTCTGCCAGAATGTCATCAGACTAGGCTAGTATCTTGGGCTCAGCTTAATATTCTCTCAGCCTGACATATTGGATCACAGCAGTTAGGACAGAAATTTTGAAAGGTTGGGGAGAGAGCTGTATGGGAATAGTGCCTGGAATAAATAGATACAAACATTTTAGAACTACTGCATAGACCTAGATGTTCATCAAAGTATTCATTTGCTTTTTAAAAGGAAAATATTGTGAAGTGTCTTCCAAATAGGCAGTGAGTAAATACATGCTGCAGGTGGAATGAACGAGTGACTTAGGGAATCAGAACACAAACTGTCATGCCAGATTGCTTGGACTTTGTGACTTACTACCTAAGTGACCTTGAACAAGCTCAGTTTCCTTGTCTGAAAAGTGGAGATAATGGTGATGATAATGATGATAGTACTTGCCTCACAGGATTGAAAGCATTATGTAACAAGCTCTCAGATCATCATCTGTTACAGAATACATGCTGTAGGAAGTGTGAGCTACTATTATTATTATTACTTGCTTACAGCAAATAAATCCTAGAGGTGTATTAGCAGCACCAACTTTCCTACAGAGCCAAAGAATATAGAAATGCCAGTATGGAGAGGGATAATTCTGATTATTTCTTTTTTTTTTTTTTTTTTGAGACATAGTCTTGCTGTCTCCCAGGCTGGAGTGTGGTGGTGCAATCTCAGCTCACTGCAACCTCTGCCTCCTGGGTTTAAGCAACTCTACTGCCTCAGCCTCCCAAGTAGCTGGGACTACAGGCGCATGCCACCATGCCCAGCTAATTTTTTGTATTATAGTAGAGATGGGGTTTCACAGCGTTGCCCAGGCTGGTCTCGAACTCCTGAGCTCAGGTAATCTGCCCACCTCAGCCTCCCAAAGTGCTGGGATTACAGCCATGAGCCACTGCACCTGGCCCTGATTATCTCTTTATACTGTATGTCCTTAAGTACAATTCTTAAAGAAAATACTAGCACATAGAATTTAGAAGTTTGTTGAAATGCAAAAATCATAGGAATGCAAGGATGGCTTGCTATTATGTTTATTATCATAATTTACTATATTAATAGGTAATGGAAGAAAAAACCCATAATTATAGTTTTGTGACCCAAAGAGCTTTTTTTGTCAAAATTTGACAATCATTTCTTCATTTTAAAAGTTTCAATTAGGAATAGATTCTGGACACAATAAATTAACATGTAAACACATATGCACGTATTAGTTGAAAAACCATCATGATGCTAAATGGCAAAATGCTAAAACCATTTTTTCCGTTATTAAAGACAATATTGGTCACCATGGAAACTATTTTTTTAATACTGTTCTAGGAGTACTGGCCAGTGCAATTAGATAAGAGGAAAAAAAGCTGTAAATATGGGGAAAATTATTTGCAGATTACATCATTATATATCTCTAAAATCCATATAAATCAATTGAAAAGCTGTTAGAAATAATATGACTAAGTACCTGGTTATAAAGTTAGTTATACAAAAATTAATAGGCTTTTTCTGTACATAAATATAATGGGATGAATTGATCAATTTCAAGTCTGATTGGCTGGATGATTTTTTTTTCCTCTGCAAACCAGACCTTCTCTGCCTCTGAGCAGTGGTCTGTAACAGGATGAATTTCTGTTGGATCAGCTGAAGTGGTGGCTTGGGCAGTGAGGCAATTCTTCATCAAGACATACCTTTTTGTTGCTTCTAATTACCTGCTGGCAGGAACTAAAAGTGTGTCTCTTGTATGCATGCCATGTGTGTAAAATTAGAGTCTTTGAAATTGTTCAAATAAAGAGGATTAGTTATAGTTGTAGGGAGATATAAAGACTAAGCCAAAAGAAGCAGAGTTTATCTGCCTTCACACTTCACCCATCTGTTAACCCGGCTGAGACACATTTTCTTGTAGCATTAGTATTTTATGCACTGTTTTTCTTGATATAGTAACAGATTTAATTCATTCTTTATGGTAATAGATCCCTTGTATCCATAAAGAAAGAACATATTCCATCATTACCTTAATATCATGTCTAATACAGAGTGGCCGTACAATTGGAAAGTTATTTCTCAGACCACTAAACTTACACATAAATGTTAAACACTGTATATTACTTTTAAGCTTACTTTTGATCTGCTATCAAACCTAAGAAGTTGTTTTATTTTGATTAACTCTATATAATAGTTAATTTTTTTCCTCTAAAATGTGTTTTAAAGGCTGAAGCTGTATTTGACATCATTTTTAAAGCTATGTGATTTATTCTTTTTTATTCTCCACTGTCAAATATACATATTTGAAGATATGTATGGTAATACCATTTTCAAGCACTAGCTAGTTTAAGGAGCATAGAGCATGGTAAGTGATATAAAACTTCATTCACCCATAAACCCCAAACCCCTAGTACTGAATGCCCACATATATCATCCTTACTATCAGAGAAATTATGTTTATAACATATGCTGAGTTCAAGACCAGCCTGGGCAACATGGCAAAATCCCACCTCTATGAAAAAATATGAAAATCAGCCAGGTGTGGTGGCGCACCTGTAGTCCCAGCTACCTGGGGGGCTGAGATGGGAGGATAACCTGAGCCCTGGCAGGTCAAGGCTGCAGTGAGCCATGATTGTGCCACTGCATTCCAGCCTGGGTGACAGAGTGAGACCCTGTCTCAAAAAAAAACAAAAGAGAAAAGCATTCAGCTTTTTGCTTCCTACATGTATGTCACCACATAAACAAAGGAAAGTGAGACTCAAGTTACCGTAAAAGAGTCCTTCACTGGAAGCAAATCCTCAACTGTTTTAGAAAAATGAGTTTATGATCATTATTATTTTGCTAAAAGGATTCTTTATTTCATCACAGGAACCTTCTACTAACCCCCTTTAGTCTAAAAAAGCTCTAATCTATAAAAATTAAAAATATATAGATCAATTTGATCCTTATAGTTTATCCATCCAATAATTTTTTGGTTAATATTTGCATGGCAGATAAATCTTTACTTCCCTTATTTCTACCTCCTGTATTGAGTGCTCAATCAACTTTTAAATAAATTATCACATGTATATATACATAATAAGATTACTTAACATTCCTATGTTGAATTTTGAATTTGTTTCATTTGTTCATTCATTCTTACATCCAACAGATATGGATTGCAAACCTACTACATGGCAAGCATAAGTGCCCCGGGGTTATGGCAGTGAACAAAATTCTTATCCTCATACAGTTTATCTTCTGATTTGGTGGATATGAGAAACTGGTGAACTTAAGCTTAAAATCAATCAGATGCTGAGTTTGTTATTAAAAAACAGAAAAGAGAGCTCAGGTTAAATACATGCACTAGCTAATCTAAATCTTTCTTGGAAGTAGACTTGGTACTAGTCTCTCAATTATCAATCATTTGGGCATTCTGTGATGATTTTATTATATCCTTAATTGCATTGCAGAAATGGAAAAAAAATTATCTCTTCCAATTGCCGTTCCCATCTGATGAGTCCTTCATGGGAGCAACAAGCAGCTGATTTGCCATCAGCTTTGTACCAGTGTAGGGGCTATTTTGGCAACAACATATGCTTTGGTGTCAGAGTAACTGACCTTCGAATCTTAGCTCTTACTATGATATTGGGCTAGTTACTTGATTTCTCTGAGCCCATTCTTCCATCTGTTAAACAGGCATATTAATCCTGCTTTAAAGGAGTATAATTCAGATTAATGAAATAATCGGTGTATAGTACCTGGCAGGTCAGAGCTCCCCTACCCAAGGTCCCCATTTAGTGGCAGAGCCAGGATTAGATCCCACATCACCTCACTCTGGTGCCAGTCCTTGTCTCGTACCATGTTTACATTTAATAATCTCTGGTGATTTTACTCACATGACGAGACAATAGATTTATTCATCATTTATTAAGAAGACATTGAGTTCTTTGCTGTGCTGCCTCTTTGACCTCTCTGGGCCAAAAATGAGGGAGTTGTATGAGGCTCCAGGGTCTCTTTTAACCATGCACTTCTATGACTCTATGCAGGGTGGCCAACTGTCTTGATTTGCCTCAGACTCAGGGGTTTCCCTGAACAGGGACTTTCAGTACTAAAACTGGGAGAGTCAGAGAAAACTAGGATGGTTGTTCACCATAACTCCAGGATTCTTCCACATTTGGTTTATTCCATCAGCTTCCCTGATATACCTCTGAATACCCGAGATTGGACATAATCCTGCAAAAGAATTCAAACATCAAGTTAGCGAACAGAGCTGCAGCCATGTGGCCTCTCCACCTCTTCATTCACTCCTTCTTCTGCCTCTGCAGTTTCCTATCTGGGTGCTGCTTTGGGAAACTGTTTTTAATCATTC
This sequence comes from Homo sapiens, assembly GCF_000001405.40. Taxonomy (NCBI): domain Eukaryota; kingdom Metazoa; phylum Chordata; class Mammalia; order Primates; family Hominidae; genus Homo; species Homo sapiens. The sequence goes on from NC_000021.9 coordinate 32,839,973, forward strand.
ATTGCTATGGTTTTAGTTTTGGTGGCTAGCCAGAGAGCAGCTGATCAGCCATGTCAGCAGACTAAGGAACACTCACAGATATTTTCTTCTCTGCAAGGCTTGATGTCTCCGTTTACCTTGGGAAGAAAGCAGAATGTTCACAATCTCACTGCCTCTAGTCTCTCTAGTGAATGTAAAGGCAAGTTCCTTCTCCCACTCCTCCTCTGCCTCTTCATTTTTATTCTCTTTCTCATTATTATTATCATTACTACCAAAAGGCAGTCACCTCTAGGGGAACAACGACCAAATGAGAACCTCTCAGAGCACAGTGTTTTGATGCTGAGCAGAGGCTGCACACCTTGCAACCCGCTCCCTGGTGGGAAGACCGGCTCTGCCTGCCCCAGCTGAGATATCACTTAACAGTGCGGGCTCTTCAGGGGCAGGGCCAGGGCCTCCTCAACATGTTTACAAGATGTGTGGCTATTAGCAACATCTTACAGCTCAGCTAATTAACGGGGAGAGTGCCTGATGAAGCCTGGCTCTAAAGAGGACCAAATTGCATCAGTGTTTGGGCTTTAAATTGATACCAAAAAATAACTTACCGCAGGTGTGTTTTGAATCGCATCTTCCCCCAGCAGGTTGGTTGGTTGTTATGCTTCAGCTACCGCAGATCCCAAGGTGGCCCGAACGCCAGGGTTACGAGTTTATTAAGATCATTTAAGTTGGTTACATGTAGTCATTATTTTAGCTGAGCGGTTAAGTTCGTACGTGGTCACTGATATGGTTTGGACCTGCGTCCCCACCAAATCTCATGTCAAATTGTAATCCCCATTGTTGGAGGTGTGGTCTGGTGGGAGGTGATTGTTTCATGGGTGCTCATGAATTCTCATAAATGGTTTGGCACCACCGCCATGATGCTGTCCTCAGGATAGTGAGTGAGTTCTGGTGAGATCTGGTTGTTTAAAAGTGTGTAGCACCATCTCCCTCTCTCTCTTGTTCCTACTCCAGCCATGTGATGTGCCTGCTTTCCACTGCCCACCATCATTGGAAGTTTTCTGAGGCCTCTGCAGAAGCTGAGCAGATCTCAGCATCATGTTTCCTGGACAGCATGCAGAACTGTGAGCTAATCAAAACTCTTTTTTTTTGTTTGAGATGGAGTCTCGCTTTGTCACCTAGGCTGGAGTGCAGTGGCATGATCTCAGCTCACTGCAACCCTGCCTCCCAGGTTCAAGCGATTCCCCTACCTCAGCCTCCTGAGTAGCTGGGATTACAGGTGTCCGCCACCACGCCTGGCTAATTTTTGTATTTTTAGTAGAGACTGGGTTTTACCATGTTGGTCAGGCTGGTCTTGAACTCTTGACCTCATGATCCACCTGCCTCCACCTCCCAAAATGCTGGGATTACAGGCGTGAACCACCGCACCCAGCCTCAAAACTCTTCTTTGTAAATTATCCATTCTCGGGTATTTCTTCCTCTTTTTTTTTTGGACAGGAAGTAGGATTTATTAGTGAGTATTAAGAGGGGGCAGCACAGTCGAAGCCCTCATGAGTGCAGGGCCTGCCACTTGTCCAGAGGGCCACGACTAGGGATGTACTTGATCCCACAGCCATCTGGGATGAGCCGCTTCTCAGCCACCATGTCTTCAAATTCATCTGCATTGAACTTGGTGAAGTCTCACTTCTTTGAGATGTGGATCTTTGGGGTGGCCAGGGAACTTGAACTTGGCCCTGCGCAGGGCCTCAATCACATGCTCCTTGTTCTGCAGCTTGGTGCAGATGGACATGATAACCGTGGTACAATGTGAACCCCGGCCACAGTGCCCTGGGGTTTTCCAAAGGCACCTCGCATGTCTGTTTGGAGCATACATTGGGGTAATACAAGGTCAGAGACATGAACATCCATCTGAAGGGCCTGTCTCCAAGGTCCCTTAGAGCAACGCATACAAGAAACAGGCTGCGTACACTACCAAGGAAGCTGCTGTTTGCAGCCATTGCACACCTGGCCCCCGGGAGGAAAGGAATTCAGTCAGCTTAATTGGTTGCAGATTGGGTATTTCTTCATAGCAATGTGAGAAAAGACTAATACAGTTGCCAACCCCCATGAATCCTATACCAGGAGCCACCTCGTCTTGCCACAGCTAAGGATATGATCTAAGTCTTGTCTTGGACGAGCTCACTCTCCACTCTGTGGCACACATGTTTTCCTTTAAAATACCCCTGTTATTCAAGCAGGAATGAAATATTTCTCTCACTTTTCTGATTGAAGTCTTTCCATGCTGAATTTTCTTAATCAGACCAGTAGGTGAGTTCCATTTCTTATATAATCTTCCTTTTACTAATAATCTCTTCAGTAGATAATGACCTTAGCAACTGTTGACACAACTTCCTCTATTTGAAGTTTTAAAAGTTTTGTTTGGTCAAGAAAAATAACTTGGAATTTTGAGGTCACTTCTGTGGCTACTCATGGATTGAATTGTCCTGGTTACCTAGTGATTTATTGCTTTTTGCCCACTGGTAGGAAGGAGGTTCCCAATGTTGGAGGTGTGGCCTGGTGGGAGGCGATTGGCTCATGGGTGCTCATGAATTCTCATAAGTGGTTTAGCGCTACCCCTTCGATGTTGTCCTCAGGATAGTGAGTGAGTTCTGGTGAGACCTGGTTGTTTAAAAGTGTGTAGCCCCTTCCCCCTCTCTCTCTTGTTCCTACTCCAACCATGTGATGTGCCTGCCTTCCACCGTCCGCCATCACTGGAAGTTTTCTGAGGCCTCTGCAGAAGCCTAGACATGGTAGAACCCACGTCTGTTTTATGAAGGGTAAAATAGCACCCCTACGATACTGTATCATGCTGCCAGAGTTTAATAAATTGGGGTAAAAACCAGTATTTCCCAACTCTCAAGGGAAAAGGCTGTGTTATTTGTGAAGTATTATCAGTAGGATGATTTTACCAAGGCATCTTGGTTCATTCTCAGTGTTGAGGAGATTTCTGTATCCACTGGGAAGCTGACCAGGCATCATCTAAGATCCTTTTCGGGGTAGAGAACATGCCAGCACCAGTGGCTACTCTTGGACAGAAGGGGAAGGTTGGTAAAGGAGTCAGCTGACAAGACTTTCACTTTTATTTTTATCCCCTTCAGTTGATTTTGAAAAATGAAAGGTCATGTCTTGCTGTTGAATAATAATAATAATAATAATATCTTTTATTTAATTTTAATTTTAATTTTTGAGACAGTCTCACTCTGTCACCCAGGCTGAAGTGCAGTGGTGCCATCTCAGCTCACTGCAACCTCTGCCTCCTGGGTTCAAGCAATTCTGGTGCCTCAGCCTCCCAAGTAGCTGGGATTACAGCCACCATGCCTGGCTAATTTTTTTTATTTTAGCAAGAAGGGGTTTCACCACGTTGCCCAGGGTGATCTTGAACTCCTGAGCTTAAGTGATCCTTCCGCCTTGGCCTCCCAAAGTGCTGGGATTACAGGCGTGAGCCACTGCGCCCAGCCAATAATAATACCTTTTTTCAGGCTGTGATTCAAATGTTCCCTTAGTTCTCTTAGTTGTGTTTACCTCTGAGCAGACATAAAAGGGGGCTGTGGACTTAGGGCTGCCCCCAGGAATGGTGGCAACTGTGTGGTCATAAGTGACAAAGGGTCACATACAAACCAGAAGGTGGGAGGTGACCCATGCAGTCTCCAACCCTGCGCCAAGGCTGGTCAAGCCCTCTTATTTTGGGGGCACTTTGAGGGGAGGGTGGGATAAGAGTTGCAGTTGCAAGAGAGGTATATGGCTCAGGTGACCTGCTACCTATGATATGACATCATTCCTTTCATGCTGAGCTCACAGGGGCGCTGTGAGGTTTGCTATTCACTAATCACACGTTGGCTAATCCATCACATTCATGGAGCAAAGGTCAGCCACATACATGCAAAATAGCAACCAAACATCACTCCTAATATTGCCTAATGACTTTCTCTTGAAAGTCAGACTTGGGCTGGCCTCACCTTCCAGTATCATCTAGCTGGTGCATCAAAAACTACGAGGGTTCTACCGGAGCCACCAGAGGCTGACACAGCTGCCCTTCACCAGCCCCTCTGCGAAGTCTGTCCTCTGTCTCTCCTGAGGACATCCTCTCCCCCTCCAGCAGGTCTTTTAGCCACATGTCTTTATTCTTGCCTTGATTCTAAAACCATCCCCAGTCTGCTTTTGCCTAATAGAGAGGGAGAAAAGTCTATTGCTTTCTTTTCTTTTATTCCTACTCCCCCTGGCTTTTTTTGAGTCAGGATCTTGCTTTGTCACCCAGGCTGAAGTGCAGTGAAGCAATCACAGCTCACTCACTGCAGCCTTGAACTCCTGGACATAGCCATCCTCTCATGTCAGCCTTCCAAGTAGCTAGGACTACAGATACATGCCACTATACCCAGCTAAGTTTTTATTAAACATTTTTTATAGAGACAGGGTCTAGTCTCAAGCTGGTCTCAAGCTCACTGCAGCTTCAAACTCCTGGCCTCTAGCCATCCTTCCACCTCGGCCTCCCAAAGTTCTGGGACTATAGGCATGAGCCTCTGTATCCCCTGGAAAGTCAATTTCTAAGAGCTCAGCATCCATCCAGGTGGAAGAGGTGAACATAGGCATCTCTCCTCTGTGATCACTGCCACTGCAATGGGAGAACAGGAAAAGATGGCAGTTGATTTCTGTCCTTTCATCATGAGTCCATCTACTCTCCTTCCCATCTCACATCCTGGACTTGCTTCCGACGACAACGTTATCAAGCCTGCAATTAAAAGCAACCACTTTTATGAGTCATTGTTTTGCGAAAGCAAATACCCTTAATATGTTGATTCAGAAGGTTTCAGGGGAGCCACCATGAGGCCACTTGTGCAATGCCAGGCTAACTACTTTTGAAAGAGGACCATATGCTGCCTTTACAACATCCCTTTGGTGTTTAATTTGATGAAACAATGTGCCACAATCAGCTGTGAGGACAGCAGCCGTGATTGATGGAGACTGACTCACGTGGTCTGACTCTGATTTCAATATCACCGCGCTAATCCCATTATTCGCTTGAGTTGGCTTGTTTTGGGCTACCTTAAAAAAAGTTATTTCTTTAATGGTCAAATTGCCGTGAGGTCTGGAAGATTTAATGTATCATAAAACTCATTAAATAACCAGCCTGGCAGCCCACACCACTGGGTAGTGTGCTAGCATATGGGAGATCCAAGCTGAAGACTTCAGCATTCATTTCAATGCCACCCAGCCAAAGCCTCAAGGGACAAGTCTGGAGTGTGTGTTCTAAGCCAGCATTCCTCCAACTTTCATGGACGCATGAATCATCGGAGTGCTTTACGAAAGTGCAGATTCTGATTCAGCAGTTGTGGGGCGAGGCTTGAGATTCTGCATTGCTGACAAGTTGATGTCCATTCTTCTGGTCCAAGGCCCAAACTTTGAACACTAGTGAACATTCACTAGAGGGTCTTGTGAATATCCATTGACAGCAGCTAACACTTATGAACCACATGACTGTGTTGTAAGTACTGTATGTGTGTGTTATATGTGTCTGCTTATTTAATCTTTACTTTTAACCTCATGAGGGAGATATTATTATCACCTCCATCTTCTAGATGAAGAATTAAATAATTGAATACCTAAGTGAATAAACTAAATAACTGAGGCCACACAGCTTGGTCCAGTACTTTTTGCCTTTTAGGCATGTTTATGAATCTGTGAGATCTATTTTTAGAAGTTAATTACCAAGTCTACTTTTTTTCCAGTTAAATGCCTAGGTCATGGTTATTGTTGTTCTGTTACTTATGAAGTAAAATAAGCAGAATAAAACCCAAAAAACACAAAATAACCTATTTGTTATTTTGAATCTTTTAAAATATAACATCAACAATACATTTTTCACATTAAAAAATCTATTGATTTGAGAAAACTGTACTTAAACCATGGCCCCAGGGTGAACGAATGGTGAGCGGGAATAAAATAAAATTCAAAACCATGTCCCCTGACTGCACAGCCTCTTTGTTTTTTGTTTTTGTTTTTTTCCAACCTCATCATTACACTCCTTTCACATAGGACTCAGTGCCCTGGCCCCATTTTTAGTTAGAGAACGGTGGCTCTTGTATAGATCTGCCATGGGCTTGTACTGGGTAAAACGATGAAATTTGTCTTGGGGGCTTTAGACGTCTCTTTCTGGATCCCTTTCTCTAAAAGATAATATTTACCACAGCAGGATGCCGCTAATACTGAATCAAAGCAATATGTAGCCAAGCCATGAGCAGCTAATATCCTAACCTGAGCCCTGCCTGGAAGTGGCAGCCGTGTTAGCCTCTCTGGTGCTTTATGTTGAATGGGTGCTCGGGGTGAAGGGACTCTGGCAGCCTTCCCAGAAAGGGAGATGGCAAAAGAGAAAACAAACACCTTCTAGAGGTTTCTGGGGAACTTAGGGAATCCTAGAAAACCTGTGTAAGGTAATGCAAGTACGTTTCTCCTCCCATCTGTTTTAATTGGCATTCCCACTCACCATTCATTTCACCCTGGGGCCATGGTTTAAGTACAGTTTTCTCAAATCAATGGATTTTTTAATGTGAATTTTTTTTTTTTCTTTTTGAGACGGAGTCTCGCTCTGTCCTCCAGGCTGGAGTGCAGTGGCGCAATCTTGGCTCACTGCAATCTCTGCCTCCCGGGTACATGCCATTCTCCTGCCTCAGCCTCCCGAGTAGCTTGGATTACAGGTGCCTGCCACCATGCCTGGCTAATTTTTTGTATTTTTAGTAGAGACGAGGTTTCACCGTGTTAGCCAGGATGGTCTCGATCTCCTGACCTCGTGATCTGCCCGTCTCGGCCTCCCAAAGTGCTGGGATTACAGGCATTAGCCACCACGCCCGGCCGAAAAATGTATTTTTGATGTTATATTTTAGAAGATTTAAAATAACAAATAGGTTATTTTGTTTTTCGGGGTTTTTTTCTGCTTATTTTACTTTATAAGTAACAAAACAACAATAACCACAACCTAGGCATTTAACTGGAAAAAAGGTAGACTTTGTAATTAACTTCTAAAAATAGATCTCACAGATTCATAAACAAGCCTAAAAGGCAAAAAGTACTGAACCAATGTTACTTCAGAAAACTCAGTGAACCCACACAAATGCCCCATTTTGTACAGATAAAATAAGAGTTACGTGTCAAAAGATAAACCAGGTTACGGCATTACAACCTTTCCTTTAGAAGGAATGTGCTGAAGGGGAAGAACATTACTAGACTGGTGATCAGGAGGCCTGAGATTTAACCCCATGTTAATTTGAACCTCAGCTTCCTCATCTGTAAGATAAGGGAGACTGACATCCAGACCTGACGTTAGATGAATTAAGCCTCACTGGGGGATGCAACACCAACCTGAGGTTTACTGATCGGGTAGCTCATTCAGCCACAGCCATCACCCTCTGTTTTCCACTGGGCTTTTAGATACATCATAAAACACTAGGATTTTTCTGCTTCAGCCAGTTGCAATTGCTCAGAAACCTCATAAGAATATATATTCCTTTTTTATCTTTTTTTTTGAGACAGGGTTCCCCAGGCTGGAGTGCAGTGGCACAATCATGGCTCACTGCAGCCTCAACCTCCCCAGGCTCAGCTGATCCCCCCACCTCAGCTTCCCAAGTAGCTTGGAGTACAGGCACTTACCACCATGCCCAGCTACTCTTTCTATTTTTTGTAGAGACGGGGTTTCACCATGTTGCCCAGAATGGCCTCAAACTCCTCGGCTCAAGGGATTGCCTGCCTCAGCCTCCCATAGTGCTGGGATTACAGGCATGAGCCACCGTGCCTGTCCACTATTTATTCTATATATATATATATGGGAAATATTTACATATATTTGTTTGCTGGACTAGGCATTGTGTAACACATAAATTATCCATTACAATAACAGCATGAGATGCTGTTCTTTCCATTTTACAGATGGGATGGGGAAGCTCAAAGAGGTTAAGAGACCTGCCCATGGTCACTGGGTGACTGAGGCTTTACCACCATGAAAATCTTTCCATGTAGGTCAACGGCATTTCCTTCTGTAGAGACCTGTGCGCCATGCCCATCCCTTCCTGCTAATGATGCAGCTAGCTAGCTTGCTTGCTTGCTTGCTTTAGCCTCAGCTCTTTTTTAGAGTAGGAAGGCTTTGTATTTTAGCCTATAGTGTGCTATTAACAATGCTTTCCATCAGCAGCCTTTGTTTCTCATAAGGAGTAAGACAATAAGCAGCCCTAAGTATTTATTCATTTCTCTTCAACTCTTGCATGGAACTTAGGTCAGCTTTAGTTTTACTCCCCTCTGCGTTCTTTGTAATCTTGTGGATTGTATGGAGAAATCTGCCCCAAACAGATGACCTGATTACTGAAACCCCCGCATTTTCTGTGGTTTTCCATTGTAAGGGAATCACTGCACTGTAAAATCCATAGGAAAATGCCATTTCTCTAAGCATATTTCTCCAAAAAGTTTTCACCAAACATATGCATTTTCTTAACCTGAAGTTCTTCATCAGTCCCGGCCTCTGTCTTTGAAACGCCCAAAATGTGATGATGTAGGAAAAAAAAATTTAGGGTTGATGGGAAAGGAATGGATTTTAGAGGAAGATGTTTGCAAAGTTCTGGGAGTGGTAAGGAGAAATGGGAAAGGGAGAGAGACCACTCGGGTCTGTTCTGTGTGCAGCCATAGTATTGTTTGCTATTGAGTTGTTTGTGACTTTCTCTCCCATTCCCATCCTCAGATTTAAATGACCAATTTTGGCATAAGGACTCACAGGTGCAGAACATTCTATAGGCTTGGACGACTTCATAAAAAATGATTCAATCATATCTGGGACGAAGGCTGTCCCACTTATTCTCTCTAGCAGCCTAATGCTCTTGCTTTATTCAGATTTCCAATAGCAACTGTCATTGACTTTGTACACTTATGCATTGCATTAAGATTGTACTTATTGTTTGGAACTCTTAATGCTGCAAATACCCGTGCAAGACTTAGACGCTGATAAGAGAGGAGGTGGTAAGGAATGTTTGAATTAACTCATAACTGCTACTTGCAAAGTTTCCAAAAGGTCTGATTTTTAAAAATTGTCTTTAGCATATGTAGAAAGATGTGATCATGAACTCACTGAAATATGGCTACCCTGGGAATATATTTTATAAAGAAGAAAAGAGTTCTTAATTCAAAGACACTGGGTCATGTTGAAGTTGAAAAAATTCTTGTCTATTACCTTTTTTTCATTTGTGTTCCCTAGAATTCAATAAAAATATATGCTATCACTCCTGTCCCTGTCAACTGCTCTGCCTCAGTTATAATATAGCAGAGAGTTATTTAACCTAACCCAGACTAAAAATTATCACCACATCGAGAAATCACCTGGTAAAAGTATTTACTTTCTTTCCTATAAAGCATTCTCTCTCAGTGATTTTTGCATTAGTTTACTTTAGTCACAAAATGATGCAAACCAACAAGGAAAACTAAAATGGTTTTTATCTAATGTACATATAATTGCCGATGAAAAAGTTTCAGAAATCTCAATTACCCACTGTATTATTGTAACCTGTTTTAAGCAACAGGTACTAAAATGAATAGAAATGAATGTTTTTGATCACTCTCCTTCCCCCTCTGCTCCCTATCGTTTAAAATCACATGTCTTACAGTAATTCCATTAGATTTTCAGCTGCTTTTCGAGAAGCAGGGTGTCCGAGCACAACAAAATGTTTCCTGCCAAACAATGGTTCTGCTTAATTTGATGCCTTACCCAGAAACCCAACAATATTCCATGAGACCATTACACACTATTTTATCCTTTTCTTCTCTTTTTTTAATGTTTCACTTGCAGGAGCAGGGAGGGGAGGGGGAAAGGCTAAAACAAACTAATTTTTGGTCATTTTATTCCTTTAGCAAACAGTTTGAAGGCTAACCAATTTGTACTTACAAATCTGGGGCATTAGCAGACGGGGACCCTAAATCCTCATGCATGCAAGCAGTAACTGTTTGTATGCCAAGCTGTTTGTAAGCCTGATTTGACAGGAGAGAGCTATTCATTCTTTTGTCAACTGTCAGTCTAAAAACGTTAACCTGCCTGGGTCCCGGGGTATGGGAGCGCTAAATCTTCCGTCCTACCACTGTATAATGAACAGACTGTTTCATTAGTGGGACAATTCACTCGACAAATCCAGCCCAAACAACTTATTTCACAATTTGTGAGCAGAATTAAATTTCGGGGGAGTCGCAAGAGGGGGGCGGGAGGGGAGGAGGGGGAGTAGGTGAGCGGCACACAATATACTGAGGGATCAATGTGTTGGGATAAGTGTTCCAGGCAATTTTGCTGGCAGTTGTGGGCTGAGGCTTGCAGGGCCACCGCATGCAGATCAGCGGATTAGGGGGACCGCAGCATTAGGTCAAGTGTCTCGAGGGGAGCTGATAAACACCCCAAACCTGACAACAGATTTTCCTTTCTTCCTGCACCACTTGTTAAGTGTCAGAGCAAATCTTTTGAATGGCAGTGGAGTTTACTTAGAGGCCCTTTCTTCAAGAAGACACTCTATCCATTTTCTGAAGCCCATTCCAGGCTGCCTCAGGAATAAATTTGCCCCACATCTCACACACACAAAAAAACGTCTTTTTCCTCCACATCTTGACTATGAGCCTTTGTCTCAAGGTGTGTGAACCAGAACAAAAATCCACATCAAGAGCCCCTAAGGTTTCAGAGCCTCTGGATTTAGCTTTAATACAAATTAAACACTTTGAAGATTACACAAATACTTTTTTTTTTTTGGTCACAGAAAAGTCTCATTTTAAACATTACCAATGTATGGATTCTGTTAAACGGAGAAATTTTAAGCAGCAAAGGGTCATAGAATGACTAGATCTTAACAATATCCTATATGTACATTGCTGTTAATTCAAACAGAGTAAATAGCCAGCATGCTATATTTCTTTCAATTTAAGAATCCCAAACAGGAGAAGCCAGCCATGCTTATTGTATTAAGTTGTATCTCTGTGTTAACTCAAAGTATGTGATAGAAAATCTGTGTTGCAACATTTAAAATTTGCTTACTAGTTTTGAGCAGAGAAGTTTATTTTCACTTTGAGATGTTCTAAAATGTTTAAATAGCCTCAAATGTTTGAGGGCTTTTTGTTGCAGCTTGGTTTTGCATTATGGTTTTGTTTTTTATTTCTTTTGGCTGTTTAATTTTTGATTTGGTATGGTGTGCAAATCTAATGTGAAGTTTTCAAGTGACCACTGTTAAAAGGATCAAGTAGGAAAGTCCTCTGAATATTAGCATGTCATTTTCCCAGACATTTGCACTGGAGCCATTTTGGGCAATCGGTTTGAAGATATTTTCCTTTTAATAAGTATTTTCTATCAAATAGAGTCTTATGGAAGAGAAAATAAGTGTTTTGGCTATATTTTTACAATACTTTTTTGAATTTAGGTAGTGGAAAATATGTTACTGAAGTACTGAACAATATTTCTGTGCTGGACCAACACTATGATAATTATTTCAATATTATTGATTTCTATTGTGAACTCCACCTACTCTATAGAGAATATTTAATCAGGCAAACTAGTACTTATGCCAAAAATGCTTCTTATTCTCCCTCTTCCGCTAGAAAATTTCGCAGGATTAGAGCTATTATATTATCTAGTAGTTACATCTTTGGTGCCTGAGGATCTCAACACTAAATGGAACCATTACAGGACATTCTACACTCACTCTATACGCTGGATTCCTGTTATATGAAGAGATTCATTATTCTTTACCTCATTTTCACCATTTTTTAGGAAAGAAAAATGTACTGTATTTCACTGTGCTGAATGCAACTGCCAATCAAGATAGTCTGCAGCCTACCTGTGGACCTTAATGATTTCACATGTTCTGCGGAAGAATTTCTCCCCCACCTCCAATGACTATGGCATTCCTTGGGAAAGTTAGCTTGGTATTTACTTTTCCCCAGCAGGTCCCAAGCTGACCAAAAAAATAAATAAAAATAAAAAATAAAATCAACAACAACAACAACAACAACAAAAACACAAAACAACAATCAGTTAGCCAGGCTGTTTCAATGGCCCAATAAGTTCCATGATAGCAAGAATTCTATGAATAATAATGGGACATGGAATCCCATGCAGCCTCGCGGAGAGCTCAGCCAAATCACCCGGAAATTCTGCTTCATCACAGCCCTTTCTCTTGCCATAAAACTGCTTGGGCTCTGTCTTTGCTTCCACATCATTTAAGCCTTTCTGCCGACCCTCCAGCAATTCCATCCCTGGGGCCTCCGCCCGTCACTATGCTGGGGCTCCCCAGGGCTTCTCAAGAGGCTCCGTCAGCTCCATCCTAGAGGCCTCTTCACAGCACCAGATGAAGTCCACACCTCCTTTTGTAGGACGTTCAAGCAACACAGGCCAGAGTAAGGATCAAAGTAAAAGTCATCCTAAATTCACCACTGAGAGATACCACTGCCGGTAAACAGGAGACTGCTTTTTCGGATGTCTACGCATTTATACATCTTGCCCAGTAACAATGGTACTATATCATACATACCATTTTCTTTTATTTTATTTGTATAAATTTATGAGGTGCAAGTGGAATTTTGTTGTATAGACAGATTGTGTAGTGGTGAAGTCAAGGCTTTTAGTGTGTCCATCATGCAAATGAGGAATATTGTACCCATTAATTAATTTCTCATCATCCACCCCCTCCCATCCATACATACCATTTTATAAATAGCTTGTTTTAGCCAACAATATGTCATGAAGTTTTTTTTTTCATTTCACTGACTCTATATCTTCATATTCCTTTTCTTTTTTTTTTGAGATGGAGTTTTGCTCTTGTTGCCCAGGCTGGAGTGCAATAGCACAATCTCGGCTCACTGCAACCTCTGTCTCCAGGGTTCAAGTGATTCTCCTGCCTCAGCCTCCTGAGTAGCTGGGATTACAGGCACGTGCCACCATGACCAGCTAATTTTTTGTATTTTTAGTAGAGATGGGGTTTCATCATGTTGGCTAGGCTGGTCTTGAACTCCTGATGTCAGGTGATCCACCCGTCTCAGCCTCCCAAAGTGCCGGGATTGAAGGTGTGAGCCACCGCACCTGGCCCATATTCCTTTTTAAAGACAGCATCAGAGTTCATCATATAGATATTCTTTAATTATATAATTAATCCCTTTTGTGGGCCATTTGTGGGGGTGCTCATTTTTTTCTTATTAGAAAGAAAGCTGAAATCAATGTCTTGTACAAATACCTTTTGTGTACTTCTCTGGTTAGCGCTTTAAGATAAAGACTTAAAAGAGGCATTGTTAGCTCAAAGGATATATATATTTTCACATATGTAGTTAAGCTGACCTCTGGAAATTTATCATATTATGCAAATCCTGTCAGCTGCTTTTCAGGGGCAGGAATGCAGTGGGGCAGGGAGGCCATATTTACTTGTGACACAGGATTTTTCTTGGCCACTTTGCCAACTGGGGACTTCCATGGCCAGTGACCCCCTCCCTGCCCAGACGTCGCTTAGCCCGGCCTGCCTCTGGAGGCGCCCTGCCCACTTGGCCCACCAGTGTTATAGCTTGTACCCAAGTTTGGTGATTCCTAAGCTCTTGTGTCATGTCCAAGCAGAAAGAGGATATGCTGCTGACAATTGAAGGGTGAGGATGGATGGAGAAGAATTTTATTGAGCGATGGAACAGCTCTCAGTGGAGAGGGAACATGGCGGGGGTGGTCCCCCACCCCTGCACTCAGGTGGTTTCTCTCTCCCAGTGTGGCTGAGTCAGGGACTTTTATGGGCTCAGAATAGGGGAGTGTGTGCTGTTTGGTTTGTGAGTATGCAAAGAAAGGCTAAAGCAAAGGCACCACTAAAGGTGGGCACAGCAGTGTAGAAAACCAATTAGAAAAAGGTAAGTATATGTAAAATAGGTGAGGGGTGGGGACGAATCAGAGGAAAGTGTGCCAAATGGGAAGACAGGTTCTCAATCCAATCTGTGGATTTGACGTGTAGCTTGGCTTTCAGGCTTTAAACTGTCTTTAGCTTGAAGGTCAGGTTTCACTGGGGACCTGCCCATATCTGCCTAGGTATTTGTCTGCCTCCTGCCGCTATCAATTCCCCCCTCTGAAGAGGTACCTCTAACTGTCATTAGGATAAGAACGGTGACCGATCTTAACTGCTTCATGCTGACAGGAGGTGCCATTTTGGGAAAATGGCAGTCAGTTCTCCCTCAGAGGCCTCTCTAAGGGTCCCTGACAAAAGGGAGCCATTGTCTGAGGCTCCAGTTGCATGACCATTTGCAGTTTGATGGCCTGAAGGTGAAAAGAGACAAACCAGGTTATTAGAAGACATGTATCAAAATGAAACAAGGGGGTAAGGACAGTTCAAAAATCCCAAGGTTGCCAACATGCCCAGATAACTGATGGCTATAGTTATGCCTGCTAAGATTTGAGTGCATGGAGCTTGGCTTTGGTTAGCTCCCTTGGTCTTATTTTCCCAAACAAAGAAATCTTGGGGTTATGGGCACCCTATTTACTCCTATCACCTGGCAGGATTTGCAGGATAATTGCCCAGAACTAGAATATTGATCCAGATTTTTACATTACCCAGCCCTTCTGTTTCTTCTGAGCTGCAGCTGGAGATCACTGGTTGGTTCACAGGAATAAGCAGGGTTAGTCTAAAATGCAGACAAAAACTTAAAAACAATGAGACTAGAATTTAATGTCAAGTGTACGATAAGTTTTGAAACATATTTTTTTCTCTCTCCAGTCCTCATTTTTGTTAAAAACAAATCATGATAGGACTGAGTTGTTTGCAAAATAAACTTTCATCTTATATATGGCTTAATTATCTGCATAAAGTGCAGGAAGAATAATTATTTTCACATAGGCTTTTCTAAGTTGGCTTTGATGAAACTCTGTTCCAGAAGTAATCTTAGATAAAACTTTTCAAAGCTGAGCTCAGCCATGGGTTTATACCCTCAAATACCTATGATTTGGGTAAATTCCTCTCTTCCTGAGGTTCTAAGAAAGCTTGGGGCTGCTGGGCCTGTTAGAAAGTGACATTCTTTACTCACCACAGGTTACGAACCCTGTAAAGGAACTGTGTAGACAAGGTGTGAGGCCAGGTTTCCCAAGGGGCTTTTATTGGTTCTGCAAGTCAAGCTTGATTCCCTAAAGGAAAGTACATCATTCCAGTCAAAGCCTTGGCAGAACAACCAGTTTCTCCAATTGAATATTGTTGCAAAAGAAAATGGATTCTTATTGCACTGGTGCAAATAACTATATTGCCGTAAGTTAAGGATACTCGCAAATAGTTTCCAAATTCTAGAGAAACCAGGCAGAGAGAAACAAATATGCTCCAAATTTTGTTCACAGTAGTATACCTTACTCAATTGTTAAAAGTTGTAGATAGCTCAAAAGATTCCTTGACTCTGAAAAACAAAACAAGGATCAGCAATGTTTTAAGCAAAATTTTGAAAACATTACTTCAGTTTTCTATTGATTCAGTCCAATATCTGCTTGATATTCATGAACATTTCAGCTCTTCATGAGTCCTGAATGTTTTTCCTTTATTCCAATGTCACAATCTCCAAAGATATCAGGAACCTGCATTTAAGAGCACCTGTCAAAGTTCTATAGCTGATTATCAACCATCTTTTGAAAAGGAACAATACAAGACAACAATTATCTGTGAATGACAAAATGTTCAGGCTAGTTACAGTTAAAAACTTGATTGACAGAGAAATTTGGCTACTTGTATGGTTTACAATAACTTAACATAATAACCTTAATTATGATTGATAACATATACTCAGACATTAGAATTTTAGAAATCCTATGCAATTTTGGAACATACATTAATATTATTCACCAAAATAGAACCTGAAAATTAAATGTTATTTTTATTTTGGCAATCCCATGTAACTAAACATGTCAAATAATCCTGTTTACCTCTCTTTTGGATGTTCCAGGGGCCCTCTGTAGCATCCAAAAGTTAGGGGCTAGAAAAGACAACCTTGAAGCTAAAGTTTGATTTTTGGGGAAGCCTACAAACATGTTAAAGGTTTAAAACATTTGATATTATGCAATAGAATTCCAGGTTACCACAAGTCATTTATTTAGCCAAAATAATGATTTAAAACATTTTTAAAAAGGCAAAAACCTTTACATACTAAGAGGGAAGACTTAGCTTTCCAAACAATCTGTCTTGTCTTCCTCCCTCCTTTATTTGAAACCTTATAGATAATTCTATCCAATCTTAACCAGTTTGACCATGAGGTGAGGTTCCTATAAACCTTTTATAACCCTTTACAAATTTTTGTTAAAGAGCAGATCAATACATTAAGAAAACCCTGTTATGCTTTAATTCCAATGCTTGATTTACGGAAAAACCAAATCATACCCTTTTGAATTTAGTTGATCTCAAATGAAGTTTCTTTTACAAGATTAATTTTTACCAACCTTTCACAACTTCTTTAAACCTTTAGCTTTATCTTATCTGATTTAAAACAATTCTTTAACCCTCTAAACTAGGCAAAAATTTATATTCCCATGCCTTCTTATAATATTTTACCAAAAATATATTTTACTTTCTTTACACACCTTGCATGTAAATCTATTTTTAGTAGTCCCAATTATGTGTTATAATGGTAACTCTTAGCAATTTTTAATTTTAGTGTAAAACCTGGTAAGCTGTTTTAATTATGTACTAGGTGCAGCTAAGATCTGACACTTTCCAGTATAGTAAGAGGTATAGTTAACTCCACATGTCCCAAGGCCTTACCAAACTGTAAAGCAGACAAGCCGAACAGTTTTCAAAATCCAAAGAAGCAGTTTATGACCTTAGAGCATTTAGCAAACCTAATATCTGAACATAATTTAGACCACATGTTTACATTTTGAAGACATTTGTATTTTACCAATAATCTTTAAAACTGTTTTTATTTCTCAAAGATTAAAGTCATGTGAACTAAATGGCATTACAGCTTTTATTTTTCCTTTAAAATTTTTGATCTAAGCCTTTATTTTCTTTAAGCCAATTAATTAGAGCTCCTTTTTATACAGACAGACAGAAGAAGATCCAGTAGTTGTAAGATTTTTCATCTGCCAGTTTCTTAATTTGATTACTGGCCTCAGGGTGGAGCCCTTCAAGAGCAGGGCTAGGAAAGCATGCAGTTTCTAGGGCTAATAAACAGGCATAGCAGGAAGACAAATACAGATTTTGAGAGGGTTCTATCCACTTTTAATTCCTGGTGTTCCATGAGGAAAACACAGGTTTTTGCCCAAAATGGGGTCCATGGCACCTTTTCTGTTTTTCCCAAGCCATCCCAGGCTATCAGAAGTTGTCTTAGGGCCTCTCATGTGTGCATTAAGGGTGGCAAGACAGGCTCGGTGGCTCACGCCTGTAATCCCAGCACTTTTGGAGGCTGAGGTGGGCAGATCACAAGGTCAGGAGATCGAGACCATCCTGGCTAACACGGTGAAACCCCATCTCTACTAAAAATACAAAAAATTAGTCAGGCATGGTGATGGGCGCCTGTAGTCCCAGCTACTCGGGAGGCTGAGGCAGTAGAATGGCGTGAATCCAGAAGGCAGAGCTTGCAGTGAGCCAAGATTGCGCCACTGCACTCCAGCCTGGGCAACAGAGCAAGACTGTGTCTCAAGAAAAAAACAAACAACAACAACAACAAAAGAGTGGCAAGACAAAATGGAGAAAAATAATTCAGGTGACTGAGAAGAAAGAAAACTTTTTCCAGCAAAACAAGATCCAAGAAGAGAAAAAAAAAAAGCATAAAGGCCTTTCAAATGTACATATAGCTTGGATATCCACTTTTAATTAAGGTGACTTTTAGCTGTAGCACTCTTTAAAAAATTCTTTTAATTCCCTTATTACCCAACTTTAGCCATGCCAAGCAGCTGATATTTCTGACTTTTGAACTTTACCAAAATTAACCTCACAGGTGAAACCAACAAACCTCAACTAAGGTTGATTTAATCATGAGTGTACAAGGCATTTTCAGAGGTGGTAGGCACTTTTTACAAAATCTAAAATCTTTAAAGGTAGCTCAGAGAAAATGTTATGGGATCATTGAGGTGCCGCTTTTCTGGCCAGAAACCTCTGTGCAGAAACCCACAGTGGGGCGGGCAGCTCCAGGTGTCTGCACAGGTGCTGGCTGTCTGCAAGGCTATGGCTGGACCAGGCACACCACAAGCAATTTCCAGAGATGGCACTGGGGAACATGGTGGCACCCAGAAGCTTGAACATGCCAGAAATCACAGGGCCCCAAGGAGGGAGTCACAGTCCTGGCTGAGGGAGCTCCCTGGTCTTGGCTCCCTGAAAGGTTGCAGCTCTTTTCTCCATCTCTTCACCTGTAATGTGGCAAGCAAAGGGCATGTCTCAACCCTGTTTGTGTTACAGCTCTTTTAGCCTCGCCATTTGGCAGGTCCCAAGTCTTGTCCTGTGACCAGGAAGAATAGGTATGCTGACAAGTGGAGGGCGAGCAAGAAGAAGAGGAGCTTTATTGAGTAATAGAACAGCTGAGAGGAGACCCTCAGTTTGTAGCTCCTTTCCACAGTCAGGGTGTCCTGATGAATGTTCAGCTCCTAGCAGAGAGGGTAGCTCCTCTCTACAGCTGGTCATCCTGTCATCTGCTCTGCTCTGGTTGAGCATGGGGCTTTTATGGGCCTCAGTGGGGAGAAAGTGTATATCAATTGGTCCATGGGTGGCCATGGGGGGCACCTGGAAAAGGCACCACAAATTCCCACTTTGGTCTGCAGTTCTGGCAGCCTCGCCCCCAGCCATCAGGCCCTCCCTGGCCTGAGGTGGGGCCTCACCAGGGACCCACCTCCTTCTGCCCAGGAGCCTGTCTGCCCCCCTGCCACTGTCCATGGTGCCCAGGCTACTTGTGACAAGTAGCACCTGCAGACCAGTGCCGAGCTACCCTCAGTGCCCCTCTCAGCTTCCCCACCATGCTTGTCAGTGCCCAATGTCTAGAGGAGGCTGAGGCAGCAGGGGGCTGGTGTGTCTGGTGTGCCAGTACTGCCCCAAGTGTGCGCGTACCTGGCTGGGCTGTGACAGTGCCCATGCTGGACTCCAACCCCGCTCCAAGATCAGAGCAGGTGCTGGGAGCTGGGAGAGGCCAGGCAGCAGGAGCAGACACCCCTGAGGGTGCAGAGTGCAGAGACACCCAGGTCCTGCACCTGGGAGGGCAGGACTCCTGCCCTCTCTGAGGAGCATGCAAGAAGCCCTGGCTGTGCTTCCTCGCAGCTTGGGGTGGGGGCTCCAGGTCCTCACTGGGCCCCTCTGTCCCCACCCCTCTGTGCCCAACCATGCTTTTCCCCTCCATTGGGCAGCTTGATCTAGCCCCTTCATGGCAGCCTCCAGGACAGCAGGCTTTTGGGGGGTTCCCACTTGTCCCTGGCTCCTGCTGGCTCCATGGAGAGTGGCACTGCCCTGGGCCCAACTCTACCTTCTCCTTGAGCCCTCCCCTGCAGTGGTGGCAGATGAGAGCAGCAACTCGGAGCCAGGGTCTGGAGTTACGAAGGCTAAGGCCCTGGGGGCAGGTCCCACCTGGCTGCTGTGCCAGGGTGGGGGCTGCACAGTCAGCTGCCTCAGGGACATGGGGCACAGGGGGCCCACCGCCACCATTGCTGTTCCCACAGCTGCTCCTGTCACCACCTCTCACACCTCCCCACTGCAGTCAGTGCAGTGGTTGCTCTGGACAGCCCACTGCTGCCATCAAAAGGAAGCTAGAAGTTGTTCATGGAGGGGAGGAGAATCAGCAAATGGTAAAAGTCATGCAGATATTAACCAGAAAGTACTCATTGCCTAAGCCAGGACTGAACCCGGGACTCCATTGCAAAATGGCAAAGACCAAAAGAAAGTACTGCCATGTGGTTACAAGGTCCAGCTGCAAAGGACGTAAAACAAGATGGAGACCTCATCCAGTTCTTTTCTTTAGAGACCTGTAGCAAAGTTTGTTACTAAACAGTTTGCCAGGCTGGCTTGAACAGTGGGCTTACGGGGTCCTAGGCCCATGTTCTATCCTAAGGCATCCCTCTTTCTGATGGAAAGATACAGAAAGACAAATTCTTAATACAATGGATTCACTATAGCTTAAGACTAGTCTCACAAATCCCTTTTTCCATTAATCAAAATTTACGGAGGATATAAACAATGATTTTTACCAATCACTGAATGAGGATATGCCGACAATTGAAGGGTGAGGATGGGTGGATAAGAATTTTATTGAGTGATGGAACAGCTCTCAGTGGAGAGGGAACATCGGGGGTGGTCCCCCACCCCTGCAGTGGGGTGGATTCCCTCTCCCAGTGTGGCTGAGTCTGGGACTTTTATGGGCTCAGAATAGGGGAGTGTGTGCTGATTGGCTTGTGAGTATGCAAAGAAAGGCTAAAGCAAAAGCACCACTCAAAGGTGGGCACAGCAGTGTAGAAAGACAATTAGGAAAGGATAGATATGTAAAATAGATGAAGGGTGGGGATCAGTCAGAGGAAAGTGTGCCAAACAGGAAGACAGGTTCTCAATCCAGTCTGTGGATTTGACTTGTAGCTTGGCTTTCAGGCTTTAAACTGTCTTCAGCTTGGAGGTGGGGTTTAACCAGGGACCTGCCCCTATCTGCATAGGCATTTGGCTGCCTCTTGCCACTATCACTTGTATTAATTCAGCCTCTTGTAGCCTGCAGCTCTCATGCCTTGGAACTAGGGTTTGTCCTGTAGGTTCTCATCAAAGCAATTTACAAAATAGTTCTTCTGATTTCTCCCTTTCTTTTTTCTTACCTAAGTAACTCAAGACATTTTAGGGACCAATTTCCTAATGCTTATAAAAGTCTCTTGAATTATTTGAATAAAGTGGTGATATAAGAGAAGCATGTCAATCCTTGCATTTCATGTGTCAAAAGGCTTAGCTGGCCTGTGGATCATCTTCCCATACTTTCTTTGATTTTGATGCCTTTCTTTGTCACTGTATCTGAAAAGACCAAATCCAGGGACATGCCTCTCACCTCTAGTCATAGTGGAGGTTCACTCTATATTATTTTTAGTTTTGTTGAAATTATTAAACTGACACTGTCAAATTCCACAAAACTTGTAAAAATCAAAAAGAAAACACATCACAAATAATTTCTCTGAGTTATGACATCATCTTCACAACCATCATTGACAAGGCTCCACAAGGGTTGGCCCCATTGATGAATGTGCCTCCCCTTTATGGCTGGGATGTGGTGTTTTTACTTAAACCAAGAAATAAAGGGATTTATGAACTTTCAGAACATTGGCTTCTCAAAAGTATACAATGCTTTTTCTTTATAAATAAGATTGTTTTGCTTTTCAAAATTAAGTATTTTTACTTGTACAGTAAATATGAGATTTGATTAAAAGAAAAAAAAAAGACAAAGCAAACTGGGAGCCCTGCCTACGTATTATTTTTTTTTTTTTGAGATGGAGTTTTGCTCTTGTCACCCAGGCTGGAGTGCAGTGGCACGATCTCAGCTCACTGCAACTTTCGCCTTCTGGGTTCAAGAGATTCTCCTGCCTCAGCCTCCTGAATAGCTGGGACTACAGGTGCATACCACCATGCCTGGCTAATTCTTTTTTTTTTTTTTTTTTTGTATTTTTAGTAGAGACAGTGTTTCACTATGTTGGCCAGGCTGGTCTCGAATTCCTGACCTTGCGATCTGCCTGCCTCGGCCTCCCAAAGTGCTGGGATTACAGGCATGAGCCACTGTCCCTGGCCCCTCCCTATGTTTTTATGATTTTATTATTGAGTAAACTGAGGCACCATGTGCAAAACAGAGCAAATGAAGTGGGATTTTTATCCTATTAAAATGTATTTCTGAATGATGGAGATAATTTTCCCATATGATGGTATAGGAGGCTGATAAGCACAGCCCAGATCTGTGGCTGTGGCTTGGTCTTCTGCATGGTCCAGATCTCCCTTTCCTGCCTTTTCTTCCATGCTCCGGTGATCCATCCTAGTTGGAGTTCAACCCTTGGGTTTCCCTGGAGCTTTGCTTCTTTGATGCACATGCATGAATTCTTACATTTGCGTATTTTGACATTCTTCATTTCCAACAGCTGTGGGCTAAACACTTACAGGCAGGGAGTGGTTTTGTTTTGCAAGCTGCTAGGATATTTGCCAAGAGTTTCATGTTTTCTTATCCTGTATGCAAAGCCTGTAGAAATGCTTTTAGTTTGTCTTTTGTCTTACTTCTAAGTCTTGCCCTCTGTTTCAGGAGCTGTGGCTGGCGAATCTGGATGTTATGCTGGGACATTATTTTTTCACGGGGTTTAATTTCTCTGTCTCTTTAAAAGTTGAATGGACACTGCTTCCATTTCCCTTTGTGATCAATAGAGTGGGCTCATATTTGTAATTTCTACACTCATCAAATTATGTCAGTAGGACATAATTTCTTGATGGCCACTTAATCCTGTAAGTGATTTGCTCAACACCTTTGATTTTAATTAAGTGGTTCCTGAGAATTGTTAAAACAGCAAGCTGTGAATGGAAAATAGATTCAGGAATTTAAATCACACTGAATCCCTGGACATGAGCTCTATGAGGGTAGAGAATTTTGTCTGTTTTGTACACTGCTGTCTCAACAATAGCTGGCACTTACTAGGCATTGAGTAAATATTTACGGAATAAATGAACGAGAGAATCTAATAAGAAAGAATGACAACAGCTGATATACTTGGATGCAGAAAAAAAGAATGGAATAACTTTGAATAGTTTAATGTCAAAGTGGATCCCTTTTCTCACTTCTGTGAGTTTGCTAAGTGTCTTAAATTATCTGAATTACAGTTTCCTTATCCATAAAATAAACACTTGGTAAACCCTAAAGTCTCTTCAAGCCCTAAACTTTTGTGGTGTGTGATATACAGGTAAGGGATGGTCTAATCTGTGCACCTGCTACAAGGCAGAACCACTATGGAAAAGACAGTTCCAAGTGGAAACTTCCCCAAAACATTTAAGGAATGGAGGCACTGAAGACTAAATGCATAATCTCAAGGAAGCACTACTGAAGGATCCTATTAGTTTAGACACATAGCTTTCCTTCTCCCTCCCTTTGTTGCTCCTTCTCTTCCTTCCTCCCTTCCTTCCTTTCACCAGTCTCATTACCACATCAGATGATTAATTGATGGGTCCTATGAATGAAATGAATTTGAAAGCTAGTCAAACAAAAAAGACATGAGACATTTACTAGTTAAAGCACGTGCTTTCTAATCTGGGGAAACTTGAATATATGGCCTCAGTGGTGTAGCTAGAATTTTGTTAGTCAATATCATCTTAGTTATAATTACCAAAGTAATGCTCTACAAAATAAATTTTAAGACATTTTGCTGATTATAATCACATTTCCTGAGTAGTTAGACATGTTCTGGAATGAATTTATTTTGTCTATTTCAAAATGGCTTAAAGTGCTAGAATTTCTGTTGCTTCCCCAGATTACTCTATACTTTCGTGATTCTCACCTTTAACGGTTTTCTGGTTGCTTGGGTATTTTTAAGTCATTATATTTTTCTCACTAGTTGTCTCTTAATTTACTTAAAGGAAGGTATTTGAGCCGTAACTCTCTTGACCCCATGCCGATTTCTTGACAGCCTCTTAATCCTGTAAGTGAACAATCCACCAAATTGCCTAGTGGATTTTCTAAAAGTTATATTCCCAATTCTAGCATAATAGCTTGGTTAGTGTTATTGCACTGAAAGATAGAGGAGATTGTGAAGGCTCATGCACATAATATAAACAGATACATCTTTGAGAAGAGGAAGAGAATGAGGGAGGAGAGAGCTCCGTGGCTCTCCATCAAACAAGGGTAAAAGTATCTTGTTGGCCCAGAACATATTTTACCTTAAAATTTAAGGATAATTTAATTTTTAAATGCCAGTTTCATTTCATCATTTACTCTTGTTTTATGGAAATTAAAAATAGCCAGATGCGGGGGTCACACTTGTAAGCCGGGTGCGGTGGCTCACGCCTGTAATTCCAGCAATTTGGGAGGCTGAGGAGGGTGGATCACCTGAGGTCAGGAGGTCAAGACCAGTCTGGCCAACATGGCGAAGCCCTGTCTCTACTAAAAATACAAAAATTAGCTGGGCTTGGTGGCAGATGCCTGTAATTCCAGCTACTCGGGAGGCTGAGGCAGGAGAATTACTGGGATTCAGGAGGCAGAGGCTACAGTGAGCTGAGATCACACCATTGCACTCTAGCCTGGGCAACAGAGCAAGACTCCATCTCAAAAAAAAAAAAAATTGGCCGGGTGCAGTGGCTCACACCTGTAATCCCAGCACTTTGGGAGGCTGAGGCGGGAGGATCACGAGGTCAGGAGATAGAGACCATCCTGGCTAACACAGTGAAAACACATCTGTACTAAAAATACAAAAATTAGCAGGGCACAGTGATGCACGCCTGTAGTCCCAGCTACGCGGGAGGCTGAGGCAGGAGAATCACTTGAATCTGGGAGGCGGATATTGCAATGAACTGAGATCGTGGATATTGCAGTGAGCCAAGATCACGCCACTGCACTTCAGCCTAGTGACAGAGCAAGATTCTGTCTCAAAACAAATAATAAATAAATAAATAAATAAATAAAATAATACAACAAAATAAAAATAAAAAAGTGAAAAAGGAATAAAGAAATAGGAAGAAAGGTATAGAAAGAAGAAGGAAGCATAGAAACAAGCTAGCTATTGTTACAGCCGTGTTTCTTGAGTGTTGGAGTAGGGAATGATACCGTGATGAAAGCTTTCTGATGCATGGCGACTCCTGGGAGCCTCACAGTCCCTTCCTTCCTTCCACTGTTCTCCCAGTTTCACCTCCCTTCCTTCCCTCCAATATTTTCTTTTCCTTTCAACTTTGCTTCTCCCATTCTCCAATTTCCCTGCTATTTGCTACAATGTGCCTGTTGCTCAGGATACAGTGGTGACAATATGGACAGGAGGGCACACACCTGCAGCTGATCCTCTTCTTGGGGAAGACAGAGACAAAGCACGTAATCACACAAACCAGTGAAATGATAAATTCTGATAAATGCTGTGACAAAGATGACAAGGAGAGAGTCTAACAGGGGGACTAATTTAGACTGATGGTCAGCAAAGACCTCTCTGAAGAAATAAAATATTAAAATGAGACTCGAAGGATTAGTAGAAGTTATCCAGAACCAAGGGGTGCGTGTGCACGTCTGCGTGCGTATGTGTGTGCGTGTGTGAGTGTGTGTGTATGCATGTGTGTGTGTATGTGAGTGTGTTGGAGAGGGTGGAGAAGCACATGCAAAGGCTCTGAGACAGAAGAGGCAGAAAGTGTTAAAGGAGCAGAGAGAAGGCCAGTAGGAGGTGGGCAGGGCTGGAAATGACAGGGGGAGGAGGCTGTGGATATAATCACTTTGATATAATCTAGAACATCCATTGGAATCCACTGAAGGGCATTGGGTAGCAGGTTAACGAGATTTAAGTCTTAAGGAGGTTGTAATGGTTTTAAGAAGACTTTTCTGACCACCCTATAGAATGTGGGTTGCAGTTATTTGAACTAAGGAATGCCGCAATGCACCTCACCAAAGCATAGCTGCCGAGTATAATGGTAGGAGCCGACTGTTCAGGTTCGAATCCCAGCCCTAGGTGTTATTAGCTGTATGACCTTGGACAAGTAAATGAAACGTTTTGTGGCCTATTTCTTTGTTTGTAAAGGGAGAATGAAAGTAGTATCACCCAAGGGCTCTTGTGAGGATTCACTGAGCACAATACCATGAGTAAGTGCTCAAGAAACAGTAGACATTGTTTTTACCTATTCCTGAATGTTGCTCTTGTAAGACACAGGTTTGTAAAAAGGTAAAACTCAATAAAACTTTGTAAATGGAAAAACATTTAAAATGTTTTCTGGGAAAAGTAGCCCTTAGAAAATCCTTTAATAAAGCCAGCAAGCAAACAAAAAACCAAAACACCATTACCTTTCTTCTTGGAAAATACCGTTTCCTATGTGAAGTTGCTTAGCACAGGGGACAGTTGTCACGCTGCCTGCTGAGCCTCTGGGCACAGTGAACCAGCCCCATCTTCCTACTTGAATTCAATCCGGCAAATTTCAGATGATCTTCTACCTGCAAAATACTGTTATGAGTTAAACTGGTTTTGGCTTCAAGAAACAGAAAATTCCTACTCAATCAGCTGGAGTGTTGAGGGCACTTTATATTTCACATGGCAGGAGATCTAAAGCAAGGGTGGCCTGGTTTCTGGCTCTGCCTCTCTGGGTCCTTTGACTCTGTCTTTTTCTGATACTAGCTTAATCCTCAGGCTGGTGCCAGCATGGACGAGTGGAGAAGGAGACTTACTAAGCAAAATTAGGACTCTGTCAAGAAGGAGGAGAGAAGATGGCCCGAGGGAAGGCAGCCGACAGCATCACCTGCAGCTCTGCAGGACATCAACCACTGCCCTCAAAACCTCACGCCGTAGGGAGGGACGTGGAGACAGTCACAAGGAATCTGATCATCAACTAGAATGTCACACTTAGCAGATCAGAGTTTCTTTGTAAAACGCTTTTTATTTGAGACAGAATCTTGCTTTGTTACCCAGGCTGGAGGGCAGTGGTGCCATCTTGGCTCACTGCAACCTCCGCCTCCAGGTTCAAGCCATTCTTGTGCCTCAGCCTCCCAAGTGGGACCACTGGCATGTACCACCACACCCAATTAATTTTTCAATTATTTGTAGAGACAGGGTCTCCCTATGTTGTCCAGGCTGGTCTTGAACTCCTGGCCTCAAGTGATCCACTGCCTCAGCCTCCCAAAGTGCTGGGATTACAGGTGTGAGCCACCACACCCATCCTGGAATGGAGTTTCCATCAAAAGATGTGAGACTATGAAGAAAGATGGATTAATTATTTCCTGACTGGTGCCAGAGCTGGCGATATCTGATTAGCTCCTTGAAGAATCAAGAAGAATTGGCTAAAATATAGCTTTCTTTACAGAAAAAAAATATTTTTTACAATGTCCCTAAAACCAATTTTTAAAAAATTTTATTTTATATATGTTGGGGAAAATGATGGTAAAATACAAGAACATAACATAAAATTTACCATCCTAACCATTTTTAAATGTACCATTCAGTAGTGCCAAGTATATTTACATTGTTGTGTAACCCATTTCCAGAACTTTTTCATCCTGAAAGAGTGAAACTCTATATGCATTAAACAACCCTCCATTTCCCCTCTACCCAACCCCTGGCTATCACCATTCTTCTTTCTGTCTCTACGAACTTGATTACTCTAGGGATCTCATATAAGTGGATCCATACAGTGTTTATCCTTCTGTGACTGTCTAATTTCACTCAACATAATATTTCTAAGTCCCATCCATGTCACAGCATGTCCCAGAATTTCCTTCCTTTTTCCAGCTGAATAATATTTCATTGTATGGATGTCTACATCACATTTTGTTTATCTACCCACCCGTCAATGGATAATAACTTCCACTTCTTGGCTATTGAAGTGGGTTGCTTCCACTTCCTGGCTATTGTGAATAATGCTGCTATGAACATGCATGTTGCATAAACATCTCTTCAAGACTCTGAGTTCAGTTCTTTTGGATTAATACTCAGAAGGGAAATTGTCAAGCTTGATTTTTAAATCTCTTAGTGGAAAAGTGTGTTTTATTGTAAAAATAATAGTTGAAGGTAGAGGTATGATATGTATTTTATTTTATTTTACTTTTTCTTGTTTCCAGTGGAGTTGGTTGATATACATTTTAGAGCTGGACTGCTCAATGTGGTACCCAGGCTAGCAGCCACAATAGCAGCACCTGAGAGATGGTTTGACCCACAGCAGCTCAGTCAGTAGGGTACTCACTAAACCAGTGTGTATGAGTCATAGGATCCCCAGGTGATTCACGTGCATGCTCAGGGTTGAGAAGCTCCGCTCTAGCATTCACATTGCTTTCCTTCCAGGAGTTTACCATCACGAGTATCTCGCCCTCTTTAGTTTTACCTTCATTAAAAAATTTTGTCTTCTCTCCTTTTTTAGCTACATACAAATCATTCCTTTTCAATGACTGTGTTAGAAGTCAATATTTAACACTGCAGCTGCAGAGATCATTTTTTTCTTTCTTTTTCCTATTAACTGTTTCATCTGCTTCTAAAAGAGTCAGGAATTAGAAAAGAAGGCCCACGTTGAGGTGACTGCTAATTAAGTCCCATCTTGAAGATGATTAGTTTAATACAGCAACAAAACAAACAAGCAAAAAGAGCATATTTTAGTTTTGGTTGAGAAGGGTAGGACAGAGGAAAACAGAAGTATGTGAAAAGAATTGCTAAGTGACTGATAAATAGGCTTAAGTTATTTAAACTGGCACTGAGCGCAACTTAAACAGTATGTTTTGCATCATCTAAATTTCTAAATACCTGGAGTATATTTGTAAACATGGCAATCTAACATGTTATTGAACAGCACATTCATATTCAAATTAGCATAAACGAGGATTTAACAGCTGATTGCACAGCGTGAATGATAGTAACTAATTGTCAAGTTGGAAAGTTGCACAGATAATAGTACTAATGCGATCAGCACACAGCAATATGACTTACAGTAGCAAATTCACAAATTTTCAGCTTGCTGCCCAAGTCCTGTACATAAAAGAAGATTCTGAATTAAGGCAATGTGGCCAAAATGGGCAGTCAGAAGGGAAAAGAAGAGAGAGAAGGAAGAATCGAGCTAGGTTTGAGGGGCGGTGTGAAACTTTTCTTTCCTCCATGCAAGCCTTCACCTCTTTTATAACAGTCATCAATGGGGCTCCCTGGCCATTCAGTGCTGTCCCTCTTATAGGAAGCAATTGTTCAGAGGTGTGGCTCATTTCAGGCATTAATCTCTGATGAATGGCGGCTGTGCCTGGAGCCTGCAGGCAGCTGGTCAGTGGAATGTAACAATGACCACAGGAGGAGAATGGGCAAATGCTTCACTGCAGATGCTGCATCCCCAACATTGACCTTGGTCATTTCCCTCCCAGGGTGGCGTGGCCCCTCGCAGCAGGAGCCTGGCTTTCTGAACAACTGCCATTGTGGGCAAGGTGGCAGCTACCTGCGGGATTTGTCCCCTCCTAATAACATTTAGACCCAACAGGTGGTCACAATGAGGGGTGGAAATTGAGGCAAACGTGGACAAGACTGCAGAAGGCAAAACACAAAAACAAAACCCCTAATTTTCAGGGAGGAACTTTGTTGCAGAGATTAGCGACTACATGCTCAGCAGGTCTGGTCGGAGGATCTGAAGTCCGGGTGTTGAGCAGCCATCAGGGGAAGTGGCTGTTCTTTCAGCCCAGGGCTTGCCTCCGGCATGTCCTCCATCCACTGGTCACCAGCCTGCAATGTTAGCCAGGAGTACTAGGGACACTTTGCCCCAAGGTATTTGCAGAACAGTGGGAGGAGGAGAAATGTGACAAATAATTTGGGTCTCTGCCCACTCCTAGTGC
Organism: Homo sapiens; assembly: GCF_000001405.40. NCBI lineage: Eukaryota > Metazoa > Chordata > Mammalia > Primates > Hominidae > Homo > Homo sapiens. The sequence goes on from NC_000021.9 coordinate 32,869,409, forward strand.
CTTCTATGCCTTTAAATCCCTCTACACCCCACCAGGAAATATATGTCCCTATCCTTATCCCTTCTCCCCATCCCGATCTCCATCCCCATCCCCATCTCCACCTCTCTGTACCTTCACCTCTACCTCCATCAGTCTATCATACCTATCTATTATCTATCTATCCATCTATCATACCTGTCTCTATGATCTCTATCATTGCTATCTCTATCATATCTATCTCTATAATCTCTATCATTGCTCTATCTATCTATCTATCTATCTATCTATCTATCTATCTATCCATCTATCTGATATAGTTGGGCTGTGTGTCCCCCTCCCAAATCTCATCTCAAATTGTAATCCCCATAATCCCCACGTGTCAAGGGAGGACCTGGTGGGAGGTGATTGGATCTTGAGGGCAGTTTCCCCCATGCTGTTCTCATGACAGTGAGTGAGTTCTCACGAGAGTGAATGGTTTCATAAGTGTTTGGCAGTTCCTCCTGATCTCTCTCTTTCCTGCCTCCTTGTGAAGAAGGTTGCCTGCTTCTCCTTCTCCTTCCGCCATGATTGTAAGTTTCCTGAAGACTCCCCAGCTATGCAGAACTGTGAGTCAATTAAATCTCTTTCCTTTATAAATTATCCAGTTTTAGGTATTTCTTTGTAGCAGTGTGGAAATGGAATGATACACTATATATCAATCTCTATCATCTATCTCTATTTATCATGCTTATCTGTCTACCTATCTACCATATCTATGATATCTATCATTATCTAACTATCTGTAGCTACTATCTATTGATCTATTTATCTATATCTACTATCTATCTATCATTTCTGTATCTCTGCCATCTCTACCTATCTGTCTATCATCTATCTGTTTCTATTATCTACTATCTACCTATCTAACACAGAAACATAGATTTGGTCATGTACTACTTATTACTTCTATGCCTTTAATGACTCTAACCATTATTGACTCTGCATTGACAACAAAAAGTCTGAACTTTTAACAAGGATTGAAAGTCTTTCACAATCTGTCTTCACCTTGGCTTTTTAGCATCTTCTTTCCCTCTCCACTCCCCACAACAGGTGACAGATACTGTGCTAGGTACAGTATGTCCTGTACTTCCTCCCTCTCCACTAACCACCCTCATCACCCCTCTCACTGCCTCCAATTTCCTTCCCCCCAGGGCCTGGTCTCAGAGCCACACTAGGCCATGGGACTCTTGTGTCCCTGCCCCAACTCTGCTCTTCCCCCTCTGGCCGCCATCCTTGCGGTCTCCTCTCGAGACTTCTTTTCTCTGTGAACCCCTGTCTCGCTGCACTAATGGCTTCTTCTTCAGAGCTCCCGCCTGTCGAGAGCCAAACATGGCTGCCTGTCTGCTGGTCTGAGGATTCCTTTCTCACTGTACCCCAGGGCCCAGGAGCATTTCCAGTAGAATAATGTGTGTGTGGGGGGCAGGGGTAGGTGGGGGGATGAGTGTAGATTGCCTTGCCTGCCTGCAGGGAAGCCAAGGCCTCAGGCTGTAGAGCCAGGCAGCTGCTGGTCCTAGCTGCACCACTTACCAGCTGTGTCCTCTGGGGCCAGTGTCCTCATCTCTCTGAACCTCTTTCGTCAACTGTACAGTGGAGCTCATAACAGCGCCTTCCTCACAAGGTTGCTCTGAGGAGTGAAGGAATGAATGCAGGTGCAGGGCTTAGAAGAGAGCTTAGCACACCGTAGGTGCTCAGTTGGCAGAATGTATGTGAACTCCCTGAGGGCAGGTACCTTGATTGACTCACTCATAGGCTCTCAGCTCCTAAGACCAGGCCTGGCATGACAAAGAATTGAGTGACAGTGATGACCAAGTGTGAGGATTGGAGTTGGCAGATTCCACAGGGATTTCATCCATGTGGGGCTGAAACAAGCCTCAGGTGACCAGCAAGCCTCTCTCTCCTCTGCATTTGGAAATACTGTGCCTGGGTCATTACTCTTTTGTTACTGTTGCTCCAACTCATCGGGAACCACATACCCTGCCATATTGTCATTCCTGGCCAGACCTGGGGACCAGCACTATCCAGCCTCACTGCACGATTTGAAACTGTCTTCAAGAGCATCCTCTACCAGCTTTCCACACTGAAGGTGATTCCATTTTCTCTGCTGCTGCACAGTTGGCAAGTCACCTGGTCGTGAGGTCTTGACCTATCCCATGTTTGGCTTGGTGCGTCCTCCTGCATGGCTTTGCCGTACCCTGTTGCATGCAGGGAACTTGCAGCACTTTTGTTTCCCTCACTTTTATATATGTTAGCTTCCCCTGACCTAGCCAAGCTTCTTTTGGATGCAAGTGCCCAAAACAAACTCAAGAAACTGTGAGAAAGACAAATGGGGTGTGAGTGGTAAGTAAGGGTGGTTTTTCCAAGGAATCAGGGATTGCTCTCGGGAAAGGCTGGAGACAGGCACAGAGGCTACCGTCTCCACCCCACAGAGCCTGGAACCAGTGTGCCAGAGGGTGGATGTGGGGCAATGGCTTCAGATACAGGTTGTCTGGGAGCAGGTTCCACCCCAGGGCAGGCCAGAGGAGAGGTTTTGGCCTTGGACAGTCCTTGCTCTGGTGAGCAGTTTGGAGAGAGTTCATTTCCTGAGGTAGGTTACTTTGGGGCTGAGTGAGATGGGACCTTTATCCAATTTTCCAGGCATTCCTGGGGGACATGTCAGGAAAAGAGCTTCTCAGGGAATGACTCTTAGGGCCTGGTATGACTGGGATTCTCTGATGTGGGAGATGGGACCCCACTTCAGCACAGGAAGAAGGTCTGTGCTAAGTCTACCCTTGCACATAGTGAATCATTGGCTTAACTCAGAGACCAAAAGATACAGGTGGGCTGGAATTGGAGTGGGAATTGGGGATGGTGTCAGGAGACAATTTATGAGGATTTTTGAGAGATTCTGGGGATTCATCATCTATTTCTCAAAATCAAGTCACATATTTCGTAGACAATTTTCATTCCCAAGTTATAAAAGGATGATTCTTAATCCCAGGATAAAATTTGTCATTTTAGGATTTGTGCATTGCTAAAGACAAGCATTGTTACAAGGAACAAACAGCCAGGTTTCTCAGTATTACTCAGTTACAGAGAAAGTAGGATCTGGTTTTGGTCTGACTTTGCTAATTCAAATAGAATTTGTTTTTGTTATGGCTTTTAGATGATCCCTATTTCACAGAAAATGTCTACAGTCTATACATTTTTATTTGTGCCATGGCAAATTCAATTCAGTTTTACTTTTTAAAATTTTTCACAAGGAAGAGTAAAAATGAGAGGTTAAAAAAAATCTGTATTTCATGAAAGGCTTGTATGACGACAACGAAGCTATTGAATTTGGGATGTGAAGACCCTCTTTTCAACACAATGAGAACAGTTTGTTGTTCAGATTAGACTAGTTCCTGAAATTTACCAAAACCCCAAACAAAATATTAGCAAATACAATACAGCAATATATAAAAAGAAGAATTTATCTTGACGAAGTGTGGTTTTTACAAGGTACAGAAAATTGGTTGAACATTCAATAAACAATTATATCATAAAGAAGCAAAACGTTGTACCATCTCAGTAAATCCAAAGGAATCCCTCAGTGAAATTCAACATCCATCCAAGATTTTAAAAAGCAAACAATCACTCCTGAAATCCCAGCACTTTGGGAGGCTGAGGCGGGCAGATCACAAGGTCAGGAGATTGAGACCATCCTGGCTAACACGGTGAAAGCCAATCTCTACTAAAAATACAAAAAAAAAATTAGCCGGGCATGTGGCGGGTGCCTGTAGTCCCAGCTACTTGGGAGGCTGAGGCAGGAGAATGGCGTGAACCCAGGAGGCGGAGCTTGCAGTGAGCCAAGATCGTGCCACTGCACTCCAGCCTGGGTGACAGAGCAAGACTCCATCTCAAAAAAAAAAAAAAAAAAAAAAAGGCAAACAAAAAGCCAACCAAAACAACAACAAAAAGCTCTCAGCAAACTGTAAACTAGAAATAGAAGAAAATTTCCTCTCTAATAAGGGCTATCTACCAAACACAGAACTAAAATAATATTTAATGTTTAAATATTAAATGCTTTTCCCCTATAGCGAGGGCAAGAATGTCCACGCTCATCACTTCTATTCAACAATGTAGTAGAGGGCAAAGCCAGTGCAATAAGGCAAGAACAAGAAATTAAAGGCCTAAAAATCTGAAAGGAAGGAGTAAAACTATCTTTGTTCACAAATGACATCATTGTGTACATGAAATGTCCAAAGGAATCTACAAACAAGCTACTAGAATTTTAAAAATAAATTCAGCAAGGTTATAAAATAAAAGGTCAATGTACAAATATTGAAATATATTTCTATATACAGGCAACAAACAATGAGAGAATAAAATTAAAATATACTACTTAAAGTAGTATAAGAATCATATATTCAGAATACACTTAAATTTAGTGAAAGATATGCAAGATCACTACATGAGAATTTATAAAATATTGCTGAAAAAGTTAAAGAAGTTTTCAATAAATGGACAGATATGCCATGTTCATGTATTGGACAACTTAGCATGTTAAGATATCAGCTTTCCTCACATTTATCTACAGATTCAATTTAATCCCAATCCAACTGTAGAAATGGACATGCTGATTCTAGAATATATCTGCAAAGGATCTAAAATAGCCGAAACAGCTGCAGAAAAGAAGAGCAAAGTTGGACGAGTTATACTAGCTGATTTGAAGAGTTATTGTATTAGTCCATTTTCACACTGCTAATAAAGACATACCCAAGACTGAGAAGAAAAAGAGGTTTAATTAGACTTACAGTTACACATGGCTGGGGAGGCCTCAGAATCATGACGGAAGGCAAAAGGCACTTCTTTCATGTTGGCAGCGAGAGAAAATGAGGAAAAAGCAAAAGCGAAAACCTCTGATAAACCCATCCAATCCCTTGAGACTTATTCACTATCACAAGAATAGCATGGGAAAGACCGGCCCCCATGATTCAATTACCCGCCCCCCCCCGGGTCCCTCCCACAACATATGGGAATTCTGGGAGATAGAATTCAAGTTGAGATTTGGCTGGGGACACAGTCAAACCATATCATTCCGCCCCTGGCCCTTCCAAATCTTATGTCCTCACATTTCAAAACCAATCATGCCTTCCCAACAGTTCCCCAAAGTCTTAACTCATTTCAGCATTAACCCAAAAGTCCACAGTCCAAAGTCTCATCTGAGACAAGGCAAGTCCCTTCTGCTTATGAGCCTGTAAAATCAAAAACAAGTTAGTTACTTCCTAGATACAATGAGGGTACAGGTATTGGGTAAATACAGCTGTTCCAATTGGAAGAAATTGGCCAAAACGAAGGGGTTACAGGGCCCATGCAAGTCCAAAATCCAGTGGGGCAGTCAATTTTAAAGCTCCAAAATGATCTCCTTTGACTCTCGGTCTCACATCCAGGTCAAATTGATGCAAGAGGTGGGTTCCCATGGTCTTGGGCAGATCTACCCCTGTGGCTTTGCAGGATATAGCCTCCCTCCCAGCTGCTTTTATGGGCTGGCATTGTTTGTGGCTTTTCCACGTGCACGGTGCAAGCTGTTGGTGGATCTACTATTCTGGGGTCTGGAGTATGGCGGCCCTCTTCTCACAGCTTCACTAGGCAGTGCCCCAGTAGGGACTCTGTGTGGAAGCTCTGACCTGATATTTCCCTTCTGCACTGCCCTAGCAGAGATTCTCCATGAATGCCCTGCCCCTGCAGCAAACTTCTGCCTGGGCATCCAGGCATTTCCATGCATCCTCTGAAATCTAGGCGGAGGCTCTCAAACCTCAATTCTTGACTTCTGTGTACCTGCAGGCTCAATACCACATGGAAGCTGCCAAGGCTTGGGACTTCCACCCTCTGAAGCCACAGCCCATGCTGTTACATTGGCCCCTTTCAGCCGCGGCTGGAGTGGCTGAGACACAGGGCACCAAGTCCACAGCATGGGGATCCTGTGCTGGGCAACGAAACCACTTTTTCTTCCTGGGTCTCCGGGTCTGTGATGACCTGGTGATGTGATGTTCCGTGTTGCCATGAAGGTCTCTGACATGGCCTGGAAACATTTTCCCCATGGTCTTGGGGATTAACATTAGGCTCCTTGCTACTAGTGCAAATTTCTGCAGCCAGCTTGAATTTCTCCCCAGAAAATGGGTTTTTCATTTCTGTTGCATAGTCAGGCTGCAAATTTTCCCAACTTTTATGCTCTGCTTCTCTTATAAAACTGAATGCCCTTAACAGCATCCAAATCACTCTTGAATGCTTTGCTGCTTAGACATTTCTTCTGTCAGATACCCTAAATCATCTCTCTGAAGTTCAAAGTTCCACAAATCTCTAGGGCAGGGGCAAAATGCTACCAGTTTCTTTGCTTAAACATAACAAGAGTCACCTTTGCTCCAGTTCCCAACAAATTTCTCATCTCCATTTGAGACCACCTCAGCCTGGATTTTATTGTCCATATTGCTATCAGCATTTTGGGCAAAGCCCTTCAACAAGTCTCTAGGAAGTTCCAAACTTTCCCACATTTTCCTGTCTTCTTCTGAGCCCTCCAAACTGTTCCAATCTCTCCCTGTTACCCAGGTCCAAACTCACTTCCACATTTTTGGGTATCTTTTCAGCAATGCCCCACTCTACTTGTACCAATTTACTGTATTAGTCCATTTCCACACTGCTTATAAAGACATACCCAAGACTGAGAAGAAAAAGAGATTTAATTGGACTTACAGTTCCACATGGCTGGGGAGGCCTCAGAATCATGGAGGAAGGCAAAAGGCACTTCTTACATGGCGGCAGCAAGAGAAAATTAGGAAGAAGCAAAAGCGAAAACCTCTGATAAACCCATCAGATCTCATGAGACTTATTCACTATCATGAAAATAGCATAGGAAAGACTGGCCCCCATGATTCAATTACCTCCCCTGGGTCCCTCCCACAACACATGGAATTCTGGGAGATAAAATTCAAGCCAAGATTTGGGTGAGGACACAGCCAAACCATATCACTTATTAAAAAGCTATAGTAATCAAGACAGTGTGGTATTGGTATGTTGACCAATAAAGTTATAATATTTTATACATTTAAAATGGAGAGCTTTATTCCTGAAAGGTATCACAACCTGCAGGCAGGAAGCAGAGACTCTGGCAGATGCTGGAAAAACAGCACTTCAAGGGAGGAGTAAAAGGAACAGGAATTTATACTGAGTGGGGTGGCTGCATATACATATTTAATAAGCTGCATAGGGAGTGCTGAATATTTATGAAAGGAGAAACACGCACATGTGCAATTGAGTTGTACACCTCTCCTTGTATCACATGTACAAAAAGAATGGCACCATTAGCATGATCTGAGGGTCAAGTTTTCAGCCCCGTGGCATCAAAAGGTGAAGCAGAGGACACAAACGCTGTCATTGCATTGTGCATCCTCTGTAGACGTCCCAGAACCACCATGGTTGGTGGCTTCTCATCAGGAAAGGATGTGTTGCAAAACTGGTGACTGTCAATGTAAAAGCGACAAAGGGGGTGTGGGGTGGGGGTAGTGGTGTCGGGGGAGTCTGGCTGCAGCCTCAGATGATTGGCCAAAGGTGATAAAGGAATGAGATGTCCATTTCTTGTTTTTCACAGCCTGTTTCTGCTTACTCCTTAGGAAAGAATTCTGGTTAAAGGTTAATAAGGAAGGGGTATGTTGAGGCATAACTAGTTCCCATTCTGCCCTAGCCAGCAACTCAATGAACTTTTTCTTAGCTTTTAGGATTTCTTAAGCCAAGGGGGTCCATTTAATCCATTAGTGGGTCAGGATTACTTTTCAAGTATAAGGATAAAAAATAGGCCGGGAGCGGTGGCTCATGCCTGTAATCCCAGCACTTTGGGAGGCCAAAGGTCAAGAGATCAAGACCATCCTGGCCAACATGATGAAACTGTGTCTCTACTAAAAATACAAAAATTAGCTGGGCATGGTGGCTCATGCCTGTAGTCCCAGCTACTCGAGAGGCTGAGGGAGGAGAATCTCTTGAACCCGGAAGACGGAGGTTGCAGTGAGCTGAGATTGCGCCATTGCACTCCAGCCTGGTGACAGAGCGAGACTCCATCTCAAAAAAAACCACAAAAAACAAAAAACATAAAGAAAAACAGTGAGTCTGGAAATAGACCTGCAGTGGTTTACTGGACAACATACAGACCCATGATCAATTGATTTTTGACAAAAATGCCAAAGCAATTTAATGTGAGAAAGAAAATAAATCACATGTCAGTAAATGGTAGGGAAAAATGGTAGAAAAATGAGATATTGGCATAGAAAAAAATTAACCTTGGGTCCTACATCATACCACACATATAAATTAATTTGAAATTAAAAATTAAAGACAGGCTGGGCACCGTGGCTCACATCTGTAACCCCATCACTTTGGGAGGCTGAGGTGGGTGGATCACTTGAGGTCAGGAGTTTGAGACCAGGCTGGCCAACATGGTGAAACCCTGTCTCTACTAAAAATACAAAAATTAGTTGGACATAGTGGTGGGTGTCTGTAATTCCAGCTACTCAGGAGGCTGAGGCAGGAGAATCATTGGAACCCAAGAGGTAGAGGTTGCAGTGAGCTGAGATCGCACCACTGCACTCCAGCCTGGGCAACACAGCGAGACACAATCTAAATAAAATAAAATAAAATAAAATAAAATAAAATAAAATAAAATAAAATAAATAAAATAAAATAAAATAAAATGGAGAATATCTTCACTATTGGAGACAGGTAAAAATGTCTTAGAAAGTAAAAAAAAAAGGTATTAACAATAAAAACAAACTATTCACATATTCACATATTGGACCTCATCTCAATTAGACACTTTTCATCAAAAGAAACATCATTAAGAAACTGAAAAGTTAAGCTACAGACTGGGAGAAAATATTCAACACACACACACACACACACAGACACACATACACACACAGACTTCACCTAGAATATATTTGAAAATTTCCATATATTAGTAATAAAAAAACAAACAATTCATTAAAAATGGACAAGAAATTTGAGTAACCACTTTGCAAAGGAAGATACTTGAGTTGGTAAGAAACATGAAAAGATGTTCAACATCATTCAGCAAGAGGTAAATGGAAATTAAAACCACAGTAAGATACTGCAACACACTCACCAGAATGTCTAAAATTAAAGAAAGACTGATAATACCAAGTGTTGGCATAATAGGTTTTTTTGCCCAGTGCGTAGCAAGTCTATATACTGAGACACTGCAGCCGAGAGTTCAATAATTGCAGGGCAGCCAAATGAGGAGACAAGAGGAAATCTCAAATCTGCCTCCTTGAGGAATTTGGAGCTAGGGATTTTAAGAGGTTTGGAGTAGTCTGAGGTGTGGGGGCTGTTGATTGGTTGAAGAAAGCAGGGTGAAATCACGGGACTGAGAGATGAAGAAACAGTGTTCCCATGCTAATTCACTTCCTCTTTGTGGGTCTGCACGCTGGTTGGCATCAGCTATTTTGCTGGAAATCAGGATCTGAGAAACATCTTAAGCAAATTTTAGACAAAAGCCATATGATTCTAAGGTCAGAAATTCCATCTGTGGGAAGGGTATAGGATGGGCAAGTGGTTGTATCTAGTGCTACATGACTTTTGGTTAGCAAGCAGCTATAAGGAAGTGGACCAATGTGCAGCCTTATTAATGCTTAATTATGACTATATTTCTGTCCAGAACTTGGCATGCAATTTTTGTGAGCCTAGCATGCAATTCTTGTGAGGGTAGTTTCAGTGGCAACTGTACCATGTTGGCAGGAGTATAAATTAGTGTAATCTTAGTTAAATGTGTGCCCATGTTATCACCCAGAAAATCTACTCCTAGGTATGTTGCAAAGAAAAATGCCCATAAAAAGATGTGTCCAAGAATGTCCATGGTAGCTTTATTCTTAATAACCCCACACTGAAAACACAAGAGAACTGATAAGCAAACTGGCATATTTTTACAATGGATTACTGCTCACCAATCAAAAGCAACATACTACTAATACAAGCAACATCATGAATTAATTTGAAAAACATTATATTGAATGCAAGAAGCATAGTTTCTTTCTGTGTCTTCACATCACCTTCTCTCTGTGCATGTTTGTCTCTGTGTCCAAATTTTCCTTTGTTATAAGGACACCAGTCATATAAGGTTAGGGCCCACACTAATGAGCCCATTTTAACTTGATGAGGTCTATAAAGACCCTATTCAAAAATAAGATCACATTCTGAGGTCCCAGGGGTTAAGATTCCAGTGTGTTTTTTGGTGGGGTGGGCGGCACATAGTTCAACCAAATGGCACAGTTACATTTTAACACAGCCTCCTGGATAGGCGCCGATGTCCACTGCATCTCTGGTAGGAGAATCTGGGGTGTCTAAATGTGGGGATAGTCCATCCTCCCCTCCTGCCCCTCCCAGGCCTAAGATGCGTGGTGCATGGACAGCTCTCCTGGGAAGCTGTTTCCTCTGTGTATCACAGAGCAAAGCCAGACCTCAAAACTTCATTGAAATTAAGCAATACATACTCCCCTATCTCTACAGAAACCTCATGAAAATGGTGCTGAATAATTGGTTTTAAACAAGTATCGTCTTGAAGCAGGTCTAGTATGTCTAGAGAGAAGGCTGTGAACCTGAAACCAGTGGGCAGTGACTTTTTTTTCAACTAAAGAAAAAGCTGGTGATAAATATTAACAATATAAAAAATGTTCCAGAAACCAGGCCAGCAAAACCTAAGCAGGAATGTCATGGACGGCTTCTTATAAATGCTTCGTGTTGTTGTTAATCCCAGTTTTAATTTCTAGCCTTATTAAAGACTTAAGGCTTTATCTCCGTTTCTTTCCCCTGGAAAACCAGATGCACATAATGATCTTTATTTCTGTCATTTTCTCAGTGGTCACAGGGTCTATGCTGCTTAATCTTTTTTATTTCCACGTGGATTAATGAGGGCTGTGTGGCTCTGTCTTTGTCCCCTGATGAGTCCCAGGGACAAGCATCTGTGGGATTCAACATTGCTTCTCAGAGCAAGATTTTCACCGTGTAGATAAATGCCGCAGTGGAGGGGGGTAAGTACTGGGTGCCAGCTTTGCTGAAACAGGCAGAACAGAATCCATCATAACCTGTTAAATGGCCTCCCCCTAGCCCCCAATAATTGCATTTATGTCTCAGCCAGAGAACTTGTCTGGAAGGCTTTTGCAAGTACAACGCCCCACAGACGGCAGGGAGAGAAGAGCGATCAGAGAAACAGAGTCTTAGAATCAAAAATGACCTTAAATCATTTAATCCAGCCTGCCTTAAACAAAACAAAACAAAACAGAACAAAGCAAAACACCAGAGAGGCTGTGTGTTTTCTAAAGGATACACCACAGCAATACATAACACCATGAATTAATGGAAGAGAAGATCTGGTCTCAACAATGCCCCATTGACTGTAGCCTAAGGACCTAATAGCACCAAGGGTGAATATTTGTTTGTCACCTGCTTTAAAAACATGTGCAAAGTTAGGGGATTAAGACTTCAGATACCTGCCACGGGTGTGTTCTTATGCTGTGAAGGGCTTCACAACCTTGATGAACGTATTCTTGGTGGGAGGGGTGCTTAACATCAGTATTATTTTTCTTCCCCAGCAAAAAAAAATCCATTTGAGGATGTTCCAAAGAGTATAAATAATATGTGACTTTTTTTTTTACACCAAACTTGGAGCATTTGAACAGAGAAGTAGTAAAAGAATTACTTTTAAAATACATCGTTAGTAAGGAATAAAGGTATATTCATGATTTTGGAATGAAAAGAAATATGAATATTTTAAGAGCTTTGTTCTGGTTATTCATGATGTATTGGCCACAGTTACAAGTATTCAGAATTTAGATGACTCCCCTACCTTTCTTGTTCCACTGAGCTAATGGGGGTTGGGGGTTTGCCATGGTCCAGTAGGAACTATGGAGTTTCTAGGAGAAAAGGGGTGTTCTCCCGTGTAAAGAGTCAAGGATATCTAATTCCTGTAAGGTCAAAAAGGACAGTGGCGATATGGAAATTGGAATTTTATAAATAGGAAAAGAGGGTAACATTGAAATATGAATTAGGACATAGAATTGCAAATGGATATTTAACAAATAGGAAAAATGTTTGGTCCAACAAGGGCAACTTAGAGGTCGGGCCAGATTCGGAGTAAGAAGATGAATGTTGGGAGTAAAAGGAGAGGCAAAAATAAGTGGTTGGGTCCTGACTGTAGAGAGGCACAGTAACAGCGGCACTGGAGGCTTATGAAGACTTGTGTGATGTGCAGTTTGAAGGTGTGTGACATCTTTGGCCTCTCAAAGCTCCATTTTTGGTTGACAGTTGCACATGACTGGAGCCCAGTAGTCAAGAACTTGAGCTTCAGCTTCAGATAAACCTGGCTCAAGTCGCACTCCACTTTTGGTTACACGTGTGGCTTTGGACAAGTCACTTAACTTTTCTAAGGCTCAGTTTCTCAGCTGTAACATGGGGCTGATCACATGCACCCTATAGAGTTGTAAGATTTCATGGGATGGTAGATATGAAGCACTTTGCACTGTGTCTGGCACTTAGTAATTGCTCAGAAATTGATGGCAATTATTACTAATTATTACTAATAAGAACAAATGTTCTTTCAAATTGCTTCAAAGAAAATGCAGTAATTTTCACATCATTGACGTTTTTCAAAGATTATCATTGTGTTACCAAAAAGGGGTCCCAATCCAGACCCCAAGAGAGGGTTCCTGGATCTTGCACAAAACAGAATTTGAGACAAATCGATAGAGTAAAGTGAAAGCAAGTTTATTAAGAAAGTAAAGGAATAAAGAATGGCTACTCTATAAGCAGAGCAGTCCCGAGGGCTCCTGGTTGGCCATTTTTATGGTTATTTCTTGATTATACGCTGAACGAGGGGTGGATTATTCATGAGTTTTCCAGAAAATGGGTGGGCAATTCCTGGAACTGAGGGTTCCTCCCCTTCTTAGACCATATAGGGTAACTTTCTGATGTTGCCATGGCATTTGTAAACTGTCATGGCACCGGAGGGAGTGTCTTTTAGCATGCTAATGTACTATAATTAGCGTATAATGAGCACGGAGGAAAACCAGAGGTCACTTTCGTCGCTATCTTGGTTTTGGTGGCTTTTGTCTGACTTATTTACCACAATCTGTTTTATCAGCAAGGTCTTTGTGACCTGCCTCTTGTGCTGACCTCCTATGTCATCCTGTGACTTAGAATGCCTGACCTCCTGGGAATGCAGCCCAGAAGGTCTCAGCCTCATTTTACCCAGCCCCTATTCAAGATGGATCCAATCTGTTTCAAACACCTCTGACAATTGCAGATTTTACTGGTTGGCTATTTGCCTGCCTTGGGGTTCTTAGCAGCAAACAGAAGAACCCACCCCAGCTAACCTCGGGAGCAAGGCTACCCATCAAATGGTTCCTTAGGTAATTCAGAGCCTTTAGGAGGCCTGGAAGACAGGCCTTGTAGCCAGAAACCCAATCATACAGCCAAACACAGACCTACCACTGGCCCACTGGGCACAGACTTGGTGCTTATTATGGCAGACACTGAACTCCAGGACTTTTGTCACTGCTGCCCCCAAAACCAGATGCCTCCACAACCACCATCTTTGCCAGAGAGTGGGTTCTCTGCAGTACCTGTTTCCTCCAAACAAGATTATTACACGGGTGCACCCATGAGCCCAGCCCCAGCCACGTACCTGTTCCATAGCCAACAAGGAGGCTGGGAATTGAGGATCTGGCCTCTACTTTAGGAAGAAAGAAACCCCCAAGCCATAATAAGAGAGGTGTTCAAAAGGAGCCAGGAAGCTAGAAAACATGACAAACACCCACACACTGCTAGGAATTGAGGGCCACACTTCAAATCCAGTTCCTTCTCATTATGTTCTGTTGGCAAGTTTATGCTTCTTATTCCTATGACGATGGAAACTGACTTCCTCACTTTGAAAAAGAAAAAAATAATTTAAAAAATCAACAACATTGCAATACTGAGAGCTCAGGAGCCCATCAAAGGTGAACATGGGTTGGACACAGTGGTTCATGCCTTTGGGTGGCCAAGGCAGGAGGATCACTTGAGGCCAGGGGTTTGAGACCAGTCTGGGCAACAAAGCAAGATTCCATCTCTAAAGAATTCTTTCAAAAAACAATGAATGACTGGGGGACAGAATGAGCTGCTGATGCTGACACTCTCTTTACCATCGTAATATTCCATCATTAAACTCAGACTGGCCACATTTAGTGCATTTATATGCACCTGCCACGTGCAAGTCAGAGTTTACAGCGGGCACTATCCCTTTCAAACAGGTCAACTTGAGATGTTTTTAATATGCTTATTTCAATGAGCTGCCAATAAATTCACTTAAAGCTGATGGGTATCATTACTTCTGATGTCTCTTCAGAATCAGCAGCAGGTTCTTTTGACTGTAATCAGTTGTTGCAAATTTATTCTCAGTTTCCTCATCTGCAAAATGAAGATAGTAATCATTTATACTTCTCAGTGTTCTTGAAAGCATCAAATGATGCAAAGTGCAGTGCCGGGCATGTAGAAGAATTTAACAGAAGTCAGCTATGCATCTTGTTGAGCCCAGTCTGGGGAATAAGATAGCAATCCATTTGAGCTATATCATTTTGAGTCTAAACTGAGACATGACTACAATGAGACAAATTTTCTTTTACAGCTCATAAACGAGCTCTCGAGGCAGTTTTGTTAGGCTCCAAAAAAGGCTTTCACGAGGTCAATGCCGGTGGCATAAGTACCTGCTGGGCTTCCCAGGACAGCAGCTGACAGCACAGGCTTGGCAGGTAGGAGGCGTCCTTGGGCTTCACTCTCATGCATGATGTCACCTTCCAGCGACACATGGAAGTGGATATACCCCTCCCTAGTGCTGCATCCTCATAAACTCTCTAGTTACTCCAGAGATAGAGTTTCTACAACATGCAGGATCTGTTGCACGCCGTTCCATGCATTGTCAAAAGCGCTCCCTTCCACTGATCTGCCAGATGATGGTGCCCTGGGCAGTGACCTGACCCTTTGAACAGGTGAAAAGATCATCTCAGGAAATCAATAGAGATGCTTACTGCTGTTGCTCATCCCTGAAAATCTTTAAGGTTCTCCATGTTAACATATGTACTTTTAACTCAGCCCTTGTTCTGAAAAAGGAGCTGCGCTTTGCCAGGTAACTCGATGCCCTCTTCACCCAAGGGTCAAGGCTCAGAGCTGACGAGCTCTGGCAGCTCTGTCAGAGGTCGTGCCCTTCCCCTGCATGAAGGCTTTCATGAATGGCATTGCGCACACCCCTGGGAGGAAAATGCCCCCCTAAGATGCTGCTCTTGGCATCCCATAGGGGCCTGCGCCAGCTTCAGATCGACCACTCTCCAGAGCAGATGCTGGGACAGGCAGGGCAGATGGTCTCGCCATGCCGTCTTAGCTCCCATCACCTTGTCACAGAGGGACTCGAGATCAGAGGGGTCCAGAGTTCTCTTTTCCTGTCTTTTCCTCTTGTGTTGCTTCTTTCCTAGGTAGATAGATAGATGGCTGATGATAGACAGGATGGATGGATGGGTGGTGGATAGAGAGGTAGAGAAATGCCATGAAGTGCAAAGTAATAAGTAGCTGAAATTCTGTCATTTTTTTCTTTCCCAATACTTTGTAAACAGTAAAAAGAATGGGTAGGCCATCAGTAAACAGCTATTATGTGTACTGTCATTATCACGTTCAATATTGTATGCTTGCTATTATTCTTCTTTCTCTCACCTTCGAGTAAACATTAACTGAACATCTAATATGTGCCAAGCACCCTGGACAGCCAGACTCCCATCCAACCTTCCACATCACCTCAGGTCACCATCTTGCAGGTACCCCCAGGTCTGATCTCACTGAATTACTCACCAACTCTCCATTCTCCCAGAACTCAATACCCTACTCCCTCTTCCTAAAGCAGCCTTTCATTTCCTGCACCTGGCAAAGATTATTCAACCCTAAGGACCTCTAGCAAATGTCACCTCCTCTCTGAAGCCCACCCCGATAGGCTTCCCTTCTTTTAGTACCTATTGTATCCTGATTATTGGTTCATATGTGTGATTATCTGCATACACCATAAGCTTCCCTTTAATCATCTTGTACTTTCTTTTTTTATATATATATTTTTATTATACTTTAAGTTCTAGGGTACATGTGCACAACATGCAGGTTTGTTACATATGTATACATGTGTCATGTTGGTGTGCTGCACCCATTAACTCTTCATTTACATTAGGTATATCTCCTAATGCTATCCCTCCCCACTCCTGCCATCCCACAACAGGCCCCGGTGTGTAATGTTCCCCTTCCTGTGTCCAAGTGTTCTCATTGTTCAATTCCCACCTATGAGTGAGAACATGCAGTGTTTGGTTTTTTATCCCTGCGAGAGTTTGCTGAGAATGATGGTTTCCAGCTCCATCCATGTCCCTACAAAGGACATGAACTCATCATTTTTTAATCATCTTGTACTTTCTACCCACCCCCAGACACCCCTGAGAGAGTCTTCGGCACATATGATGTCCTCTATTGATGTTTGCTGAATAGATGAGGATGCCAAAAGAGGGAGGAGATACCAAAAGAGGGAAAGAAGGACACCCAGAAGACAAATGGTGCTCACCTTGAGGTAGGTTGGAGAGGGTGATCACAGCCTTCCTTGAAAGGAAACAGGAAAGTTGTCAAACTTATGGAGAGACCAAACCACCCGACAGTGCACAAACTGCATCTGAGGCTCTTGGTTAGGACATCCTGGAGCAGAGAGGAGCAGGGGCAAAAGGGAAAATCCCCAAGTCCGCACAGATGCACAAGTCCACGACCAATGTCCTTAAGCTGAACCATGCTCATTTTAATGCTAAAAACACACCCCTGGGTGGAGATTTCAGATGCTAATGAGACATGGGATGTATGTGCTAGCGTGTACAGCAGTAGTGCGTGGGCATCCAGGAGACCTCCCACGGCATGCTTAACAACAATGCCCATTCCCATCCTTCATGAATAATCATGTAAGACTCCTATAAAGGGAGCTCCCTCAGCGTCAGTGGGCGCTGTCAGCCTGCTCTAACCCAGCTATCGGAGTGTACTTTCGCTTTGCAATAAGCTCCTTTACCTACTTTCACTTTGGACTCGCTCTCAAATTCTTTTGTGCCGTGAAGTCAAGAGCCTGAACCTGCACACCAACAACAACCTCACAAATGTGGGTTGCACCTTCCTGGGTACTACACAGCCATAAACACAACTTGCTCCCTCTCATGCATCTTCAGTCTCTTCCTCTGGCACCTAATAGTCTTGACATGGGTTGGTCTGGTTAATCTTTCAGTTTTTCCCCTTTACCAAAATACCTAGCAGATAACTTTTATAGACAGGGACCCCACTGTGCTGAGCCCTGTGAGCCCCCGACATTCTCTTTTCCTGCATTCGGTACAGTCCAGGAATGAGGGCTGCATTCCATTTCTACTGTTAAGGATGAAGAAGATGCTCGCAGATTTGGAAACTGCCTCACAGTTCACCATCAGCTTTTTCGTGGCTTTTGCTGTTAAAGCCTCTGGTCCCTGGGACAGCCCCTGGTTCTAGATTCCCACAGTCTGCAGCATCCTTGTCTTGGTCCCAATTCTCTTCTTGCCCATGAGACTCTCAGCCCTTCTGCAGGCCCACAGGGACATGTGGTGTCCCTGGGTGTCTTACATACATGGAGGGTTTGGTATATATGGGTTTGCTCATCTGATCAGGCTGTGAAACCCCACACTTTTCCAGGAACTAACAGACAGACTGAAACAGGTGGACAGCCAGCCAGCTGTCCCCAAGCCATCCTCCCTGTGGTGATATCTCAGAACGAGACCTTTGGGTATCATAGTGACCTCTGGGCTCTGACTGTGTTGAGAAGCTATTAAATGTCTGCTGAAAGAACAGCAACTTCCCTGTGAGAAAAGCAGGAGAATCATTAACATTTTCTCTCCAAAATGGGAGCAAGTGTTGGGCCCAGAAATGGAAACCAGCAAGTGATGTAAAAAGTTTTTCTATGAAAGATGCTTATCAAATCCTGGCTCAAAACAAGGAAGAATGCTAAAATTTGCAAATGAAATATAATTAGTGTGACCACTCTTCCCTGCATGCCTCAGATACCTCTTTTTCTGTGGTGTTGTTAATTGGTCCTATACATCCTTAAAAATAACATAGAAAGTTATTGAGCTAGCAAGTGTTCTAAATATTTTATTAGAACACATCCTGGGAATTTTTAAAAATGTGTAGATGTTTTGTCTCACCCAACAGACACACACACACACACACACACACACACACACACACACACCTGTGTATGGACAAAAACACATCCTCTTTTGCGAGTTATGGAAGGGAGACAGTATTGCTTGGTCCACCCCAAACTCCCACTTATCTGTCTGGGAACTGCCCTCCACATTCTTGGGGTTCCCATGGGATCTGCCATGTTCTTACCTTCCCAGACCTGTCAGCCTCAGATGATTGCTCCTGTGGTTGGTTCCTGACCCAGCTAGACCAGTGCCTCCTTGTCCCAAGATGTGCATACCTGGGACATAGATAGTCGGCTCATAAGTCTCAACGGCCATAGCTATAAGATGTGACAACAGTGTAGACACTGTTGTCTACATGAGGTAAATGATGGCTTACAGCTAGACAGAAGAAAGACACAGAGACAAGAGGCAGAGAGAGGTTCTTGATAGCTTTGGAGACCCTGGAGGCAGGTGTTCCTGAGGCCAAGCTCTGTCCCCTCCTGCATCTTGGTTGGGCAACAGTTCCTTAGATTTGATGAGATTTTCTAGGGTTTGCTGTCTACTTTTCTTTATGGCCTGCAGGGTAAGAATTTACATTTTGAATGGTTGAAAAAAAAAAACAGAAGAGTAAAATACTTTGTGACATGTAAAAATTATGTGAAATTCAAATAGAGTTTTATTGGAACAGAGTCACACTGATTTATGTATTGCTGTGGCCACTTTTGTGCTACAATGGAAGAATTGAGTAGTTGTGACAGAGACCCTCAAATAGCTGGAAAAGCATAAAATATTTGACTCTTTATAGAAATCAAACTATCTGGCTTTTTATAGAAACAAAGGGCTGACCCTAAAGTCAGCAACAATGAAGGGCCTTTTAAGAAGCCATGAAATGAAATCAGCTCTTTGAAATGTCACTCATTGCTGCGAGATCTCTGGTACTTGTATATTTGGGAAGAGGTTCTAACTGCAACCATTGTCCTTTAGGAAAAAAAGAAAAAGGGAACACATAGAAGCCAACTCCAGCCTTTAAACACGTAGGAGATCCTCAGCTATTTGTATGTGTAAAATGAAGGAAGACCAATGCCTGCTTTCCCTCCCTCTCAATCCAGTCAAGAAACTATGTAGTCAAGACTTACATAGTTCCAGGAACAGGAAACTCACTCTACAGCCTTGTGAAGAAACTGATTCCATCTTTGGACACTTCTTTATAATAAACCCCAAATCTCTCTCCTTAGAACTCATACCTAGTGACTCCATTTGCTTCTCTTGAGGTCATCAATATCAAATCTGCCTTCCTCATGACAGCCTTTCAAATATTAACAGACACTGTCATATGTTTCAAATATTAAAAAATACTGTCATATGTTTGTTCTCTCAATTCTTCATCCCAGCCCTTTCAGCTGTGTCTCTTGTAACGCAGGATTTTATTCCCCTGAGCATCCCAGCTCCTCTTTTTTGAATACATTCCTTTCCTTTTACATCCCCGTTCAGATGCATTCCTTAGCACTGGATGTCACACTCTGGTCTACACAAAGGAGAGGAAGACCATTGCTGCCCCTTCTTCTAGATGTTGTCTGTTGACTTCCATTGATTGCTTTCAGTTGCATGATATTTAATTTAAGAAATCACATGGCCGGCACTGTCCATTGGAAAAGTGTGATGTTAAGGTCCCAAATAGTTCCAAGGAGTGGACTGCAGTGTGTGTGCACCTTGCTTTTAGAGAAAAGGCAGCCTGGAATGGAATTCTCCCGGGTAGGTAAAGAGAACAAAAGACCAGGGCTCCTCCATAGCAACTTATGGGGTGAGGTTCATTTTATACCTGCTAGAGAAGGAGGGAAGATGCCCCTCCTTCTTGAGAGCAGGGACTCAAAAAGATAGTTGTACACCTATGTTCACAGCAGCATTATTCACAACAGCCAAAGGTGGAAACAACCCAAGGGTTCATTGATGGATGAATGGATCCAACAAAATACGGTATGTACATACAACGGGATATTATTCAGCCTTAAATAAGGACTACAATTTTGGCACATGCTACAGCATGATGAATCTTGAGGGTAGAATGCTAAATGAAATAAGTCAGACACAAAATGACAAATGCTGTATGATTCAACTTATTTGAGGAATGTAGAGTAGTCAAATTCATAGAGACAGAAGGCAGAATTGTGGTTACCAGGGACTAGGGGAAGAGGAATGGGGAGTTAGTGTTGAACGAGTACAGAGTTTCAGTTCTGTGAGATGAAAAAGTTCTGGAGATGGATGGGGGTGATGGTTGCCCAACAATGTCAATGCAGTTAATGCCACTGAATTGTACATTTAAAATGGTTAAAATGGCAAATTTTACATTATGTGTAGTTTACTACAAAAAAAAAGTTCTGCCAAAGAAGAAATCAATATTCCAGTGACACACTTGATTTTCAGAAACTTTGGTATCGGTGGCTTTTCTTTTAGCAGATTGAAAAAAAATTCATAAATTTGGTGATAGGCTGGGGGGAAACAAGACAAACTTATGCAAGGCTGGTGAGAATGTAAATTTGTGCGACCCCTACAGTGGGTAGTGGAGCGATAGATATGAAAGCAGAAATTCATAGATCCTTTTGCCCAACAATCTCAATCCTGGGAACAGCCCTGATAAGAGTGAAAGATTGACAAATAACCCAACTGTCCATCAATATTAGTAAAGGACTGTTGAATCGATCAGTACATCTCCACAATGGAAGACCATGTGGCTGTAAGTAAAGAATGAGCAGTGTTGTATGGACTGCTGTGGAATAATCTCTAGGATATGTTGTAATGTGCAAAAAAGCAGAGGCAAGTACCATGTGTACTTAACTCGCACAGTGAGTTCACCATGTGAGTGAACTCTTGTATTAAGAAAAAATAATGTCTATATATTTGCTTACACATACCCTGAAATGTACATAAGAAACTTGCTGGCCAGGCGCAGGGCTCACAACTGTAATCCAAGCACTTTGGGAGGCTGAGGCAGGTGAATCACTTGAGCTCAGGAGTTTGAGACCAGCCTGGGCAACATGGTGAAACTCCGTCTCTACCAAAGATACAAAAAATTATCCAGGTGTGGTGGCACATGCCTGTGGTCCCAGGTACTCGGGAGGCTGAGGTGGGAGGATTGATTGAGCCTGGGAGGCAGATGTTGCAGTGAGCTGTGATTGTGCCACTGCACTCCAGCCTGGGCGACAGAGCAAGACCCTGTAAAAAAAAAAATTTAGCCGATTGTGGTGGCGGACACCTGTGGTCCCAGCTACTCAGGAGGCTGAGGCAGGAGAATGTCGTGAACCAGGGAGGTGGAGCTTGCAGTGAGCCGAGATCGTGCCACTGCCATCCAGCCTGGGTGACAGAGTGAGACTCTGTCTCAAAAAAAAAAAAAAACACGAAACTTGCTTATCTATCTGTGAGCATATGTGTGATGGGAGGACAAGAATTGAGAAGATGGGATCAGGAAGAGGAGGGAGGACATATGATTATCTATCTATCTATCTACACACATGCATATATACATATATATACACACACATACATATGCACTATGTGTATGTAACTCCCTGTGAAAATATTTTCTATTCAACAAATTAAAAAAAAAAAACTTTAGTCAGAAGTGAAATTACATAGAATTTGGGATGCCTTGCCATAAATGGCCTCTCCATAGTACCTCATCCTGGCATCACCTAAATGGGAGGGTTCTACCCCAATAGCTGAAAGCCCTGCCTGAGCCTTGGGGGCTCTGTGCTGTGGCCAGTGCTGGACTATGCAGCTCTGGATGCCCCCGACCTGCCGTTCCTCTGACCACTCATGAGAAGCCCACAGGGGCAGCTCTGCCCCCTCACCTTCTACTTCCATTGTTCCCACTTTTAGAGACCAGAATTTTCCCCAAACAAGTCAACATCTTGCTGTGTTTGCAGAAAACATCCTAGCATTGGAGGGACTACCAGATGGAAAAATAGCTCCCCTTTTCCATTTAGAAGTGGCTTGTTTGATTTCAAAATATAAACCCTGTCCTAATAATAAAAATTACTTTTTTTCTCAGAGATGTGCCAAAGTCCCTCACCATCTATCCACAGGAGAATGTTCCATTTTTTTGGATGCCTCATAGTCACCTGGTGTGGGGGACAGACCCTGTGGTGGCCCCACGGTCCGCACCTCCTGGTATTCACACCCTTGTGTGCTGCCCTCCCCTTGAGTGTGGGCAGACCCTGTGACTTGCTTCATAGTAGAATGTGACAAAGATGATGGGCTGTCACTCCTGGGCTTACGTTACATCGTGCGAAACCCGACTTACAAACAGATTTGCTTTTGTGCTCTTGCTGGCCTTGAAGAAGCAGGCTGCCATGTCGCGAATTGTCCATGCAGAGGCCACATGGCACATGAAGTGAGAACCATAAAAGAAAAGTTGACAAATGGTAATGATGCCTAGGAAAGAAAGATAAAGAAAAAGGGGTGCAGGAAAAACAAGAGGCCCAGCACCACAGAGTTAAAAGCAGTGTTTTGCTGGCTAATGCCAAACATGGACAACCAAGCCACAGATTTTTCCATAGCCCGAGAAGTTTTGTTTTTCTCAATGAAAAATCAGAAGACTTTGCATTAAAGCATATCAGTGATATAGATAGCCTCAAATAATCAAAAAGAATTTACAAAGCTGTACAACTCTGGTGTCAGTTAGCTTGGTGGAATGACACTGTTGCTCTCTTTTCTGTCTAATGGGCATTTCCTTCTAAGATATTAGTTCTGCCTCCCACGTATTGCTGCTACTGGATGCTTGACGGCTGTGAGTCTCAGGCATGGGGGACTGACGGTTTTGGTGTGTGTCTGGGTGAGCACAAATTACCTGAATGCTGATGTGGTAGGCGTCTCCTGGAAAGAACACTGTCTTTAATTGACTTAATGTTATTTTCACCTGGATAAAAATTTCAAATTTTTATACTATTTGTATTTTCTTTCCTTCTTTCTTCTTTCTTTTTTCTTTCTCTTTCCTTTCTTCTTTTCTTTCTTTCTTTCTTTCTTTCTTTCTTTCTTTCTTTCTTTCTTTCTTTCTCTCTTTCTTTCTTTCTTGCTCCCTGTCTCTCTCTCTCTCCCTTCCTTCCTTCCTAACTTCCTTTCTTCCCTCCTTCCTTCTTTCTTCCTTTTTCTTTCTTCTTTCTTTCCTTTCTTTTCCTCTTTCTTTCTTTTCTTTTTTCTTTCTCCTTTCTTTCTTTCTTTTTTCTTTCTTTCTTTCTTACTTTCTCTTCCTTCCTTCTCTCTTCCTTCCTTTTCTTCCTTCTTTATTTCTCTCTGTCTCTCTCTTTCTGTCTCTCTCTGTCTCTCTCCCTCTCTTTCTGTCTCCCCCTTTTTTTCTTCCTTTTCTCTTTTCTTCCTTTCATGGGTCTCGTTCTGTCACCCAGGCTGGAGTGCAGTGGTGCAATCCTCGCTCACTGCAGCCTCAAACTCCTGGGGCTCAAATGATCCTCTCACCTCAGCCTCCTGAGTAACTGGAACTACAGGTTTACGCTATCACACCTGACTAATTTTTAAATTTTTTGTAGAGATGGGATCTCACTATGTTGCCTAGGCTAGTCTTGAACTCTTGGCCTCAAGCAATCCTCCTGCCTCAGCCTCTCAAAGTGCTGGGATTACAGTCACCCTGCCTGGCCCATTTTTTTTTCTTTAGGGAGCTAGGGGTGAGTGTTTTGCATTTTCGTTTCCTCTCTTGTACTGTCAGCCTGGCTTCTGTTAGCACTCCTGTGTCTGGAGGACCAGGAAATCCCAGCCTAGAAGACTACCTAGAAGCTCCTTCCTGGCCAGAGAGGAGGACTGAGAACACCATAGCAAAGGGCTGCTGTTCTGAGCATGAGCAGAACCCCCCTTAGACCTAACTTCCTGCTTTTCCTCTATGACAGCCTCGAGGTCTTTAGGAAAACGGTGACTCTGGAGCACAGCCCTGGATCCCTGATGGCAGGTGGATGAATCTGCTCCCCACCTGGATGCTGCTAGTCCTTTCTCCAGGCTCCGTGACTGAAAATGTGCTTTACTTGGCAAAAGCTGTTTCTCCTCAGAACTCTAGAAATCAGATCTTGGCCCACCTCTTTCAGGTAAGGACCTTCTTAAAATTGATGCTTGACCCAACTAAATTTGAATTACACCCTATCCCTCTTGGCCTTGTAAAATCGTATGTATATATTTTGAGACGAAGTCTTGCTCTGTTGCCTAGGCTGGCATACAGTGGTGTGAGCTCAGCTCACTGCAACCTCTAACTCTGAGGTTCAAGTGATTCTCCTGCCTCAGCCTCCCAAGTAGCTGGGACTTACAGGCACACACCATCACGCCCAGATAATTTTTCTATTTTTAGTAGAGATGGGGTTTCACCGTGTCGCCCAGACTGGTCTCGAACTCCTGAGCTCAAGTGATCCGCCCGCTTCAGCCTCCCAAAGTGCTGGGATTACAAATGTTAGCCACCACCCCTGGCCCATATAGAATTACTGTAGAGTTCAAATTCTGGTTCTTGCATGTCCTGGCTGTATGACCTTGTGCAAGTTACTTAACATCTATGTGCCTCATTTTCCTCATCTGCAAAATTACCTCTCCTTGGTGTCAGCATGAGGATTAAATAAGAAAATGAAGTCTAAAGTTAGTATCATTGGAAAAAGATAAATCAGGTTCCCATACTCATGGCTTACTAAGTATTAATTGGGGGGAGGAGGTTAATTCATTGTGTGGTCAGGAATTCCTTTCATGGATCAGTAATCAACACATAAGTCCACCTTCATCTGGTTGGAAACTGTTGGTGATGGTGGGGAGGGGTCATTTGTAGGAGGAGATATTTAGTCATGTGACTCATCACTGTTCTACCACATATCCACAGGAGGCAGCCTTTAGGCTAGAACTATGAAAGCAGTTAGGATGGAAAATTGGAAAGTGGTTCCAGGGGACAGCCTAGGATAGATACAGATTTTCAAAAATTGAGATTTAAATGTCAGCAACATTGCTCATTAATTAACTTGTTTGACAAACATTGAGTGCCATATCCTACCTTCTGGTCCCATCAAAAGGAGTAAAACTCAGCCCTCATCCTCAAGGAGCACTTAGATCAAGCCAACTTGTTGGTTTTTAAATTGTATTTGATAATGCATTGGACTTTGCTAAATTCTAGAGAATACTTACAAAATCAAATGCATGTCTAATCATGTAAAATGAGGGACACGTAAGAATAACCGGGTGTATTAGTTCATTCTCATGCTGCTATAAAGAACTGCCTGAGATTAGGTAATTTATAAAAGAAAGAGGTTTAATTAACTCACAGTTCTGAATGGCTGGGGAGGCCTCAGGAACCTTACAATCATGGTGGAAGGGGAAGCAAACACATCCTTCTTCACATGCTAGCAGGAAGGATAAGTGCTGAGCAAAAGGGGGAAAAGCCTCTTATAAAACCATCAGATCTTGTGAGAACTCATTTACTATCACAAAAATAGCAGCATGAGGGTAACCGCCACCATGATTCAATTACCTCCCACTGGGTCCCTCCCATGAAATGGGGGGATTA
This sequence comes from Homo sapiens, assembly GCF_000001405.40. Taxonomy (NCBI): domain Eukaryota; kingdom Metazoa; phylum Chordata; class Mammalia; order Primates; family Hominidae; genus Homo; species Homo sapiens. The sequence goes on from NC_000021.9 coordinate 32,895,218, forward strand.
TGGGAACTACAATTCAAGATGAGATTCGGGTGGGGACGCAGCCAAACCATATCACTGGAAGTGAATAGAATTTGTTGAGACAAATTGAAGAGTAATTTGTTTTATTGAAGTGAGTGCAACTCATTGGTATTTTACTGTGTTCTGGGATCCAGGAGCCCAGTTTTTAGAACCTCCTCCAACCAAGACCACTTCATTATTCCAGCAGACTCACTGACCCTTTCTTATGTACAGTTTTCACTACTTTCCCAGATCCCTTGTGTTTAGATCTGGCAAAAAAACTAGTTCTAGCCAAAGAAATATGCACCCTGACCAAACTTAGACAATTGAGTATCTGCTTTCCACAGGCTCTTTCTATTTCACAGCAACCTTGCAGGCCATGTGTTAAAAATGGTGCTATACAAGATGAAAGGAGTCTGGGATCCTGAGTTACTGCTTGGGAGGGAAATTTTCAATCTAAAATGGATTGTGGTACAAGCAGAAATAAACCTGTCATGTGTTAAACCACAGAGGTTTGGGGGATGTTTGTTACTGCAGCTTGTGTAGTTTACCCTGACTAATATACTCTGTTACCATCCTTGCCAGGGCATATCTGGTCTTTCTATCTAATGCTACCTCTGGGTTTTAGTGGGAAAGAGGCCTCAAGGAAAGGGATTCTGTATATCAATGTTGACATTTCTTCTTCCTATATATAGCTGAACATTGGAGAGATTATGTTTGTTTAGAAAAGTTTTCACAAATCCTTTGTCATGAAGATTTCAGAGAAAGGTGACCATGAATTGTGTTAAGGTGACTTTTTATACACCAATTAAATAACCTGATTCAATGATTGCAGGGCATGAAGAGAAACGACAACAGTCTTGGGTGTTCTGATCTGAGTAGCTTGTCAGTGCCTAATAGCTCCTTTGCTGCATGTAGATACAAATGACCAATCTTACACTTTTTTTTTTTTTTTTTTTTTTTTACCCTCTCAAGCTAGATTTTCTTTCCTCAAGAAAATGTGAAAATGTCACTGGTCACAACCTCTAAGCCCTATAAGTTTATGTCTTTATTTTATGTTCTGGAGAGAAAAAAAAATTCACAATCAGAGAGAAAAGTAATTTTTCCGTTACTAATAAGCTACGTATGTGCAAAAGGTTAGTTTTGGAATTTCTTTCAAAGATCCTGTGATTCAAAGTAAAATATTTGGTAAACTATAATGAGGTAATTGTGAGAAATGAGACATTAAAGTGTGTTTGGAGCCTTTTATATATTTCAACTTTAAAAACAATTTGGTGTCTCCATCATTAAAACTAAACTTTCACCTGCTACAGATCTCCTTCTTTGCTCCAAAGACTATTGTTTGTTTGAACAGGGTGGAAAGGAGGTTGTCAGAGGCCTTTTACACAGTGCAAATGAGAGCAGAAATCAGCGGGGCCACAAGTGTTAATGAGAGAATGGCTGCTGATCAGAGCGTGGACTTGGCCACAGAAAGTTTATCTTGAATTTTAGAAGTTTTTCAGTTGGTTATTGGTGGTTGCAATAAAATAAATTACTTCTAAAATATAAATATTGAGTGAGTCATAATGTCTTAAATGATTATGACCACAGTTTGCAGACCTTGTGTTGTAACTTAAACTTGACATTTAAGCATTCAGCCTGCATTTAGAATTTCTAAATCTTAATATGTATTACTGCACACACATTTTGAAAAATATATAGATGAATATATAGCATTTATACCAATACATATAAACACATATTTCTTTTAAAAGATAGGCAAATACCATCATTTCTTCACTGGTCAACTCATGGAAGTCATGCTTACTAATCAACTTTTCATGGATCTAACATTTTATGCATTCATCTATAACACAGCTTTTCCATTGGATAATAACTCATTTTATCTTCAGGACAAGTTTGCATATCAGGGATCAGTATCCTCATTTTCTTTGCTTTTGAGATGGAGTCTTGCTCTGTCGCCAGGCTGGAGTGCAGTGGCACTATCTCGGCTCACTGCAACCTCCGACTCCCTGGATCAAGTGATTCTCCTGCCTCAGCCTCCCAAGTAGCTTGGATTACAGGGACATGCCACCACGCCCAGCTAATTTTTTTGTATTTTTAGTAGAGATGGGGTTTCACCATGTTGGTCAGGATGGTCTCGATCTCCTGACCTTGTGATCCACCCGCCTCAGCCTCCCAAAGTGCTGGGATTACAGGCATGAGCCACCGCACCCAGCCATCCTCGTTTTCTAGATGAGGAAACTGAGGCTCAGCAAATGACATTGTTACTGAGACAAATGTTTGAGCCAGGGAGGTGCTTGGAAAGACTATGGGGCTCTGAAGAGGGCAATTAAATTAAAATAAAGGGTGAGTTATTGTGAATATATGAACTACTCTAAAAAGATGAGAAATGTCACTCTCCCACTCAAAGTAGGGGAACTGGATGAGTGCAGGACCCTGAAATGTGGAAAGGCATTTAATGTAGGGAATGATGCTTATAAGAGGGTTTGAAGAGCTAGAGCAGAAGGCAGAGGGCATCCCCTGTAACTATTAGCCAATAACTCCCCACTCTTCCTCTTCCAAGCCACTGGTAGCTTCTAACCTACTTTCTCTCTCTAGAAACTTGCCTATTCTAAAAATTTCATACAAGTGGAATAATACAATCATACAACATTTGTCATTTTGTGCCTGGATTATTTCACTTTATATAATATTTCCAACATGTTACATGTTGTAGCATGCACAGAACTTTCTTTCTTTCCATGTCTGAATAATATTCCGTTGTATGGATATGCCACATTTTCTTTATCAATTCATCTGTTGATAGATGCTTGGGTTGTTTCCATCAGATTGTCTTTTGATATGACACATACTATCCTCAGATCTACCTCCCTCCCTTCCTCTTCCCCAAAGCTGCTCAACCAGAGGCTTGGGTAACAATTGGCCACACCCAACTTATCTAAGTCTGTTCTGTCCTCCATTCAGATGGGAGCCCACCCTTCAAGACGACTATATAGAAAATAAAACTATTGTCCTGAGAGACCATCTTTCTTGCTATTTGGCACCCACTATAAATCCTCATGGGCTATATCCTTTTGAGAGACACCATCATTTTAAATTTGAAGATGTGCTATTTATTGTTGTTTTTCAGCTCCAGACTCACCCTTCTAAATTCTGCTCTATGCTATTGGATTGGAGCAGAGGTTTTACAAACCACATGTTCACTTTCCCTGCAGGCTCCATGTTAGGCTCTGCCAAGAGGGTGTACTGAAGAGAAGCTAAAAGATTGGAGCAGAAAAAAGGAACCTGCTCCTTCTTGTTTGCTTCCTGTCCCTCTCTGCATCACCCAAGCATGCTTCTTCACCCCAGCAGCAGCAGTTCTTTCACACAGTAGGAGCTGCATGCAGTGAGCGGTGTTTCCAACAGTTATAGATCCTACCTCATTGTACCACTCCCCCACCTTGAGGACCAGCACTAGCTGGCAGGAGCATCTTCCTCACAGAACTGAATTTAAGCCCTACAAGGTCCCTCTTGTTAGCCCAGAAACATCATCAGCAGTTGGGCAGGGCCCTGTCCTCTGAGATCTGAGTTTCTGTTCCTCAGAGTCATTACATTATATGTTTTAAAAATAGCTCTTCCCTTTGTTTCTGCCAGCCCTAAGGTGGTGCTGCTTCTTGTAGTTGCTACTTCCATCTGTGACTTTCCAGTTAACTTTTAAACAATTTTATAACTAGTTAACAGCTATTTGTGTTAAATTCTCACTTTAAGTCCTCGGTTATAAGGTGTCTTCTCCCCGTCCTCTCCCAGACCATACACAATACATGGACATCGCACACATACTGCATGTGCATATGGAGTAGGAACATTCCCAATCAAGATAGTGAATATACTGTGGAGGGCTTTAGAGTGAGGCCAGACCCCATGGATCCAGGGACCTTCCCTGAAAAGGACTGAAGCCCACTGTGGTCATTGAAGAACAGTGGAAAGCTCTGGTGGGAACTGCGCAAGTAGAAGTTCCTCCAGATCAGGAACCTTTTCTGTCTCTTGACAAGGTAATATTGAGGAGTCTAAGAGAGGGTGGTCAAGGTCAGGCAGTCCCAGGTGATGGAAGAAAGGTGGCTTCTGAGGAATGGTATCAGACCTTCATGTCTCCTTTCTTCTGTGGTGCCCATAAACAAAGATTGGCTTAAACATACCAACTTAGTTCTACTAGGGCAGATTAGGTGATGGGTCCTGTACCCATCTAACATTAGATACCAGAATCAAATGTTAGAAGGGAGCAGTGACTCCCTCCCCCAGGGGTGAGTGGCAGCTATAATTCATAAGAACTTTCCACTGGGGAAGGTGAATCGGTCCAAGACTGACTTGCAATAAGGCTTGGAGCTGAAGACAAGAAACACTGATGGACATGAAAACTATTGGATAAAAGTTTGAAGAGGGACAAGGTATTAAATTCTCTGAAAGTATTTCTCCACAGATTATTTATTAATTACAAAGGGAATTATAGTAATCAGGTGAAGAAACTTGGCAGACCCCACCCTATGGAAGTGATCAAAGTTGACACCACTCGCAATGGGACAAACTGACATCATTTGGCTCCTGATATGATGCACTGAGAAGGGCACAGCATTGCTTATGTAATACACCTGTCAAATGCACAATTAAGCAGCTTGAATTCACATTGTGGAATAGTCTGCAAAGCCACTGGCCGGCACTCTTCAAGAATGTTATGACTTGAAAGACAAAGAAAGGCTAAGGAACTTTTCCAGATTAACAGAGACTAAAGAGACATGGCAACAAGCTGCAATACGTGATCAAGATTGGAGCCTGGGTCAGGGGAAAATTGTCCCAAAGGACATTTTTAGGATGATTGGCAAAAATTAAATATGGGCTATCTATTAGATAATGGTATTATATTAACATTACATTTTCTGAGTTTGATTAATTGTGCTATGATCAGAGACTCTCCATGCCATGTTCTTGGGAAACATACACTAAAGTGTTTGGGGGTAAAGAAAGGGGTTGAGAATAGCCAGAGCAAGCCTAAGCACAAAAAAAAAAAAAAGCTGGAGGCATCATACTACCTGACTTCAAACTATACTATAAGCCTATAGTAACCAGAACAGCATGATACTGGCACCAAAATGGACACATAGACCAATGGAATAAAATAGAAAACTCAGAAATAAAGCCACACACTTACAACCATCTGATCTTCGATAAGGCCAACAAAAACAAGCAATGGTGAAAGGACTTCCTATTTAATAGATGTTGCTGGGATAGCTGGCTAGCCATATGCGGAAGATTGAAACTGGACCCTTACATATCACCACATACAAAAATTAACCCAAGGTGCATTAAAGATTTAAATGTAAGACCTCAAACAATAGAAATCCTACCAGAAAACCTAGGAAATACCCTTCTTGACATCGGCCTTGACAAAGAATTTTTGGCCAAGACCCCCAAAACAACTGCAACAAAAACAAAAATTGGCAAGTGAGATGTAATCAAACTAAAGACATTGTGCACAACAAAAGAAACTATCAATAGAGTAATGGACAACCTACAGAGGGGGAGAAAATATTCACAAATTATTCATCTGACAAAGGTCTAAAATCCAGAATCTATAAGGGACTTAAATCAACAAGCAAAAACCAAATAACCGCATTAACAGATGGGGAATGGACACAAACAGACACTTCTTAAAAGAAGACGTGCAAGTGGCCAAAAAACATATGAAAAAATTCTCATCATCACTAACCATCAGAGAATGCAAAACCAAAACCACAATGAGATACCACCTCACACCAGTCAGGATGGCTGTTACTAAAAAGTCAAAAACCAACAGATGCTTCTGAGGCTGTGGAGAAAAGGGGACAGTTATACACTGTTGGTGGAAAGGTAAATTGGTTCAGCCACCGTGGAAAGCAGTTTGGAGATTTCTCGAATAACTTAAAACAGAGCTATCATTCAACCCAACAATTCCATTAGTGGGTATATACCCAAGGGAAGATAGATCATTATACCAAAAAATATATATACTCATATGTTCATCGCCATGCTATTCACAATAGCAAAGACATGGAATCAACCCAGGTGCCCATCAATAGGCAATTGGATGAAGAAAATGTGGTACCATGGAATACTATGCAGTCATAAAAAGAATGAAATCATGTTCTTTATGTCAACATGGATGGAGCTGGAGGGTGTGATCCTAAGCAAACTAATGCAAGAACAGAAAACCAAATACTACTTATTCTCATTTATAAGTGGGAGCTGATCATTGAGCACATAGGGACATAAACATGGGAATAATAGATGCTGCAGAATACTAGAGGGGAGAGGGAGGGAGGGGGCATGGGCTGAAAAACTACCTACTGGGTGCTATGCTGACTACCTGGATGAAATATACCCATGTCGCTAACTTGCACATGTACCCACCCCTGTATCTAAAATAGAAGTTGAAGGTTTAAAAAAAAAGAAGAAAGAAAGAAAGGGGTTGAGGATGCAATGAACTCTCAAACAGTTTAGGAAAATAAAGTGAGAAGGTGAATCTCAGGATACACATGAGAAAGAGAGATAGGGAGATTGAGAGACTGTGGGAGAAAGAGAGACAGAGAGAGATGGGGGAGAGGACTTATACTATGAGAGTTTTTGTATTATTCTGGCGACTCTTCTGGAAATTTGGAATCATTTCAAAGTAAACAACATGAAAAAAAAAAAAGAATTGGGGCTGAAAGATGCAAGCAGCCTTAAGACATTTCCCATGTTTGTATGGTTTCCTCTCTACTGTGTTGCCCCCGCACTTGACAGGACAAAAATGGAGTAGCGCTAAGAGGGTGGAGATGGAGAGGAATAAAAGTATAAGGTGGAAAAAAGAAAAGAAACCAGCCAAGTCCTTGTGCCCACCATGGCTTCCAGCCTGAAAAAGGTCTGAGCTGGGGTTGAGGAGAAAGATGAACACCACTTCCAGGTTGGAACTGTTATCTATATATGTCACAGATGTCCTAATATCAGAAATAAGACAGTATTTTTGACTTAAAGTGCATGTCGAACTCCTGAGACCTGCGGAAACTTTTACCTAAAGCAGGGGAAGATGATTACCACTGAATATTCAAGTGGTGAGAGGCCAGAAATACAGTTTCATCTTTAATCGTGTCCCATAAGTAAAGTTCTCTCCTGTTGCCAGTCTGGGAGAAAGAGGTCGTTTTAGTTAAGGAAGCCTGCTGTTTCTTTGCACTCTCATTACATAATTACTTGTAGAAACCCATGCTTGACAGAGTTTCTCACTTATTGTAAACAGCGTGGATAATGCCTTAGAAAATCTGTTAACTTCCCAGTTGTCAGGTGACATCTTGAATAGGGGTGCTTAAGAATGGGGCATTGAGCAGCAGCTGGCGAGGGCTAAGGAGACAGCTTCCCCAGCCTCGCAGTTTGGGCGTGGCTTGACTTAGAACCCACAGACTTCCACAGAGCACCTCCGTGATGGGGCCCTGCATATATAGTTTTATTCCTGGTATGATTTGAAGGTCCTTGCTATGGGATTGCAAGGCAGGTGTTACTTTCTTCACCTCAGGAAGGATTTACAAAGGACTCCTTACACTTAGATGGCCTGAGAGTCATTCACAGAGCCTGAGACAGACAGAAGGAAGGGTCAGGTACTGCAGTACATGGGCCCAGGAGATCTGAGATGGGTCCCTGCCCTGCCCCTGCTTGGCTAAAGGACCTTGGATTTCTCACTTCACCACTCTCGACCTTGGCGGCTTGTCTCATCTGGAAATGGAACATGAGAGTTGTCAGAATTAAAATGGAGTCACTATGTTAAAAACCCAACCTCACAAATAGAGCCAGGGAAAGCCATGAAGAGAGGGCTCTTACGTTTGTGTGCTTGATAACACAAACTGTCACAAAAGACTGCAAAAGCCGCAACCCTGCACAGAGGCCATCACAACCTTACACAAAGAGTACTTCTGCAGGAACATCTGCGCAGCAACTGTCTGCCCAACCTTGACTGGAATCACCCTTGGTATTGATATTTGTAGCCAAAGATAGTTACCTCAAAACAATGATGTGCTCACCTCAGTTCTTCCTCTAAAAACCTTTGTATTCCTTCACCTCCCTAACTATGCATGTAATTTACTGTGGCACATGTATTCTCATTGCAATGCTGTGTTCCCAAATCAATATCTTATTCTTTTACAGAGCCTCTCTCTGTTTGTTATCTAGGTTGGCTGGAAAGTGGTCTCAACTCTACCCACAGTCCCTTCTCATCCATGAGTCTCTGATTATCTTCTTTGGAGAGATGCTCAGAGCTCAATAAGCCCAAATAGTCCTTTATCACTCAGGGTACAGCAGGCAACAGACAGCATGCTCAAATTGTGTTATTTGAGGAAAGTGTAATAAAGGGACCCTTTACAATGATGTGGGCAGGTTACAGGGCAGCCACAAGGAGTACTGTGGTGTTTCTGGGCTAGTAATCATGGTGGGCACTTACCCTCTTCAGGCCTAAGAGCGCAGGAGCCTGAGACACAGAGGGCTGGGGTTGGAGGGATTTGGCCAGCCTGCAGTGACCCCAGAGAGGGATCAGGAGAGGACATGGACTGATCTCACATTTCTATCCCCATCTCTTCTGCAGCCCATGACGTCCCCATTGACTGGAGACAACCAGAAGTTGGAGAGCAGGGGAGCCCATTGATGTGGCCCTTTGAGGTCAGACCCATGGCATAGAGCAGGGGTGGAAGCAGGGCTGGAGGGGCAAATGAGAGACATCCAGCACAGGGTACCCTTCATCCCCCAGTGTTTATGTTTGTCCTTTACCCAGGTTATAAATGTGTGTCCCCAAAAAGGACAAAGTCATTCAAAGTCCCAAAACCTAAAATATTAGCCACCTTCATTCAAGGTAATGAGGGGAAAGGGAAAGGAATGGCTGATGTGTATAACCACCATAGTACCTGATGGAGCAGGTTACAAGTCCAGGTTGGCCATCACAGCTGCCTTCTTCCTACCACCCTTCTACAGTTCCCTTTGTCTTATGCCAGTTTCGGTTTGCCTAAGTTCTTTACCTAGAGGGATGAGCTAAGCCTTCATTCTGGAAGTATCTCTGTCCTTGGAGATCTTTTCTCCATTGTCTAAGCCTACTGGGCAAGGAAGTACTAAGAAAGTTCCCAGTGTATCTCTGGGGATCCACACATAGAACTCCATTCCCCCATTAGGTAACTTGCTCCTTGGTTATTGGAATCAACTACTGTGTTCAACACAGTGACCCTTTCTCTGCTTGCTGATTAAGCAGCAGGCAGATTTCTCCCCAAAACGCATGACTTGGAAAGCATGTTCCCCTTGGACACTGTATCAGTCAGGGTTCCAGCAAAAAACAAAACAAACAAACACAGAACAAGTAGCATATATACATCAAGAGATATATTGCAAGGAATTGGCTTATGAGGTTGTGGCAGCCACCTAGGCAAGTCTAAAATCCAGAGGGTAGGCCATCAGGAAGGGCCACCTGGAACTCTAGGGCAGGAGCTGATGCTGCAGGTCAAAGGCAGACTTTCTTCCTCAGGGAAGCCTCAGCTCTGCTCTTAAGGCCTTTCCACTGATTGGAAATCTCCACCCAGAGTGTAGAGGACAATCTCCATTCCTTAAAGCTAGTGATTGTAGATGCCAATCACATCTGCAGGATACCTTCACAGCAACACCCAGATTCATACTTGATTGAATAACTGGGTATTACAGCCTTGCCAAGTTGACACTTCAAACTGACCATTACAGGCACTAAGATCTCCACACCCTCCCAGTCTAAGAAGATAGGGATGGGATGCAAACATCCCTCCAAAGAGTTTCACGACATGATAGTGACAGGGATACTCTTATCTCCCCCACTCACCCCCCAGTCCCATGGATTCTGACTAAAGGAAAGACAGCACCAAACCTTAGATATCTTTAAGGACACATGGGGCAGAGGTAGACAGCTCTCTGACCTCCCAGCATCTTGTCTCCCACCTAGAACTATACCCGAGCCATCCTCAGGCCACTCCACTTTTTATTAAACCAGAAGTTTCTGGGTGATGTGGCCCTTTGGGTTAATCTGGGCATGAGTTCATTGCCACACTTCCTTTGCCCTAAAATATGTCACCTGATCAGAGGTGATAATATAGGATACTATGGCAATGATGGAGGAATTCTGCAAGTGCGGGAATAGTGGTACTGATCAAAGCATTATGAATAGGCATGTTAGTCCATTTTGTGTTGCTATAAAGGAATACTTGAGGCTGGGTAATTTATTTTTAAAAAGAGGTTTATTTGGCTTATGGTTTTGCAGACTGTACAAGAGGCATGGCACCAGCATCTGCTTCTGGTGAGGCCTCAGGAAGCTTTTACTCATGGTAGAAGGTGGAAAGTGAGCCAGTGTGTCACAGGCTGGGAAAGGGTGGGGGGGTGAGAGAGAGAGAGAGAGAGGGAGAGAGAGAATGATGCTAGGCTCTTTTAAACAATCAGATCTCACGTGAACTAAAAGAGCAAGAGTGCACTCCTTACCTCAGGGAGGGCACCAAACCATTCATGAGGATCTGCCTCGTGACCAAAACACGTCCCACTAGGCCCCACCTTCAACATTGAGATCACATTTTAACATGAGATTTGGAGGGGACAAACATCCAAACTATATCAATAGGGAAGGCAAATCTGTATCAGAGATATATCTATCTCTGTGAAGAATAAGTTCTACCACCTTCATGATGGAAGGGCCCTGTGGGGGTTACTTTCATGTGTCAGCTTGGCTGGGACATGGTGGCCAATTGTTTGGTCAAGCACCGGACTAGATGTTCCGGTGAGAAGATATTTTAGATACGACTGGTATTTAAATCCATGGACTTTATTAAAGCAGATTGTTCTCCGTGATGCATGTTGGCTTCATCCAGTCCACTGAAGGCCTTAAGAGCAAAGACTGAGGTTTCCTGAGGAAGAAGGAGTTTCCAGCCTGCTGCCCTATGGAATTCATACTCAATACTGCAGCATCAACTCTTACATAGGTTCAGATTTTGGACTTGCCAGTTTCCACAGTTTCGTGAGCCAATTCCTTAAAATAAATCTCTTTCTCTCTCTTCTATTGGTTAAGTTTCTCTGGAGAACTCCCATTAATACAGGGTTCAATATAATCAACTTGCTGGTATCCCTGGGAAATAGTAACAGCTTAGAGGCTCAGATACAGTCTCTGCTGTTGACAAATTGGAAACTCATCAATAGCTGTAGCTAAATCAGCCCTGGCGAGGAAAAGTCCATAGTGATGAACCCATGTATAAACCTCCACCCCTGCCATATGGCCACTTTGTATCTGAGCCCATTGAGTGAGCCACATGGTTAGTCAACCTCTACAGGACAGGTCAACTTAACCACCTCAATTATTCTGCTCAAGCTGCTGTAGCGAGATACCACTGACTGGTTAGCTTAAACCATAGACATTTAGTTTCTCAAAGTTCTGGAGGCTGGAAGTCCAAGATCAAGGTGTCAGCAAGGTTAATTTCTGGTGAGGACTCTATTCGTTACTTGCAGATGGCTACCTTCTTTGCTGTGTCCTCACTTATCCTCTTTTCTGTGTGTGCAGAGAAAGAGCTCTCTGGTGTCTTTTCCTTTTCTTATCAGGACACCAGTCCTACCAGATTAGGGCCACACTCTTATGACCTCATTTAACCTTAATTACCACCTTAAAGGCCCCATCTCTGAATATAGTCACATTGAAGAGTTAGGGCTTCAACATGTGAATTTGGGGGGCGGGGTTAGACACAATTCAGTCCATAACACCACCTGATTTTTGAGAACCTCCTCCACAGTGAATGCCCTGTAGTGAAGAAGGCATGAATATCCATGCCCATTCTAAGAGATCCATCCACATACTCCCAGACCTCTTTATCATCAATTTTCAAGTCTTGTTCCAAGTCACTGACTGGCTAACCAATCCGTCAGTCACTCACCATGGATTGGACTGGATCTACACCTCTGGCCACCTTTCCTGATTGCTTCCTGGATCTGCATAGATATCAGCACCTCATCCTCAGCCTTCCTCACCGCCTGATTTTCAAGCTTTCTGGCCTAGGCTATGACCTCAGCTCAGATGTTGAATTTAAGTGTAAGCTTGCAGAGCAAAAGAAACTAATGAGGATTCCCTGAGTAACAATGAGTGAATAGGCAGGAGCCCAGTGGTGGGCTTGCAGATGGCTACCTTCTTTGCTGCGTCCTCACTTAGCCCCCATTCCCCAAAGCATGTGCCATAGGACCATCAGAAGCCAGCTGGCTCCCAAATGTTTAGAATCACTATAGGATCAAAGTCTCTTTACACTTTGCCCTCAACTTGAACTTTATCTCATGCCAGCACTGTTCATAATTTGAGTAATAACACATCACAGTGTGCCACGGATTACCTGTGTGCCATTTCCCCTTGGCAAGATAGGTATTACGGGGCAATGCAAATAGATGAGCAACTAGTGGCTTGCTGGTAAGTGTTGAACAACTGATTCTTAAAAAGAAAGGAGGAAGGTGAGGAAGGTTAGAAAGGAAAGGAGGGAGAAAGGTAGGGAGGGGAGAAACAAAGAAAGAAACAAAAAAGAGAAAAGAAAGAAGCCCTCATTGGTAGCATTTGCAAATTTCTATGGTATAAATATTCCCTACTATGGCTGATTTCAATCTACCAACATAATTTCACTGAACACGTAGTTGGAAAGAGATGTACACAGTCAGCTCTTGTAAGCCAGTCATAGCTGGCTCCAGCACACCACGTGGCTATCTCAATCTTCAGAGTCTGTTCTGAGGGTCTGTTTCCTGGGGCTACTCCTGGAACCCATTACTGTATCAGTCAGGGACCTAGCAACAAATAGATGGCCCACTAATAGGGAGTAATTTGAGAAAATTTTAACAAAGTAATTATTTACAAATAGTATTTTATAATTATTTAATTATCAGTTAATTTAATAATTATTCATTATAATTAATAATATATACAATGTATAATATATAAATTATATAATATATTTATTATAATTAATAATTATAGAAATATATTTTTATATTATATTGTATATATAGATGTATAAAATATTTAATATATAAATTGCATATTATATAAAATTTAAATGAGATTTATAAGATATATAAATTAATTAATTATATTTATAATTTATAAGTATGCATTTATAAATTTATATACATTATTTATAATGTATATACTTAATTATTATCTTATTAATTATATAATTATATTATTAGTTGCCTAATTACACTTATATAATTAATTTATATAGTTATATTTATATAATTATAACAAATATAACTATATAACTTATAATTATATTTTATCTATATATGGAAATATTTTATATATTATAACATATAAATAGTATAATTATAATGAAAATATATGAAAATATAAATAATAAATAATTATTCATTTAATAATTATTTAATTATTATTTACGAGTTAAGAGTGGGTAGGGTCTAGAGAAACCACAAAGGACAGTGAAGGTTTCTTGGGCTAGTAAGAGCAGGGCTCTGTTACAGTCCCTGGGCCTGAAGTGCAGAGGGAAAGAGCAGTTACTGGAACATGGAGACAGAGAGAAAGCCACGTGACAAGTCCTGGGTGCTTTGGTCAAGGAATGAAGCCAGCCTTATATCAATTCCTTAGGGAGGGAGCTGTAATTTCTTTTCCTCCTGCCCTCCAAACTACAATTTTTCCTCGTTGGTAGGGTGACCAATCGTCTCAGATTGCCTGGGATTATCCTGGTTTTAGCAGTTAAAGTCCTAAATCCTGGAAAATCAATTCGGTGATATGCACAGAAGCTTGGGGGAAATGTGTAAAAACCATATGGTGGCCCAAAAAATAGGGGCTGAATGCAATACTGTTTTGGCTGTAAATGGGTACAGTGCAGATGATCCACCTTCCATAACCCCTGTTGCTGTTTCTCCCCTGACTGCTCAGGTTGGGGACCACAACTTGTCATTCAGAATAGTGGATCATCCACGGTTGCAACTTTCCCAAGGTTGCAACTAAGTGTGCGTCACAAGTACACTGCAATCACAGGCATTAAGAGTCTGTCTTTGACTTTACCTGTGAACTAACTGTTGTCCTTTGTATCAAGATAGTGCTCATTTAATTTTTAGCAGTTGTAAATATTGTGGCCATATTTTCTAAGAGTTCAGATAATTAAAAAAGATAGTGATTACAATACCAATGCTGGCGTAAACCAAGGCATCACTGGAAAAGAAGGCTAACCAACTGTGTTATCTTAATGACATATGGAAGGACATGTACAACCAGATTAGAGAGGTAAATAATCAAAACAGAGCACGCTGCTCAATATGCAGAAAAGAGTTTTGAGCCAGGCACAGTGGAGAAGGGGATGTGAAAGTGCATGTGGAGACGACATCTCACAATTCTAAGATGAAACCGATATCCCTAAGTCAATCAAAAAACGTTGTCTACCAAAAAATGTCCAGTCAAAAATAGCAGCTGCTGCATTAGCTCAGTCATACCACACAAATCACTTTATCAAATCACTCTTTTGATCATTTTATAGGATTCAGTAAGGCTATATTTCCTGATTCAGAGGTTACAACTGAAATGTCTTGCAAACAAACAAAAGAGATGAATAAAAACAATAAGAGATGTGTTGGTCCCTTACATGGTAGAACTGATCTTTTCCTATCTTCCCCACAATCATGCTTTCTGCAGCTCTGAGTTTATAAGCTCTTATAAACTCAGAATATAAACAGCACTTATCAGAATATAAACAGTGTTTCTGCAGCACTCAGTTTATAAACTCAGAAAATGTAAACCAAAAGATTACTGATACCTTATCTGAATAAAAACTAGACATTTACATCTCTAACCCCAGTGCCTTGGGAGGCTGAAGTGGGAACCTTTCCTGAGGCCAGGAGTTCAAGACAAGCCTGGGCAAAATGGTGAGACCCCCTGTATTAGTCTGTTTTCATGCTGCTGATAAAGACATACCTGAGACTGGGCAATTTACAAAAGAAAGAGGTTTAATGAACTTACAACTCCACGTTGCTGGGGAGGCCTCACAATCATGGTGGAAGGTGAAAGGCATGTCTTACAGGGCAGCAGGCAAGAGAAAAGAGCTTGTGCAGGGAAGCACCCCTTTATAAAACCATCAGATCTCATGAGACTTATTCACTATCATGAGAACAGCATGGGAAAGACCTGTCCCCATGATTCAATTACCTCCCACCTGGTCCCTCCCACAGCACATGGGAATTCAAGATGAGATTTGAGTGGGGACACAGCCAAACCATATCACCCCCCATCACTACAAAATATATATATATAAATACATAAAAAGAATAAAAATAAAAACTAGACTTTGTTAATCTACCTACAGATATGACTGAGAATGCAAAGGTAAATTTTGGCAAATTATTTTCAGTCTATAAACTTCTTACCAATGAAAATGGAAAACTCTTATCTGCTAATTGTCATATATTTAGGGGGTGTGATTTGCTTATCTGGGATATTGATGATTTCATAATGAAAGCTTTTGGTCAGCTTTCATTTCTTTCAAAATGTGTAGAAACAATGAGACTTTTGACTTTGTAGAAATGGTAGGAGGTAGTCTCCTTAGACGCATGCCTACAAGGTGGCTATTATCATTGCCTGCCATAGAGAAAATATTAAATTGTTGGTCTATTGCAAAGTAATATTTTCAAAGTTTGGGATAAGAAGGATGTCCCTGTTTAATTTGGAAATACACTGAGGCTGATAATGGAGACAAGGACAGAACTTATGTGCTCTTTCTCCAAAACTGTTTGGTGGTATTTGAAGAGCCCATAAGGAGCATAGAAAAGGATGGGCAGACTGGACTTCAGTTATTTGATGTTATGTGGACATTGTGAAAAAACTCACTAAAAAAAGGACTTAGCAGATGAGGACAATAAGGCTTAGATTCATTCTAAAAAGTGATACTTTAAAAAATAATAATAAAGCAGGTTTAAAACTATAAAAAACAGAAAATGGCAACAGAGCTTTCTTAATTTCTCTACTAAATTGGTAGTTTATTTGTAATCCAATTTAAGATTTTAAAACTTAAAATTATCTCTGTGCTTTAATACCATTTTCTGTGAGAAACAAAGGTTTAACTTATAATGCCATCCAATGTACTTCAGACTAGGTAAAATGATGGCCGTTTTGGACATGACTGACTCATATAACTAATTTATTGATACAAAGAATCTCACTGAGAAACATCTGGTTTTTCAAAATAAGTCTTTAGATACAAAGTGGATGGACAATCTTGGAGAGCTGCAAACTAATTCTTGCTTGTCTAAAAACTTGTTCTTGCTAGCGGATTACATGGCAAAATTTTAAAAGGGTTTCACAGAATGTATGTGTTTACTATACATTATTATTACCCTTTCTCCAGAGAAACAGAAGCAATAAAAAAGCTATCATCTTATTGTCTATCTATCATCTATCTATCTATCTATCTATCTATCCATCCATCCACTGAGAAATTTATTTGAAGGAATTAGTCCACACAATTGGGGCTGCAAGGCTGAGATCTGCAGGGCAGGTGTCAGGCTGGAGACTCAGGGAAGAGTAGATGTTGCAAACCTGAGTCCAAAATCCACTGGAAACTCAGGCAGGGTTTCTATATTGCAGTCTGGAAACAGAGCTCCTTCTTCCCTGGGAAACCTCAGTCTTTGCTCTGAAGGCCTTTGACTGTTTGGAAGAGGCTCATTCACATTAAGGAAGGTCATCCGCTTTACTCAAAGTCTGCTGATTTATGTGTTAATCATATCTAAAACATACCTACACATCAACATCTAGAGTAGTGTTTGACAAGACAACTGGGCACCGTAGCCTGGATGACACATATAATTAACCATTAATTCCTGTAGGGGCGCCACATTAAAATGCTTTTTTTGAGAACATTGTTAGCTCAATGTCATCACCTTGGGCTGACACCAGGGCTCAGTGTAATATGGGCTTGATAAGAGGACAGCTGTGGCCGGGTGCGGTGGCTCACGCCTGTAATCCCAGCACTTTGGGAGGCTGAGGCAGGCAGATCACTTAAGGTCAGTAGTTTGAGACAAGCCTGGCCAACATGATGAAACCCCGACTCTACTAAAAGTACAAAAATTACCTAAGCGTGGTGGCAGACACCTGTAATTCCAGCTACTCAGGAGGCTGAGGCGGGAGAATTGCTTGAACCCAGGAAGCAGAAGTTGCAGTGGGCCAAGATCACGTCACTGCACTCCAGCCTGGGTGACAGAGCAAAACTCCATCTCAGAAAAAAAAAAGAAGACAGCTTTAAGACGAAGTGAATTTTACATTTGACTATGTTGAGTTTTTCTACTACATGCAAGAGAAATAAGGATGTACTAAAGGCTCTTGAAAGTTCAGAGAAGTATTAGCAGAAAAGGAAACAGAAGGAGCAAAAATATCCTACTGTATCATTGAATAGAAAAAAACATATTATTGCTATTTTTTATTAAATCTAGATAATATCTACTTAATTAGTCCTATTGTATTTATGTTTTCTTTTAAAGGGCTTACATTTATGTATCTTAGAGATATACAACAATGTAGCTTACAAAATTTAAGAATCCAATAAACAGTTAAAATAAATTTCTGGTATCAGAGGACAGAAAGAAACATTATAAAAATATTGTTTTCTCATATATTATTTGTTAATTAATCCTGCTATGAATTACTCTTAATTGCCACTATTACCTAGTACTACTATTATTTTGTTTAAATAATAGCATTTATATAACAGAAAATATTGAGTAACATATATAAATTTTAAACAAATACCTATTTTTCATATCTTCATGTTAAAGTAATAACACGTGTATATAAGTACTTATCATATATTATGTTACTGCGGGGGGTGGTGGTTGTTTTTTAGTCTTTTAAAAATATTTTATTTTATTTTTTCTTCAACTTTTATTTTAAGTTCTGGGGTACATGTCTAGGATGTTCTGGGGTACATGTCTAGGATGTGCAGGTTTGTTACATAAGTAAACACGTGCCATGGTTGTTTGCTGCACAGATCAACCCATCACCTAGGTATTAATCCCAGCGTTCCTTAGCTATTCTTCCTAATGCTCTCCCTACCCCCAAACCCCCTTCCCCTTATTTTTAGTGTTTTTTGTTTTTTGTTTTTTTGAGATGCAGTCTCGCTCTATTGCCCAGGCTGGAGTGCAGCAACACAATCTCAGCAGCTCACTGCAACCTCTGCCTCCCAGGTTCAAGCAATTCTCCTGCCTCAGCCTCTCGAGCAGCTGGGATTATAGGTGTGTGTTACCATGCCCGGCTAATTTTTTTATTTTTAGTAGAGATGGGATTTTACCATGTTGGTCAGATTGGTCTGGAACTCCTGACTTCAAATGATCCTCCCACCTTGGCCTCCCAAAGTGCTGGGATTACAAGTGTGAGCCACCATACCCAGCCTGTTTTATAGTCTTATATGGCCCTGTCCCAGGTTGATTCTCTAAATCATTGGTCATTCTGCCATTGGTCAGACATAGCCAGGAGCCAGAGAGTAGGGAACCTGTTGCTATAACCCATGCAGATAAAGGACACAGAACAGAGCAGAGGTAAGTGAAGAATGGGTTTGGAGAAGCAAATGGCAGCCCTCTGAGTTGCTGGCTTGTTGTTGGTATTAATATGATCTCGGTGGTCCAAGACCACCAACAGCACGGCAACACTGACAGTTCAGCAGGGAAATGGAGAGTGCCGATTTCCACAGAGGTACCAGGGTTTCCCAGGGCTGCTTCCTAATCTCCTTTCAAGAAATGGTAGCACTTCTTATATCCCAGAGAGTGTCAAGTGAGTGCGACTTTTCGTCCCTGTGTCTATGGCCAAAAGCATGCAGTCATCTTGTGCTTCAGTTTTCTCTTCATCCTATGGCTCAGTTTTCTCTTCATCTGTAAAATGAAAAAAAAAAAATACAGATTTGTTGAGGGATTAGGGATAAAAGATATGAAGGTACTTTGAAAAATGTAAGAAGTGAATGATTTACTGGCATTTCTCTCTTCTGCCATTCAGGCCACTGGAGCACTTTTCAAAAAATAATGCTATTCTAAAGTTGGATATTTGGTTCTAACCAGGAAGTAATAACTATCATAATAATGGAAGACATTTATTGAGGGCTGACTGTGTGCCCTCACAGTCAATTCTCACAGAGAATCTGTGGGACATGTTTTCCCATGGCTTATCTTCTTTAATCCTCAGAACAACTGCAGGAAGTTATACTATTGATGTATGTTGCAGATGAGGAAAATAAGGCTTAAAGCATTAAATAACTTGGCCCAAGTTTCCATAACAAATAAGTAATAGATCTGGGACTTGAACCCAGGCAGTCTTTAGACCACTAAGCACTCTGACTTCCTAATCATAGCACTTTGTAAAGCCAAGGTAACAACTAGGCGACTATTTCCTGTAGGGAGATTGTTTTGATAAAATATTGCAGAATGGTCATGAGAAATATACACAACGGGGAAAGTTAAACCCCATCAAGATTTATGCTTTGAGCCCCCCATCTGTATCAATGCAGAGTAATGGTAGAGTTTTTAAAAATGACCATGCTGAAAAAAAAGATAACATCTCTGTGGGCTAGAAACTCAAAACGGAAATCAGCTACTGAAGCTAGCAGCCTACTGGGTTGTGAATCTGCAAGCAGTCAAAGGAAGCAGAGAGTTCATTTTCTGCAGTGATTGGAAGGCAGAAGAACAGAGCCAGGGTGGAATGTGGCTCCCTCTTATAAGAGAATATAAAATGCTTACATCAACCCCTGCATAACTGAAAATACAAGATGAGAGAAGGCAAATACAGCCTTGCATCCAGCATCTGGCCATTTTACTAAGTGGCTCAGTGACTAGAACTAAAATATCCCCAGTTATCTCTGTAAGATGAGCACTCTGAAAGCCCACTGTAAGATGTGATTCTGAACCAGAGACTCTAAGAGGGCACATAGACACAAGAAACCACTAGAAAAGGAATGGTGAGTACAGGGCCACTGCAACAAAATGAAATAAAACAAAAATAAACTAATTAAAAAAAATTAAAAGTCAAGAGATGAAATCACTTAAGAGAAAATGAAATCAATGATGTAATCTGAAAATGATTTAAAAAGTCACTATGCTGAATATCTTCTAAGAGTTAAAGGAAAGATGAACAGGATGTTTTTTTAAAAAAAGGACAAGAAATTAAGAACTTGAACCAGGCAGAAATGAAAAAAAGACAGATAGATATGAAAAAGAATCATTTAGAAATCTTGGATTAAAAGGCGAAAGCAGCTAATTACTGAAATTTACAAAGCCCAATAGATGGGATAAACTTTAGATTGGATAGCTAAAGAGAAAATTGACAAACTGGAAGATGATTATGGAGGAACTCATCTAGAATGTAGCACAGAGTGATAAATTATCCAAAAGGCCAACAATGAAAGAATATGTTTGACATCATTAGTCTCAGATTACATTTTTAAGAAACATACATATTGGTTGCATACATATTGGTTACAAGTCAGTCCTAAAGCAAAATGAAACAGAAATGCTGAAAATGTGGGGATATAAGAAGCTGCCATGTGTAAAAGCTGAACAAATGCTGTATTAGTCAGGGTTCTCCAGATAAACAGAACTAATACAATGTATACAGAGATAGACAGAGATTTCGTATAAGGAATTGGTTCACATGATTATGGAAGCCAAGTTCAAAAATCCGCAGGGTGAGTTGGCAAGCTGGAGACCCAGTGGAGCCCCAGCAGCCTCCAGACCCAGGAAGAGCTGATGTTTCAGTTTGCATCTGAAGAGAGGAAAAAGTTGATGTCCTAGTTTGCAGGCAGTCAGGCAGGAGGAATTGTCTCTTACTTGGGGGAGGGTTGGCTTTTTTGTTCTATTCAGGCCTCCAGTTGATTAGATGAAGCCAACCCACATGAGAAAGGACAATCTGCTCTGCTGGGTCTCCTGATTTAAAAATGAATCCCATTCAAAAACAACCGCACATAAAAAACCATAATAATGTTAATCAAATATCTGGGCATCCTGTGGCCCAGTCAAGTTGACACACAAAGTTAACCATCACAATTGGCCTTGGGGAACTTAACAGGCACAGCACCCTGGTCAGCCAGGGAAATAGAGGGAGGAAGTGCTTGCTCCTTCTTGGCAAGAAAAGAGAATAGATCCTAAGCATGGAGGTCTCTAGGTGCAGATGGCTGGAGTTCTGGGTGCTGTGTTAGAAAACACTTGTGCTTTGAAGCCAGAGATGCCTGAGTGAGACTCTCTCCTATCAGCCGTTTGTCTTTGGATGTGTTACTTAATTCCTGAGTTTCAGTTTCCTCATCTTTTAAAAGAGACTAATAATAGTACCTATCTCAAAGGGATATTGAGAGGATTTTAAAAGATGATATATAAAATCCTTAGCAAACATCTGACATATGTTAGATCTCTGATGGTCAGCACTGGAATGTGGACAGCTGAGCCACCACTGGTGACACCATGACTGGGGAGGACTGTGAAGAGGAATGAGCCAGGACATAAGAGCCAACAGACAGCAGGTCTAAGTCCTGCTCTGCCTCCTACTAGCTGTGAAGCTTCCATTCCTCTTTCACAGGGTGTTTGCCTCTCATCTACAAACTGAGGGTGGTACACCTACCTCCAGACCCGTGTTTCTGAACTGAGGGACACTCCCCCTGCTGGATGTCCAGTGACATTCGGCTATGTCTGGAGACATTTTTGGTTATCACAGCTGGGTTGGGGGTGTGAATGGCACCTAGTAGGTAGAGGCTAGGGATGCAGCTCAGCATCCCACATTACCCAAGACAGTCCCTTACAACAAAGAATTATTCAGGCCAATGTGTCAGTTGTGCTGAAATTGAGAAACCCTGGGGTGAAAAACTTAAATGAGATCATGTTTATAAAAGGCTCGGCTTAAGAGATAAAAATGAAGGCTATGATCCTCCTCCTTTTTCTCCACCTCCTCCTTCCATGAAAGTGATTAGGCCAGGCACAGTGGCGTGCACGTGTAGTCCCAGCTACTTGGGAGGCTGAAGCTGGAGGATTGCTTGAGCCCAGGAGTTGGAGACTGCAGTGAGCTATGATTGTGCCACTACCAGCCTGGGAGACAGAGTGAGACTGAGTCTCTAAAAAAAAGATGGAGGGGGGAAAGAAAGAGGGATTAGATAGACAGTAGGTAGGTTCCTGCTCTTCTTCCCCATGCTTTCTTCCTGCCATGGCTGGGGACTAGCGAGGAGAAGGAAGTGTGACTGTCCCACTGCAGCATTCCCCCTGCTCAGAGCCCAGGAGGAAGGGAACTCACTTGCAGCTTTGCATAAAGAGAGTCTGCCAGCTGCAAGCCAAGTTCTGGAACACAGCTTCCGGGCAGCGGCCTCTGGAATGCTTTCTGGCTCTCTCTGCAGACTCAGCCTCCTGCAGCTCCTTGGCTAACCTGGCAGGAACCTCAGCCCAGGCCAAGGAGGCTGCAGCCAACCCGAGCCCCCTGATGGGCTTCCACCCCGACCTCCACAGCTGCTGGTGAGATTTGGCTCAGCCCTTAGTCATGACCCTTCCATAGACTGACTTCTTTAAAATTCACGAAGCCTTTTCTTTACAATTATGATTATGCCTGTCCTGTGTGCAGGCACCGAAGGAGGAGGAGATACTAGGAATGAAAGGTTAAGGGACAGAAAAGGAACATCCAGTCCTCCTGTAAAAGCTATCTCTCTGTGTTGTCCTTGGACTTGAGTCTTCCTGTGGCCTGTGACTAATGCTCACATCCCTGAAATTTCCCAGGACAGAAAAGACCCAATCACACAACCCCAGAAGAAAAACACCAACAAAACCAATTTTCTCTACAAACGTGCATGTGATAGCTCCGACCAGTTCTCTAAGCCATTCCCATCAGCCCAGGGTTCACAATCCAGCCCTCGGCTGGATTTCAAAGGTGGGAACAGGCTGGGTTCATGTCTGTAATCCCAACACTTTGGGAAGCCAAGGTGGAAGGATCACTTGAGGCCAGGAGTTCCAGACCAGCTTGGGCAACATAGCGAGACCCTGTTTCTAAAACAAAAACAAACCCAAAAAACAAAAAACAAAAATTAGGCAAGCTTGGTGTTACACGTCTATAGTCTCAACTACTTGCTTGAGGATGGGAGGATCACTGGAGCCCAGGAGTTGAAGGCTGCTGTGAGCTATGATGGTGCCACTCCAGCCTAGAGCCTAGGTGACAGAGAAAGACCCTGTCAAAAAAAAAAAGGGGGGGGGGTGGGGGGAGCAGACAGACCACACTCAATTCATCAAAAGGAGAATTGCTACTTTTCATTTGTTTAGCTACAGTAGAAAAAGTCTAATCACATAACTTTCCCTGGGGCTGCGGAAGATTTCTCCTTTGAGGCAGTTCCTCACAGTAACACTGTAATCGAAACAAAGCCTGCTCTTCTCATGCGGAGCATATTTTCTCCTGGAGAACCACAACTGGGTTTGCAAGGGTAGAGCCAGGCTCCTTCCCATAACATGCTTGCCTTGCCTGCCTGGGGTTGAACTTTTTTTTTTTTCCACAAGAGAGCCATAAACACATAGATACCAAAGAGTTAATTTGCGTTTTTTAAACCTTCTTCCCAAAGCCTGCTCTCATTCCTGCATAAAATCCCCATGTCCAGACATCAAATCAGTAAGCCCTGTTGCCTGTCAGAGAATACAATGTCAGGCCATTAGTATGTTAATAAGTCCGGAGGGCGACAGGTGGCCTACTAGACAGCTCAATTAAGCTGCTCATTAAACACACGCTAACGAACAGCCGAGGCAGGGCCTGAACAGCACCATTCTGTAATGACATGATGTCAGAGTGAACAAATGAGGAAAAATAACAAAAACATTACAGCAGGGACAGACGCCACTAATAAGGACCCCTCGCACTACATCAGCCCGCAAATCAATGAGTCACCGGGATCAAAAAACTCGACCCAACATTCTCAGGAGACTGAGTGCAGCAAGATTTTTTTGGTCACTACTAAAAAAAAAAAAAAAAAAAAAAAAAAAAAAAAGCCCAAACCCAACCCTAAAATTATTGCAAAATATCGCAAATTAACTGCTTTAAAAAAATGAAAAAGAGCAAAGTTTATTTGACACGGAGCTAATCACGAAGTCTGAGAAATCTGTATTGCTGGGTTTAAATGAAAATCATTATTTAATGGGATCATTATTTACATTTGATTGGCATCCTCTTTTTATAAGCCCACAGGTTTGAACCATTTCTCTGCTCTGGTACCCAGGCAGTAGAAGGGCACAGTGGAACGGAAGGAGCGTGTAGCCAAATTTCTTAGGTGAAGATTCTGCTTGTCATTATTTTAAGAGAAGGGACTTCCAGCAGCTGCTAGAGGTTTCTCTCATTTTCAAGTAAGGCGCTTCCTGAATAATAAAAAATCAAACCTCCGCCAGGCATGGCTCTGACATTGGAGACATATATTGCTAAACTAATAGGCTGGCTGGCCATTAGGAGATCACGACCTCGGCTCTTATCTTTTGTCAAGTTAACAGCTGACACCTCCTCTGCATGTAGACTTTCTTCTAGGCCTAAGGTAGATGCTGCTCCTCTAGCTAAGCTGGTGAGCTGAAGGCAGGCAGGAAACCAGTGCAGTTGGGCTTAAGGAGCTGACGCAGAGTCCCTCGGAAGCATGGTTCTTTCCATATTGGTTGAACTTTCTCTGCACAAATCTATGGTCCAAATCTATGAGTGAGGCAGATAAGGCTCTCACCTGAGTGACCCTGAGCAGGTCCCCTTAATCCCTGGCTCTGTTTCCTTATTCATATTTATTTTATTTTTAGAGACAGAGTCTCTCTCTGTTGCCCAGGCAGGAGTGCTGTGGTGTGATCATGGCTCACTGTAACTTCAAACTCCTGGGCTCATGTGATCCTTTGGCCTCAGCCACTGGTGTAGCTGGGACCACAGGCATGTGCTGCCATGGCTGGTTAATTTTCAGAATTTTTTTTGTAGAGATGGGGTCTCGCTATGTTGCCCAGGCTGGTCTTGAACTTTTGGGCTCATGTGATCCTCCTGCCTCTGCCTCCCACAGTGTTGGGATTACAGGCGTGAGCCACTGCACTCAGCTCTTTATTTATAAAATGTGATTGGACTGGGATTTCGCCTTGCCTTTTCCATTCTAGAAAGGACTTCAGCACAAAATAAGAGTAAAATCCTCATGGAATTTGCCATCTGGTTGAAAAGAAAAACTAGTGGCTGAAAATAGTCACGAAGAATTCAAGAACACAGTATAGTGTGTTACCTAGAATTATAAGAAGAATTTAAAAAAGGGAGACATTGGGGATTTGTAAGGGCTCCAGGCCAATTCCCTGAAATCAGCTGGGCCTGAGTGGGTGGAGCAGACGCAGGGAGAGGGCGGAGCTTCTGCCGACCTTGCAGAGTGAGTAGGATGGAAGGGCAGGAGGAGGTCCAAGCGACAAAGGCAGGCATGAGCATGGGGCCTGCATGCGTCTGGGTGTATGTGGACAGTGGGATGGGAGCTACCTGTGATCAGACCTGCTACATGGAGGCAAGCTGGGGGGTGCAAAGCCAGAGGAGACAGATGTGCAGGGGCAGAGGCAAGAGACATTTGGTGAGTGCAGAGGCCACAGCAATCTGGCTTTTTATCTCAGTGACTCTAAGGTCTGTCTTCAGGCTGATGGATGTGACAGCATGCCATCACTCGACAGATATTTACTGAGGTTCCCTCTTTGCTTGAGGAACTGTGGGGAATACAAAAATCAGAATATTCTGGACCTGCCCTCAGGGAGTTTATAATCGAGTCATTCCTTCAACTAATATTTCTTCAAGGACCTCTCTTTGCCAGGCTCTGCTAAGAATAATGGCAAATAATGGTTTCTTGGTCCCAGCCCTCGTGAGTTTATGGTCAAAGAGAAGAGACAGGCATATTATTTGACTAACTCCATTTCAAGTCAGACTGTGATGAATGTTGTGGCCAAGGTGGGAACAGAGACTTGTAGGAACACAGATAAGGGTGTGCTTAAGTCTGTCTGTGAGAATCACAGAAACTTCCAGGCACCTTCAAGGGCTCTAGAGCAGCACTGTCCAGTAGAACTTGCTGGAATGACAGGAATGTTCTTTACCTGCATTGTCCAGTGTGGTAGCCACATATGGCTGTTGAGCACTTGAGATGTGGCTAGAGTGACTGAGAAGCTGAATTCCTCATTTTAATCCATTGGAATTTAAATAGTCACATGTGATTAGTGGCCACCATATTGGATAGTGCAGCTGTAAAATGGTTAATAAAATGGTAGTGCAGATGACATGACTGGTGGTGCGATTTATGTGGAATGACATGTCTTCTTCCTTACAAAGGGCACTTTCCTTCTGTGCAAGGGTAGCAACATCCTAGAAGCCAGAGAAATAGCTGTTCCTTCAGTAATGCTATATCCCTTTGACCAACATCTCACTATCTTCATAGGCCACACACAGTGGGTGTATTGATTGATGCTGGCATAGACACACTGATAGGTAAAAAATGAAAAAGAATTTTAGATATAGAACGTCTTTTCTCCTCTTCTCTTCTAGTCTGAGTTCAAATCTCTCCTCTTCTGGCAATGTTTGGTCTTCCCTGGACCATCTTGGAGAGCTGAGAACCCTAAAAGCAGCACCAGCCTGCCCACCAGGGGGCAGCGCACGCACCATGAGGTTGTTCACTGGGCTTATCAAGATCTATCTGGCTAGGGTTGTTTTCCAAGGATTGGGAAGAATCGCTTCGGTCCTTCTTTGGAATTTGCTCTGAAGTCTTCTTCCCTTCATTGCTCCTGTTAGATGCTCCACAACAAGTGAAGAAATGAGGAAATAGATTTCTCTTCCCACATTAAAGCAAAGTTAATAAAATGGTCATGGGCACTGGAGAAGTCTTTGGCTTTGGTTTTGTTTATGCGATCATTTTTATGATAAAGATAGGAAAGGAAGAGTCCCAAAGCCAAGGCCATTGAGAGGAGATGAGTGGGGATTTCCACTCAAGGATGGCGAGTTGAATGCAGGGGTTAGCCTCCAGTCCCTCCTGAAACCCCACTAAAGCAACAACAGGGGAGGTATTTTGGAAGACATATAAACCTACGGAATGAAGAGAACAGAAGCAATGATAATAGCAATAAAATCTGAAAGTTTGGAAAGCAAATGTAAGTTTGGTAACTGTGATGGTGAATATTAGGTGTCAACTTGATGGGATTGAGGGTGGCTGGTAAGGTATTGTTTCTGGATGTGTCTGTGAGGGTATTGCCAGAGGAAATTGACATTGAAGTTGGTGGGCTGGGAGAGGAAAACCCACCCTTTATGTGGGTGGGCACCATCCAATCAGCTGCCAGCAAGGCTAGAGCAGAGCAGACGCAGAAGGAGAAGGTGCAATGAGCTGGCTTGCTGAAGCTTCTGGCCCTCCTTCTTCTTCCCATGCCAGACACTTGCTTCTGCTCCTCCTGCCCTTGGATATCAGACTCCAGGTTCTTTGGCCTTTGGACTCTGGGACTTGCATCAACAGTTTCCCTGAGGGTTCTCAGGCCTTTGGCTTAAAGGTTGCAATGTTGGCTTCCCTGGCTTTGAGGTTTTCGGACTTGAAGTGAGCCACTACCAGCTTCTCACTTTCCCCAGCTTGCAGATGGCCTATTGTGGGACTTTGCCTTGTAATCATGTGAGCCAATTCTCCCTAATAAACTCCCTTTTATATATACATGCATCCTATTGGTTCTGACCTCTGGAGAACCTGGACTAATACAGTAACTGATGCAACAGGGCTGAGAAAGCGGAACCATAAGCAGCCAGTGGGGCAAGCTAAAGTCAACCCAGTTGCTCATAAACTGGTGACACCAGAGACCTATGGAAGTGGGAATCAAGGTGGATCTACAAGCAGAAGGACAGATTAAACATCCTTCAGGTCCTTTTAAGAAGTAGTTAGATCTCCAGCCTTCCTCGCTTATTCTTCGATGTCAGGCGAGAGAAATGTTCGCATTCCAAACGTTGAGATCACTGGTCATTTTCCTGATCATGTTTCCAGAATAATGGTAATAAGGACTATAGCTTCCATGGGAGAGCCGTGAAGCCTTCACTGCAGCTCTTCCAATAGTATGAGAGGAAAGAGTCATACATACTGCCATCCAAGATTCCCCAGGGAAACGGCCCAAGCAGGTCACTGTGCTGAAGCCCAGACAAGCCCCATGTAAATGCACAGAGCTTACCATCAGCTGTTAGTGACCCATTATTCAATACGGGGAGATAGTTAAAGACCATTTGGTATTTGAGAACAGCCTCTAAGGCAGAACCAGAGAAAGGTGGAAAGTAACTCAGAGCTAACATAAGTTATAGAAGCTATGAAGGGAGAAGAAATGTTTAAAAATTATTAATCATTACTATTCTAAGAATAAGCTATTGCATCCATGGAATAAGAATAAGATACTAATTTTATTTTTAATTGACAAATGATAATTGTATTTATTTTATGAGCTACAAGGTGATGTTTCAGTACATGTATACATTGTGAAGTGATCAGTTCAAGCTAATTAACATATTCATCACCTCAAATAGTTATCATTTCTTTGTGGTGAGAACATTTAAAATCTACTCTGTTTCCTATTCTTAAATATAATGTATATTAACTATAGTCACCATGCTATGCAACAGATAACCAGAACCTATTTCTCCTGTCTTTGTACCCTTTGACCAGTATCTCCCCTTTCTCCATTCTCCTTTTCTCCCCTGCCCCAGCATCTGACAATCGCCATTCTTCTCCCTGTTTTCATGAATTTGACTTTTTAAGATTCAACATATAAATAAGATCATGTGGTGTTTCTGCTCCAAACCAGTTCTCTCGAACTTAGCCAAATGTCCTCCAGGTTCATCTATGTTGTAGTAAATGACAGATGTCCCCTTCTTTTTTTTAAGGCTGAGTAGTATTGCATTTGTGTGTGCGTGTGTGTGTATAAAATATTTTTTATATCAGGCACTTTGGTTGTTTCCATATCTTGGCTATTGTGAAGAATGCTGCAGTGAACATGGAAGTGCAGACATCTCTTTAACATACTGACTTCAGTTCCTTTGGATATATACCCAGAAGTGGGGTTGCTGGATCATATGATAATTCTATTTTTAGTTTTTTCAGGAACCTCCATACTGTTTTCCATAATAACTGTACTAATTTACATTCCTGCCAGCAATATACAAGGGTTCCTTTTCTCCATATCCTCGCCAATACTTATCTTTCAACTTTTTGCTAATAGCCAGTTGAACATGTATAAGGTAATATCTCATTGTGGTTTTAATTTTCATTTCTCTAATGATTAGAGATGTTGAGCATTTTTCATATATCTTTTGCTCATTGTATGTCTTCTTTCGAGAAATGTCTATTTGTCTTTGGCCATTTTTTAAAGGGGTTATTTGTTTTCTTGTTTTTCAGTAGTTCGAGTTCTTTGTATATTTTGGATGTTAGCTCCTTATGCAATGTGTAATTTGAAGATATTTTCTCCCGATCTGTAGGTTGCCTCTTCACTCCACTAATTGTTTCCTTTGCTTTGCAGAAGTTTTTTTAGTTTGATGCAATCCATTTGTCTATTTTTGCTTTTGTTGCTTGTGTAAGATACTAATTTTAAACAAACATTCAGAGAACAAACAAAAGTGCTTGGAAACAGGAGAAGTAAAAAAGTTAAGAAAATCTCTCAGGATATAGAGTAAAAACACGGAAAATAGGAGAGAAGAAATAATGAATTTATAGAACCACACCAGAATGTCAAACATCCAAATATGGAAAGTAGATTTAGAGACAATGGAAGGCAATTTTCCAAAGAAGCAATTCATGAAAACTTCCCAGGTATCAAGTTCCTGAATCAAGTTCCCAAGGTATCAAGTTTCACAATTGTACCTAGCACTATGGATGGATGAAAATTTATTCACTGAGACAAATCATTGTGAAATTTCATCATGATGAGAATAAAGAGAAGATCCTACATGTTTCCAGAGAGAAAAAAGATAACATGCTTTATACAAAGGATCAACAATCAGAATGTCATTGGACTTCTCCAAAGCAATATGGTGGAAGACAACAGAGAAATATTTCACTATTTGAAGAAAAAATATTTCTAAAGGCAGAATTTTATACCCAGCAAAACTATTAATCAAATGTAAGGGTATAAAAAATAGGTTTTCAGACATTCCAGGCCTTATACTAAAGCTATTGGAAGTTTTTTTTTTTTAAATAAAAAAGGAGTAAAATTTTAAAAGAGGAAGATGTATGGTCCAGGAAACAGAGACTCCATCATAGAAGGGAGGTGAAGGAAATCTGCACTAATATAATAACTGCATAGTAGACTTATAGGACAACAATCCAGAAGGTTCCAGAAGAGACTGCTTCAAAAAGATGGAATTATTGTGCTTGAACAAATTGAGAGGAGGGCACAGTTTGGGGACAAATGATTAAAACAAACAAAAAAAATTGTCTTTGTTTATAAAAAACAAAATATCTACCTATATGGATTAGAGAAAGTAAGTCAGGTAAAAAAGGGAATTTTTAACCTCAGGAAAAGCATAAGTTGTTCAGAAATGGAAAAATAAATGTAGTATTTATGGTTCAGTGATTCACAGTATTTAAAGAATTATAACAATGTAAACATTGTTAAAAAGTAAATTGAAGCTGGTTGCTCCAGCTTACCCCTGTAATTTCAGTACTTTGGGAAGCCAAGGTGGAAGGATCACTTGAGGCCAGGAATTTGAGACCAGCCTGGGCAACATAGCGAGACCCTGACTATACAAAAACCTTTTTTTAATTAGCCAGGAGTTGCGGTGCACACCTGTAGTCCAGCTACTTGGGAGGCTGAGGCAGGAGGATCCTTTGAGCCCAGGACATTAAGAATTCAGTGAGCTATAATCGTGCCACTGTACTCTAGTCTGGGTGACAGAGCAAGATCCTGTCTCTAAAAGAAAAATAAAATAAATTGAAGCACAACTTTAAAGAATATATTTGAGCAAACAATGATTCATTAATCAGACAGCTCCAAACGAGGAGTATTCAAGAGCTCCACCAACAGACCACAAAGCAGGAGACTTTTATAGGACAGATACAGAAGTAAAGCAAAGAAAAATTTGATTGGATATAGTTATCCAGTTGCCTTATTTGGTCTATGTCCGTTAGTCCATTCTTGCATTGCTATAAAGAAATACTTGAAGCTGGGTAATTTATAAAGAAAAGAGGTTTAATTGGCTCATGGTTCTGCAGGCTGCACAGGAAGTGTTGTACTGACATCTGCTTCTGGTGAGGCCTCAGGAAGCTTCCACTGGTGGCGGAAGGTGAAGAGGAAGCCAGTAAGTCATATGACAAGAGCAGGCATGGCGGCGGGGGAGGAGGGCAGGTGCACACACTTTTCAACAACCAGAGTTCACGTGAACTTATAGTGAGAACTCACTCATCACCAAGGGGATGGCTATTCATGAAGGATTCGCCCTCATGATCCAATACCTCCCACCAAGCCCCACCTCCAGCACTGGGAATTACATTTCAACATGAGATTTCGGTGGGGACAAATATCCAAACCATATCAGTCCCACTGGAAAATCCCTAATTAAATAATTACAAGTTTTTGGCTACTTCTGATTGTTTGGGCTTAAATTATGTTTTTCTTTAATACAGGCATTTGCAAGAAAAATCTGAAGTTAAGTTTTGCTTATGTTTGCAATCAAGCAAGGTTTAGGTCACTTAAGAGGCCTAACTTGTTTTGTCTGCTCAGAGATTCTTCAGGCCTGACCTCCACTTTAATTTACTTGAAGAGCATCGAATATGAATCTGCAGAATTTCAGTGAAACTATAGAGGAAGAATGGAGGTAAGGGGTGTGTGTGTGTGTGTATGTGTGTGTGTGCGCCCACAAGCACTTGTGCATGCTCTTGTGTGTATATGTTGTATGTTATGTGAAACAGTAAAATCCTTTTTTATCTGTAGAGGAAGTCAATGTTCAATGCATAAGATGAAAACACCAAGAAATAGTAATGAAGTCATGTTATTATAGATATATGGATGTAAATATCAAAAGAATCCATTAAAATGAAAGTGATTGCTTTAGAATTAGAAAATGGCAGAGGGAAAATGGAGAGTTGAGGAACTGCTCTCTATCATAAGCTTTAAATCTATCTTCCTGGGCATGGTGACTCACGCCTGTAATCCCAAAGTTTTGGGAGGCTGAGGCAGGAGGATTGCTGAGCCGGGAGTTTGAGACTGGCCTTGGCAGCATAGTGAGCCCCCATCTCTACAAAAAATAATAATAAAAAAAAAAACTAGCAGGACATGGTGGTGCATGCCTGTAGTCCCAGCTACTTGGGAGGCTGGGATGGAAGGATTGTTTGAGCCTGGGACAGTGAGGCTGCAGTGAATCGGGATCATGTCACTGCACTCCAGCTCTGGGCAACAGAGAGAGACCCTGCCTCAAACAAACAAACAAACAAGCCAAAAATACCCACAAACAATCTAACCCTAAACTCTGTGGATTTACAACTTTCATTTTAAAAAATTTTAATAAAAGGAAGAGATCAATGGTCAAAATTATAGAGTAGTATAGCAGAATGAGAATTAACTAAAAATCACTTCCAGGGACCAGCAGGCTACTATTTGGCAATGGAACAGTTCTGGGTTGGTCCACCCTAAGTGCTAGAGTCTGCCTCTATTCTAGGTCCCTCCTCAGTACAGGACAATTTGTTTCATGAAACTACCAAGTTGCTTTGTTACTATATATAAAAATTATTCAGATTTATCACGTCACCACCCGCTATGAGAATTTACGCAACAAACACCGAGCGCTTGCTTCTCAATGCCTCTTTCTAACGTTGTGTCTCTATTTCTTGTACCATCTCCCCCCACCCACCCTGACACACATTAAATCTAATCAGGGTGTTATCTAGATTTCAATACAAGTTTGACAAGTAGACAAGTATATGAATAAGAGATTAACACAAACTCAAACTGCCCCATGTGTCCTGTCTTCATGGAAATTAGCTTGTAAAGTCAAATGAGTTGGTTTTTCTTTTTCTTTTCTTTCTTTCTTTCTTTCTTTTTTTTTTTTTTTTCGGAGACAGGGCCCAGGTTGGAGTGCAGTGGTACAATCACAGCTCACTGTAGCCTCGACCTCCTGGGCTCAAGCAATCCTCTTGCCTCAGTCTCCCACGTAGCTGGGACCACAGGTGTGTGCCACCATGCCCAGCCAATTTTTGTATTTTTTTATAGAGACGGGGTTTCACCATGTTGCCCAGACTGGTCTCAAACTCCTGCACTCAAGTGATCTGCCAGCCTCAGCCTCCCAGTGAGTTGTTTTTTCTCTTTGTTCTCACATCATCCCTTTCTCCTTCTTGCATATCCCTAAGTTTAAGCCCCAGGTTATGCCGCATCTCCTTGATGAAGTCTTTCTGATCAGGGTCGGGCTTCCCAAAGATAACTTCTTCGTTCTCTCTCACCCTCTTACTGAAAGGCACCAACAGCTCTTCTTAGCAATGTACTGAGTGCCTGGCACTTAGTGTTGTTTACTTTATTGTTCCAAGCTCCATCTGGGGGCAAGCTCCCCAACTGAGACATTATTAGTACTCCCTGCATCTACGAAGGACTTCGTTGGAACTTGTAGATTTGGCTCCTGAAACCACACAAAATAAAACAAAATCCTGAACATGCCTACATAAATATGCACAAAAACACATTCAGTTCCACTGAATGGTTATTTGATGAAATTGAAATTATTTTTCATTCTTCAGGCATGACCATCATTTTGTTTAAATACAGACTTCTTATCTTTTAAAGGCATATACTAAATATGTACATATGAAATGGTATA
The DNA here is from genome assembly GCF_000001405.40 of Homo sapiens. Taxonomy (NCBI): domain Eukaryota; kingdom Metazoa; phylum Chordata; class Mammalia; order Primates; family Hominidae; genus Homo; species Homo sapiens. The sequence goes on from NC_000021.9 coordinate 32,929,035, forward strand.
ATGTTTGGGATTTGCTTCAAAATAACTTGGTACTTGAAGAGAACTAGGTGGCAGTGTAAGTAAAATCAGAGGGCCAGGAATTTCTGCTTTTTGTGGCCCAAGGATGGGTAAATAGAGGTAATTTGTGCTATTTCCTCTATTTTTAATTTGTTAGAAATTTGTATAATAAAATATTAAATACATAAATATATATTTATATCTAAGATATAATTATAATAGATATTAAATATACGTAAGTACATATATATGCATTCAATTATGGAATAAAGAGTGTTTGACCTGGCCGGGCGTGGTGGCTCATGCCTGTAATTTCAGCACTTTGGGAGGCCGAGGCAGGTGGATCACGAGGTCAGGAGTTTGAAACCAGCCCGGCCAACATGGTGAAACCCTGTCTCTACTAAAAATACAAAAAATTAGCCAGGCATGGTGGCTGGCGCCTGTAATTCCAGCTACTCGGGAGGCTGAAGCGGGAGAATCACTTGACCTGGGAGGTGGAGTTTGCGGTGAGCCGAGATCGCACCATTGCACTCTAATCGGGGCGACAAGAGTGAAACTCCATCTAAAAAAAAAAAAGTGTTTGACTTTAATGAGTTATTACTTCCTGGCTTAACCCCTTTTACTTTACAGAAAAGACATAAAAAAGTGAAATTACTTGTCTAAGTTCACAATAATGGCTGACTGTGACAATGCTGGGCCTAGACTTCAGATCTAATCATTCTAAGTGTAGTGGACTCGGAGATAGCTGAGATAGAGGAGGTGGCGGGGGAGAAGTGCTAACTGCTTTATTCTCTCATCTGAAAGCTTTAAGTCTGTTAAAAATAGAACTTGCCTAGTCAAAGTAATACTCTCAGCTATTATTATTCAATTATACCTTGGTGTGAATGAGTGTGACATCCTTTTCTGAGAAATAACCCATTAAAGAACCACAGAGGAGAAAAGAGTAGAGGCTGGAGAAAGTGCAGGACTTGAAAGACAAGGAGTCTAACCATACATTTTATCTACTCAAAATGTAGAGCAGATGCACCAGAAAATATTAACAGTGGCTATCTCTGGGTGTTAGGATAAGAGTTGCTTTTGTTTTGTTTTAGTTTTTTTATATTTTCCAAGTTTTCTGCCTAATACACATATTACTTTTATCATTCATTCTTTGTTATCTAACACAGATTTTTTTTTTTTTTTTTTTTTTTTTTGAGACAGAGTCTTCCTCTTGTCACCCAGGCTGGAGTGCAGTGGCACAATCTCAGCTCACTGCAACCTCCACCTCCCAGGTTCAAGCAATCCTCCTGCTGGGATTACAGATGCCCACCCCCATGCCTGGCTGTTTTTTGTATTTTTAGTAGAGATGGGGTTTCGCCATGTTGCCCAGGCTGGTCTGGAACGCCTGACCTTATGATCTGCCCACCTTGACCTCCCAAAGTGCTGGGATTACAGGTGTGAGCCACCGTGCCCAGGTTTTGCCCCAACCTTTTTGGTACCAGGGACCAGTTTCACGGAAGACAATTTTTCCATGGATGGGGTGCGGGGGGATGGTTTCAGAATAATTCAAGTGCATTACGCTTATTGTGCACTGATTTCTATTATTATTACATTGTGATAGACAATGAAATAATTATACAACTCACCATAATGTAGAATCAGTAGGAACCTGAGCTTGTTTTCCTGCAACTAGGTGGTCCCATCTAGGGGTGAGGGGAGACAGTGACAGGTCATCATGCATTAGATTCTCATAAATAGCAGCAATCTAGATCCCTCGCATGCGCAGTTCACAATAGCGTTCATGCTTCTCTGAGAATCTAATGCTGCCTCTGATCTGACAGGAGGTGGAGCTGAGGCAGTAATGCGAGTGATGGGGAGCAGCTGTAAATACAGATGAAGCTTGGCTCGCTTGCCTGCTGCTCAGCTCCTGCTGTGCGGGCTGGTTCCTAACGAGCAAGAAGAAACCTGGAGGACACTTTGGTTTCATCAAGCAACACTTGCCACCAGGAAGGCGTTGAGTGCCAATTCCACACCCAATACCCCCAGGTAGAGGAAGTCTTGGGCCTTGGGGTTTGCAGTCTAGTTTCCTGGTAGTGTCTGTCATGGGGCTGAAGACCAAGCTTCGTCTTCATGCTAGACTTTGCCCATTTGGATATTTCATATCTTGAGAGGCAAAGAGAGCTTCTGCAATGTTTGAGGCCAAAATTCAAAGCAGAGCCAGGCCCAGGAATCCCATCAAGCAAGGCCTGTTGCCCATTCTGCTACGATTCAGATAACTTTTGAGAATATAAATGGCTCCCTGGGCCACTGTCTTAATCTTTCTATACCTTGGTGAGGCTTCTGTTAATGGTAGAATCTAGATGAAGGATAGTTTGGGCCACTTCGTAAATGTGGGTAGTGATCTTATTCAGATTAGATGATTTTGTTCAGATTAGGATGCCAAAAGTCTGGAACAAGGCAAGACCAGAAAGTCTGGTTAGGCAAGAGGCAAATGGTTTAAAACAGAGACCTTCACAATTTGGCAAGCTTTTAAATTACTTGGAGTATGCAAAATACAGTTGCCTGGACCTTACCCGAGACCCACGGGAAAACAACAACAACAACAACAGGGCAGGTTCCATGGATCTGTGCCGGGCTATTCCCCCAGAGAAATCAGGGAAAATTATAGATGTCCATAATTCCAGACAGAATTATAGGTCCCTGAGCTTGGTTTGCTGAGATAACATGTTGCTTTTCTCTCTCTCTCTCTTTTTCTCTCTCTCAATGTCTCTCCCTTTTCAAAAGTAGATGTCACCTTTCTGATCCAATGCTTGATTGCTAGCTGGGCTGAACCAGAAGCATCACGTCTAGTTAGTCTAGATGTGGATGCAATTCAGTAATCATAAACATTAGAGCTAGAATATTGTAGGTAATTGATGTAACCAAATGAAGAACCAGAGACCCAGAGATGAAAAGTTCCTTGCCCAGATCTGCAAACTCACATCCAGGTTGCTCCCTGCCTACCCTCATCTCTTACAAGCCAGCATCCTTTTACAGCAGACTGTGGGCCCCAAAGCACAGCTGTGGACAAGAGGGCACTGTACATTCACCCCAAGGTCTCAAGGCCACCAGGGGCTTGGTCAGCGTTTGTGGTTGTGGCACTTCGCATTTGCCTCTTTGAGGGCTCCCAAAAACCCACTTCCTGGCCGGGCATGGTGGCTCACGCCTGTAATCCCAGCACTTTGGGAGGCCAAGGCAGGCAGATCACTTGAGGTCAGGAATTCAAGACCAGCCTGGCCAACATGGTGAAACCCCATCTCTACCAAAAATGCAAAAATTAGCCAGGCATGGTGGTGGGTTCCTGTAGTCCCAGCTACTCGAGAGGCTGAGGCAGGAGAATCGCCTGATCCCAGGAGGTAGAGGTTGCAGTGAGCCGAGATCACACCACTGCACTCCAGCCTGAGCGAGAGTGAGACTCTGTCTCAAAAAAAAAAAAAGACAAAACCCACTTCCTTTCACCTTAGCACCCTAATGAGTAACAAGGAAGTTCAGAGATGAGTTCCTTTGCCCCAGCCTCTGCAGCAATGTGTTTTGAGAGCGCTGGGCTCCCTCGTGGTGCAGAGAGGGGACATCATCTTGCAGTGGACTTTCACAGCAGACCACACCTAAGAAGCAAAAATCCAGTCCATGTAGAGTGCATCCTCAGGCTCTAGGGGCCCATGGTCCCCTGTTCCTTGCACCATCAGATAGTCCCATGTGTGGGTCGCTGGCCTTGTTTCTGGTACCTTGCAGGGAGACCAGGCCAAGTGTGAAAATCCACCAGGGCCCTTTGCAAGCCCAAATTGAGGATTTTGTGGCCGCATTAAAATGCCTTTCTCCTTCTGAAAAAGGATTAGATGCAACAAAGTGCTTGAGCCCTCAGCGCCTGTGAAAAGAAGCCCAGTCTCAAGTGTTAAGCTCGGATTCCATGCAGCCTCCGGCAAAGGCCTCGTCAGGAAACAGCCCTGTGTGGCTGCAGCTGCTCAGATTCCAGCGCTAGGGTTGATTTGCACCAGTCGCGGGGGTAGGGGTGGGGGCAGACCAGATGTTTTAAGGAGATTATTGCCTGAAAGCAAAGCCAGTTTTCCTGTGTGCCACCCACTTCTTTTTTTTTTTTTTTTTTTTTTTTTTGAGACGGAGTCTCGCTCTGTCGCCCAGGCTGGAGTGCAGTGGCGGGATCTCGGCTCACTGCAAGCTCCGCCTCCCGGGTTCACGCCATTCTCCTGCCTCAGCCTCCCAAGTAGCTGGGACTACAGGCGCCCGCCACTACGCCCGGCTAATTTTTTGTATTTTTAGTAGAGACGGGGTTTCACCGTTTTAGCCGGGATGGTCTCGATCTCCTGACCTCGTGATCCGCCCGCCACCCACTTCTTGAAGGTGATTTTTTTACATAGTGCCACCAAAACTGGTAGGCGTGGAAACAGGAGTTTACATCTTCTGAGAGCGTCCAACAGCCTCGGCTTCAGGCGCCTTATCTTATTTAATCATGACCATATTACCTCTGTTCTGGGCTGAATTGTACCCCCAAAATTCATATGTTGAAGCCCTAATTCCCCATTACCTAGGATTGTAACCATAACAGGAGATATGGTTTTTAAAGGGGCAATTAAGTTAAAATGAGGTCATATGAGGGGACCCTAATCCAATATGATTGGTGTCATTATGAGAAAAAAAATTAGGACACACGCATACACAGAGGGAGTCCATGTGACAGCACAAGAAGGTGGCTGTCTACACCCAAGGTTAGAGGCCTTGGAAGAAACCAGCCCTGCTGACACCTTCATCTCAGGTTTCTAGCCTCCAGAATTGTGAGAAAATAAAATCTGCTGTTGAAGCCACCCAGTCCGTGGTATTTTGTTATGACAGCCTTAACAAAATCATCCAACCTCCATTTTACAGATGGGTAAACCAAGGCTTAGCCAAGTGAGTTAACTGACCCAATGGTATATAGCTCTTTTTTTTTTTTTTTTTTTTTTTTTTTTTTTGAGATGGAGTTTTGCTCTTGTTGCCCAGGCTGGAGTGTAATTGTGCAATCTCAGCTCACCGCAACCTCTGCCTCCCGGGTTCAAGCGATTCCCCTGCCTCAGCCTCCCGAGTAGCTGGGATAACAGGCATGCGCCACCTTGCCTGGCTAATTTTTTATTTTTTATTTTTACTAGAGACAGGGTTTCTCCATGTTGCTCAGGCTGGTCTAGAACTCCCAACCTCAGGTGATCCGCCCGCCTCGGCCTCCCAAAGAGCTGGGATTATAGGAATGAGCCACCGCGCCCGGCCGGTATGTAGCTCTTGAGTATCACGGGCCCAGGTCTGATTTGTCTGATTCCAAAACTCTTATGTTTAACCCCCTCATTAACTGCCTGAAGAAGGGAGCCGGGGGACAGAATTCTAACACTCCCTGGGCAAGAGTGAACACCTAGGCTTTATGATGCTTTTAGTAAGGGGGCTGTTAGACCAATGTCTCCCACCGTACTGTTGTAACGTGGGCAGGCCTGTCTGGGGGCTTCCACAGCACGATGTTTGACTGGGGACTTGAAATGGATTTGTCACATAAATTGACTGACAAGTGGTTCTCAAACCTGTTTGCAAATTAAAATCTTGGGAGCAGCTAGAAAACAAGAGCCATCTTTTTGGGCCTAGCTAACAGCTGCTGGGAATGGACTCCTGAAATCTGCATTTTTGGTAGATTCTCTGGGTGAGTCTAATGCATAGTCAAGTTTGAGAACCAATTTAGGAGAGAAAGCATTCAAAGGATATAGTTTCCCAGTGAGGATAATTTTCATATGGGAAGGACCATTTATTTAAAAGAAATTCACAGGCAGCTCCTCAGTATTTCTGTCCCCCAGGTAACTGGCATGACCTATAGTATGCAGGGGGACATCAAGAACCCAAGGCAACCTCTGCTGATCTTTAACAGAAGCTTCCTGCAGCTTCGGGTGCCCCCCATTCCATAGATGGATCCACCACAGCCCCAGTAACTGATCCATGTCTCCAACCAGCCAGGCAGCAGACAGGTCTTCCTTAAAGGGTCTCATGCTGCAGTTTAATGCTGTCCTCAGTTGAAGAACTTCAGTGGGGATGTAGGACATGTTTGCTACAACCCTCACGGTATGTTTTCAGGTGCATTAGCATAATTATTAGGTCATAGGCCCCAGCCCTCCAGGTGAGAGCGGCTTGGGGCCCAGCTTCTTCAGCCCAGTTGGCTGATTACATGCTTAGAATTCAGAAAACTGGCTTGTTTCTTAGGGCACTGACAAAATAAACCCCACAGTGTCAGGGTGAAGGAATTCTGTTCTGCTGAAGTCTTTTAGATTAGAAAGGGCAACATCAGGTTCCGATTATAGCTACAAGGGATATTTCCTCATTGGGAACTCTGTCCTATCTGCCTTATAGGTTTAGACCTCCCCATATTAGTTATCCATTGCTGTGTAATTAAACACCCTAAAACTTATGGGCTTAAAACAACAACAAACCGGCTGGGTGCAGTGGCTCACACCTGTAATCCCAGCACTTTGGGAGGCCGAGGCGGGTGGATCACAAGGTCGGGAGATCGAGACTATCCTGGCCAACATGGTGAAACCCCGTTTCTACTAAAAATACAAAAATTAGTCAAACGTGATGGCACATCCTTGTAATCCCAGCTACTCAGGAGGCTGAGGCAGGAGAGTCGTTTAAACCCAGAAAGCGGAGGTTGCAGTGAGCAGAGATTGGCCACTGCACTCCAGCCTGGTGACAGAGTGAGACTCTGTCTCAAAACAACAACAACAACAAACCTTATTTTATCTCCCAGTTCCATGGGTCACGGATTCAGGAGAAGCTTAGCTGGGTGGTTCTGACTCAGGGTCCCTCTTGAGGTTCATGTCGTGTGTCACCTGGGGATGTAGTCTTCTGAAAGCTAGATTGGGGCTGCAGGGTCTGCTTCCAAGGAGGCACACTCACACACCTGGCAAGTTGGTGCTAATTGTTGGTGGGAAACCTCAATTCCTCCCTCATGGGCTGTTCACAGCCTGCTTGAATGGCCTCACAACATGGCAGCTGGCTTCCCTCTTAGATGGTGATCCAAGAGGGAGCAAGGCAGAAGTCAGAAGTACTTTCTTTCTTTTTTTTTTTTTTTTGAGATGGAGTCTCGCTGTGTCGCCCAGGCTGGAATGCAGTGCCGCAATCTTGGCTCACTGCAACCTCTGCTAATCTGTTTTTATATTTTCAGTTAATCTAATGCTAATTTATTATGATACCACTGGCCCAATTAACAGAACACATTATTCCAATCTGTGGTGAAACCTCCAAGATATGTGTCAAACGTATATATATATATATGTTTAATGCTACCTTTATGGTTGTGAACAAAATCACTATTTATATTCAAATGTTATTTGCAGAGCCTTTACTATGTTCCAGAATGCTCTTTCGTATATTTTCCTATTAAATTTTCAAAATCACCCTATAGGCTGAGTATTTCAATGTTTGATTCATTTCCCTCCATATTCACCTCTAGAGAGGCTAGAGGACTCAATCAAAGTCACATAAGGGGAAGAACCAGTTAGTGACAGAGTCCATTTCCACCATTTGAAGCCGCATTTGTGACCCTTCACCAGCTGCTTCCTTGAGCTTGGTGAACACATGGCCTCGCTGTCTTCTCTGCGTCACTGGGACTATCTTCTGTGATCACTGAAGATGATGGTTGTGAATAATGGTGGCATCAGGAAAGTGCGGTGGCGGCCACTTACTGGGAGTTACTGGGAGCTTACTGTGTGCCAGGCATGGTGCTAAACCCCTGCTTGTGTTGTCCACGTGGCAGGAATTATCATCATTTCACAGATTAACAGACGTAGGTGCAAAAGGCTAAGCCATTTGCCCAGGTCACAAACAATTGTTGGGGCTGGAAATGAGGCCTCCTGTGTGACTCACATCCATGCATTTACCTGCCAGCTCCTCTCCCCAGGGCTCTGCTTCTGTAACTCTCAGTTGGCAGGTGGAGACCCTCCCTAAATGATTGATAGCCAGGTTTCCTTTGAAAAGCCTCCTGATATGGTTTGGCTGTGTCCCCACCCAAATCTCATCTTAAATTGTAGTTCTCATAATCCCCATCTGTCATGGGATGGACCAGGTGGGAGGTAATTGAATCATGGGGGCTGTAACCCTCATGCTGTTCTCGCGGTAGTGAGTTCTCCCGAGATCTGATGGTTTTATAAGGGGCGTTTCCCCCCTTGCTCGGCACTTCTCCTTGCTGCTGCCGTGTGAAGAAGGATGTGTTTGCTTCCCCTTCCGCCATGATTGTAAATTTCCTGAGGCCTCAGCCCCGTGGAACTGTGAGTCAATTAAACATCTTTCCTTTATAAATTACCCAGTCTCAGGTATTTCTTCATAGCAGCATGAGAACGGACTAATAGACTTTGCTTTCCACACTTGCTGCAGTTCCTCAAAACATCACGTAATTGTTTTTATCTGTGTCGACTTTGCAATGTTTCTCCTAAGCAGTTATATTGCGTTATCAGGTGATTGGGTGAAAACCCAGTTTGGGGGTCAAAATAATTTTATTTCTCTGCTTGATAAATGCTATGTTGTAGTATTAAGTAATAATGGTAGTGATTTGTAGGAATCAGGAGCATCAGCAGCAAAAGCGAAAAAAAATCATAGGAAAGTCTACTTCATTCATTAAAAATGCTTACAATGGAGAGAAGTTAATTTCACCATAACAATAGTGTATTCATTGTCTGGGGCTGCCATAACAACGTACCATACAGCCATCTCTTGGTTTCTGTGAAGGATTGGTTTCAGGACCCTCACAGGACACCAGAATCAGAGGAAGCTCAAGTCCCTGATATAAAATGGCACAGTATTTGCATATAACCTGTGCACATCCTCCCATATATTTTAAATTATCTCTAGATTACTTATAATACCTAACGCAATGTAACTGCTATGCAAATAGTTGTTATACTGTATTTTAATTTGTATTATTTTTTATGGTTGTATTGTTATTTTTTATATTCTTTCAAATATATTCGACCTGTGGCTGGTTGAATGCACAGTTGTGGAAACTGTAGATGCCATGCTACAAATTGTGTGGCCTAAAACACAAAAACTTATTATCTGAAAACTCTGGAGGCTAGAAGTCTGAAATCAAGGTGCTTTCTTTGAGGCCTCTACGGGAGGAGGCTTTCTTATCTCTCCTGCTTTCTTTGAGGGCCTGCTTCCTTTGAGGTCTCTACGGAGGATGCCTTCTTCTCTCTCCCAGTTTCTGGTGGCCTCGGACCTGCTGTGACCTGTGGCTGCATCACTTCAATCTCTGCCTCCATCTTCACACGGCTTTCTCCTTGTGTCTCTGTCTTCTCATGGCTGTCTTCTTATAGAGGCACCAGACATGCTGGATTAGGGCCCACCCTACTCCAGCATGACCTCACCCGAATTACATCTGCAGTGGCTCTATTTCCAAATAAGGTCACATTTGTCTGAGGTCCTGGAAATTAGGACTTGAACATATCTTTTGGTGGGATACAATTCAACCCATGGCAGGTAGTATCAGGGCTTACCCTTAAATCTAAAAGCTGATGCTCAGGACTTATGCAGCATTTGGTGTTGATTTGGGATAATTTCTAGGAGTTGGGATACATGGGGGACTTTGGCCTGATCTCATAAACATTCAAGAAGGAAACAAGAAGAAATGAACGGAAACATCCTTTGCTTTCTGTTCCTCTGGGGGCAGACGGGGCAGGTTTGGTTGGTGAGAAATCTGGCATAAATCTTACAAGCAAATGTGCATGAGAAGGAGTCCTGTGGGACATTTTCTTGTGCGCATACACCTGGGAGATTTGATGAGCAGGGAATAGCTTATTTTTATGGATGACTTTCTGGTAACCAGATAGAAGATAGACACCCTGTGTCTCCTCTGCAATGTTTAGTTGCTTCTGTCAAAGACACAAAGTGACAGCTATGCTCCTGGATTCTGGAGAGAGATAAACAGGACTTGGTCGCAAATGGCAATTCAAAATGGAGGAAGGCTCTTCCCAGCTGGGCAAGGAGCATCCACTCCACAGCACAGCCTTTGGTAGTCACCTGCATCCACTCCTACCACTGCCACTTTGTTGTCTACACTCCCTAGTGGCAAACACTTGTACCCTCCTTATCTCAGCAGTGTGATAGCCAGCCTCCAAGATGGCCCCTAGTAATTCTCACTTCCTTGCATTCACATCCTGTATAGTCCCCTCCCATATACACAGAGCTGACTTGTGTAACCAATAGGATATTTAAGGAATAATGGTATTGACTTCAGAGGCTAGCTCATAAAAGTACTTCTGATGGCCGGGCATGGTGGCTCACGCCTGTAATCCCAGCACTTTGGGAGACCAAGGCGGGTGGATTGCTTAAGCTCAGGAGTTTGAGACCAGCCTGGGCAACATGGTGAAACACCTTCTGTACTAAAACTACAAAAGTTAGTTGGGTGTGGTGGCATGCACCTGTGGTCCCAGCTACTTGGGAGGCTGAGACTTGAGCCCAGGAGGCAGAGGTTGCAGTGAGCCAAGATTGTGCCACTGCACTTTAGCCTGGGCGATAGAGTAAGACCCTGTCTCTCACATGCACACACACACACACACACAATTGTAAATGACATCCAAAAATCAAAAAGAACTTTGAGTGGTAGTTTCATTTTCATTGAGGGGAAAGTGCTTTTAAAGTATGTATACTGGCCAGGCGCAGTGGCTCATGCCTGTAATCCCAGCACTTTGTGAGGCTGAGGTGGGTGGATCACGAGGTCAGGAGTTCGAGATCAGCCTGACCAACATGGTGAAACCCCGTCTCTACTAAAAATACAAAAAAATTAGCTGGGCTTGGTGGCACCTGCCTGTAATCCCAGCTACTCAGGAGGCTGAGGCAGAAGAATTGCTTGAAGCTGGGAGGCAGAAGTTGCAGTGAGCTGAGATCACACCACTGCACTCCAGCCTGGGTGACAGAGTGAGACTTCGTCTCCAAGAAAAAAAAAAAAAAGTATGTATACTGAGAGAGAGCACATTAGGTCAATCGATGGCGTGATTTTACCTCCTAGGGAACATAAGGGTACGTTTGACCATATCTGAAATATCTTTAGCTGTGACAAGGTGAGGGGGGTGCTGCTGGCCTCTGTTGGGTGGATGCCAGGGACGCTATTAAGCATTCTGCAAAGCACGGGACAGCCCCCACAACAGAGAGTGGTCAGGTCCCAAATGTCAGTGGTGCCAAGGTTGAGAAACTCTGCTTTAGAGACTAGCCCGACTCTGCCTGTGTGCCCAGGGAAGTGGGGTCAGAGTCTTTTTCCTTTTTCTCAGAACCGGTGTATGTGAGGTATGGGCAAGGTCAGTGGAACAGGAAAAAGTCATCGTAAAAGACACGCGGTAGTGAAATTTGAGGTCAGAAAGAATGCCGAAAACAGTGAGGAAGCAAACCAAAATTTGAGCTCAGAATTGCTACCTCTGTTGTCCTTGGAAAGTTGAAGGATATTAAACTCTGAAAATGAGTTACCCGAAAGAATTCCTCCAGCTTTCTAAATAAAGGAATTGCGCCTTTGCTCAGGCACCTTTGCAACCTTAATGAGCTACTGCTGTCTTACTTGAGAACACCAGAGGGCGCTCAAGAGAGGAGGAGGCGACTGGCGACTATCAAGGTATTCTTGTATTTGTCTTTACACCGCCCTGGTCCCGAGGGTGAGAAGAAAGAAGACAGATTCAACTGTCTCTCTTTCATCTCAGCCCCTCATTAACCAACTTTGGTTCCTCTGCCATTCTTCTACTCAAAGAGCCTCGGCAAAACTTCCTGACACTGGAGCTAAATAAACCTTCGCCACGGGGAGACCGGCTCGCCGAAAGGGCTGAATCTTGGGTGTCTTTGTATTCTCAGCCCCTTGGTGCTTGAGAGGGAGATTTTGATTTGAAAACAAGCCCTGGAGAGGGATGCTAAGTGATCTCTCAAGGCAAGGCCTATGATTATTGCCTTTGGTAGTGAGTTTAGCGACACAATAATGGAAAGTTTGTTGGACCCCAAATCAGGCTCTAAGAAGTCTCAGTTTTGCCGTAACTACCTAATTAATGGGACTCAGATGCTCATCTGTAGACTTAGGTGGACTGCATGGTAATTTCCTAGGGCTGTTGCAATGAAGCACTGCAAACTGGGTGGCTTCAGCAACAAAAATATATTGTCTTGGTTCTAGAGGCTGGAAATCCAAGATCAAGGTGTCTGCGCAATTGGTTCCATCTGAAGTCGCTGTGGTAGAATCTCTTTCATTCCTGTCTCCCAACTTCTGGTGGTTTGCTGGCAATCTTTGCCATTTCTTCACTTATAGATGCAACATCCCAATCTCTACCTTTATCTTCACGTGGCATTCTCCCTGTGTATGTGTCTGTCTGTTCAAATTTCCCCTTTTCATAAGGACAGCAGCCATATTGGATTTGTGCCAACCCTGATGACCTCATCTTAAGACCCTGTTTCCAAATAAGGTCACATTCACAGGTACTGAGGGTTGGGACTTCAACGTCTTTTGCAGGAACACAATTCAACCCATAACAAATGGCTTCTAAAGTCTCTCCTGGTTTCTTGACATTACAGCTATGGAGTTTTGAGAACAGGACTTCCTCCACATGGTGCTAATGATGCATCCAGCCTACACCTCCCCGGAGGAAGGGGTAGTTGTTTTCAGCCAGAGAAAACTGATTCCAGCCTGGGCACTGGAAGGTTCAAGTTGATTGGTGACAATTCTTTCCGAGAGGCGGTTATCACTGCTTATTGCCACCCTCAGTGGTTTGGAATCACTTTGTTGCTGGTTGGAGTAAATGGAAAACATATTTAACTTAAAAAGTGAAACATACAATGCTATCATATTGCACAAGCAAACGTGGAGAGGGGCAGGGGGGCAACTACTGTTTCAAGATGATTTAAGAATTTGATCAAATGTCTGGCTGCACAACTGCGTGTTTTGAAAGCACCTCACAGATGGGTTCTATAATTGAGAAATGCATTTGTTCTTTGTTTGGTACATTTAAATAATGTGATTCAAAGTTTGGAGTTGAATGCCTTTCTGAAATGACTTCCCTCCATCTCGCACACACACGGTAGTGTGTTTTCACAGAACGGCGTGCAGTGGGGAAAGGACTGCATGCTTTTGGAAAGATGTAGCGCACATCCATGAGAAAATATGTCAAAGAATTTGCAAACAGACACAGAAAAGTAATAACCAAAAATAAGCATCTGTGAAGCCTTGCTTTGTGTTTAGAAAAGATAGGCCAGGCATAGTGGCGCACACCTGTAATCCCAGGTGGCTCACACCTGTAATCCCAGGGTTTTTCCAGAAAAACCCTCAGCACCTTTTTGTATCTAGGTCTTCCAAGAAAGAAAACATTAGGACCAGGTGCTGTGGCTCACACTTATAATCCCAGCACTTTGGGAGGCCAAGGCAGGTGGATCACTTGACCCCAGGAGTTTGAGACCAGCCTGGGCAACATAGTGAAACCCCGTTTCTATAAAAAATACAAAAATTAGCTGGGCATGGTGGCATGCTCTGTAGTCCCAGCTACTAGGGAGGCTGAGGTGTGTGGATCAGTTGAGGCCAGGCATTCGAGAGCAGTCTGGCCAACATGCTGAAACCCTGGCTCTACTAAAAATGCAAAAATTAGCCAGGCATGGTGGCACACGCCTGTAGTCTCAGCTACTTGGGTGACTGAGAGATGAGAAGCACTTGAACCTCGGAAGTGGAGGCTGCAGAGAGCCAAGATCACACCACTGCACTTCAGCCTGGATGACAGAGTGAGACTTTGTCTCAAAAAAACAAAAACAATACAGAAAAAAATAGCCACAGAGAATTAAAGACATGGCATATTTTTAAGAGCGAAGCACCTCACAGAAACTGAGAACTCACAGGACTTAATAGGGCGAGGCATTTCAGTGTTCTGAGAACACCGTAGAGCAAACTTCTCCAGTAAGTATTCCTTCCTTAGCATTTCTGGAGTCCATAGTACTCGAAAAGCTTGATAGAATATTCAGTATCACTAGCTACCAGTGAAAATAAACAACTTACTTTAAAAAGGACGAAGTGAGCATTTCCAAGTGTCAGGTGATTAGAGCTTCCTAGTGTTCCCTGGAAAGTGGGGCATTTCCCAAAGCCCACTCGCTCTGATCCTGTCCTCTTGGATGGCTTTGGACACTAGGACATCATATGGCTTTTCAACATTCCAGGATTCCTGACTTTGGGGGCAGAATCCTGCCCAGTGTTTTCTTTTCTTTTCTTTTCTTTTCTTTTCTTTTCTTTTCTTTTAAGATAGGGTCTTGCTCTGTTGCTCAGGCTGGAGTGCAGTGGTGTGATCATGGCTCACTGCAGCCTTGACCTTCTAGGCTCAAGTGATTCTCCCACCTCAGCCTCCCTAGTAGCTGGGACTACAGAGCATGCCACCATGCCCGGCTAATTTTTGTATTTTTTGTAGAAACGGGGTTTCACTATGTTGCCCAGGCTGGTCTCAAACTCCTGGGCTCAAGTGATCCACCTGCCTTGGCCTCCCAAAGTGCTGGGATTACAAGTGTGAGCCACAGCACCTGGTCCTGATGTTTTCTTTCTTGGAAGACCTAGATACAAAAAGGTGCTGAGGGTTTTTCTGGAATGGGGAACACATGGGTTCTGGTTTTCATATACCTTTGTGTGGTCTGAACAGGTTCCTCCAATCATAATATGCAAATATATATGATCCTAATGGGCTCTTCCCAAACCCTTTCCAGCTCCAAGACACAGAGCTTGATTACCACTTGGTTACAGACTCACAGGAGGATACACAGAAAACTGAATGGACACTGCTGACTCTAATGATCTGCAGCGGAGGCTCTTAACCTCCAATGAGCCGTAGAGTCACCTGGAGGGCTCATTAACACACAGACTGCAGGGTCCTGCTCCAGAGTTCCCAAGTCAGATTCAGCGGGTCTGGGGTGGGCCTCAGAATTTGCATGTTTAACAAGATCCCAGGCGATACTGACGCTGCTGGCCAGGGAACCACACTCAGAGACCCCCAGGGTTCCAGTAATAAGGAACATAGAGAATGCTCCCTAGGTACCTGGCACCAAGGTTTCACCAGAGTCACCAAGACACACTAAGACTGACTGGCCTGAGCTTTCCCGCCCCTAAAAGCAAGGCTGATGTGCAGGAATGCAGGGAAAGGACTCAATGACAGGCTACTGTATCTGGATGACTGAAAAACAGACACCTTCACCCCTGGCCAATCTCAAGCTGGCTCAGCATTTGTTTAGGAGAGTTTAGAAGACTTTAGCAGAGCCAGAGCCCCCAGGAGGGGCCGTGACTCATGTGTCAAACATCATCAGGAGACTGGGCACCATGGCTCATGCCTGTAATCCCAGCACTTTGGGAGGCCAGGATGGTGAGATTGCTTGAGTTCAGGAGTTCAAGACCACCCAGGGCAACATGGCCAGACCCTGTCTTGACAAAAAATACAAAAATTGGCCAGGCATGGTGGTGCGTGCCTGTAATCTCAGCTACTCGGGGGCCAATGTAGGGGGATCACTTGAGCCCAGGAGGTTGAGGCTGCAGTGAGCTGTGGTTGCACCACTGCGCTCCAGCCAGGGCAACACAGCAAGACCCTGTCTTACAACACAACACAACACAACACAACAAAAAACCCACATCATCAGGGAGCAAGACAGGGGTCTCAAGGGTGGTGGCAGGTCAGAATGTCACAGGCCGCATCAGCACATTCATTGCAGGCTAAGCAGTGAGAACATGGAGACTGTGGTCATCTAACCTTCCTTCCAAAAGGGGTTTTCAAATATTGTTTGAGTGGCAGACAAAGATATGAAAAACATTGAGGCAGAGCTTCTCTGGTTGAAGTGAGAAGAGGGTGGGCAAGGGGTCTGGAGGCAGGACAGGATGGGGAGAAGGATACCTCTGGCATCCCCCTTGCGTGGCCTTTCTCTTGATCTGGTGCACCTGCAGGACCTCCATGGAACCCCAGGATTCCTCAGAACACAGTTGGAAAACCATTGAATGGACCTCTCCCTTCTCCCTCATTCACGCATCCACCAAAGGCTTTCTGAGCTCCTCTGTGGAGGAAACCTCTGAGGTGCTACAAAACACAGATACTCCCAGCACACTTTCTGACTTCCACAGAGTAGAAACTATCAGAAAAGATTAGATCATAGTTTTATTGGAGAATTGCTGGGCAATGCAACAAAATGAGTATGCCTGGGGTTATGAATACCATGAATACCTGGGGTTATGAATACCAAGAGCTATTCATGGTTATAGGTGGGTTTACCTAGTCATGGTAGCCTTACCTGAGACCTGGAGACTTAACCAGACAGTGGTAATGTCAGGCTCTGGCTCTGGGGGGAGGTTAGTGTGAGTGTGTGTGTATGTGTCTGTGTGTGTGTGCACATGTGCACGCTAATGGTAGTTCTTTCAGGCAACTGGACGTCTCTGCACATAGCAGGCGCTCAAGGGATATGGACTTTGACTGCTTCCATTGCCTACTCATGAGACCACCCTGTTCTATTACAGGAAGGTGGAATAGTCTCATGGTTTAGAACATGGACTTTGGAGCCACGCTGCTGAAGTTCACAACCAGCCTGGGTGAACTTGGGCACGTGACTGAACCTCTCTGTTCTGGTTCCCTGACCCATAAAAATGGGAGTGATGATAGCACTTGCTTCACAGAGTTGTTGAGAAGTTTGCATTAATCAACATCTCTAAAGCACTTAGGAAAGGCCTTGCTGTATGACAAGGACCATCATTTGATATGTGGTTATAAGAGGTTTTTTAATACTTGGACATTTTACTCTCAATAAATATTTGATTTTTATTTTTAGGAGGCAAGACTGGGAAAGCATTAGAAGCTAGCTGCTTGGAGGCCTAAATCCTCTAACTTCTCTCAAAATTTCTTAAATTTTTAAAATATATCAGCTGGTACCTTCAAGGCCAGATGTGAAAGTTATTTTATGATGGGAGCATCAGCTATCTGGTGTAAGAGCTGAATAGCTCTTAAGAGAAGCAAACAGGGTTGGAATCCAAGACTGACCCCTGATCTCAAGTTTTCTACTTCCCCCACCTCTTTGTCATAACTCAAGAATTAGTGGAGAAAAGAAAAGCATCCTTCATAAGCTATGATTATTAGAACAGCAAAGCCAAGAACAGTGGCCATTTAATGAGCACATACTACGTGCTCTAGGCCATGCTCAGTACTTTACGTAGGTTCTATCCTAGGCTGGGTTTCCCAGGAGCCCCAGAGACAAAGTTCATGTGCAAGTCATTTATGAAAGATAAGCTCCCAGGGAAAAGAGGTGAGTGAGTGAAGAAGCAGGACACGGAGAGGGAGGAAACCGAGCAAATGTATGATCTCAGGCAAAATCGCTCCAAGGCAACTGTCACCTGATCCTGCAGGGGACAGTGGAGTGTAAATTACCCCAGAGTTATGCCCAGTAGAAGCAAGGAAGCTGGGCTTTTCTTACTTGCATGCCATCAGTTAGAGGATCAGGCCCACCTTGGGGGAATACAAATTCCCAGGCACTTCCAGCTCCACATCTTTGAGTAAAGTGGGGCTCCAGTAGACCAAGGGAAGCCACAGGTGCTGGCTGTAGGTATGGGAAGCAAAACGAATCTCAAGAAGAAGAGTGCAAAAAAATGAGAAAAAGGGGTCCAAGGAGATCTCAAAGGAGAAGGAGTGAAGAAGCCCAGTCCTTCCACATAAGTGTGACTTGGCTCCAAAGAGAAAATCTGGAAGCCATGATCTTGGCTTCCATCAGCTATCATCAACAAATCGCAGGGGAGGCCATGTGGCCCATGGTTGTGAGTCATCCCTCGAGTAAGATTCAAATCCTCCTGCTCCATTCACTGACTGTGTGAACTTGGTGATCTCATTGACCTCATTTTCTGTATCTGTAAAATTGAGACAATAATAGAACTTGTATCAAAGTGAGTTGTTCTAGCTAGGTGTGGTGGCACACACCTTAGTCCCAGGTACTCAGGAGGCTGAGGTGGGAGGATGGCTTGAGCCCAAGTGTTCAAGGTTAAGGTGAGCCATGATCATGCCACTGCACTCCAGCCTGGGCAACAGAGCAAGATCCTGTCTCCAAACAAAAGGGAGAGTTGTTTTGAGAATTAAATAAGTTACAACATGTAAAGCTCTTGGGGCATCAGCTGGCACATAGTTGTGCTCAATAAATGACAACTGTGACAGTGTGGATGCAGTGTGGTTACACCAGGAATATGTACAGTGAGACAGGTATTGGTCAGGACACAGTGGGAGCAGGAGCTAGGTAAGCAGAAAGGGGCTGGTGGAGTGTGTGAGTCTGGGCAGGAAACAGATTAGAGTCCAGAGAAGCCCAATCAAGGCAGGAAGCCTTGGGCATCAACCAGAGACTGAGCCAGGCAGGCTGAGACAAGACCCTGGAGACCAGGCAGTTAATAAGAGGCTTTGAGAGCAGGGTTGAAAACCCCAGATCATGGGTAGAGGTTCTTTGCTTTGGGGCTGATTTCATTTTGGCTGCTGGGTCAATTCTGTTTCCCTTTTTAAAAAATCTTTGTTGAGACATAATTTGCATGCCATAAAATTTACTCATTTAAAATATGCAATTCAATGGGGTTAGTATATTCAGAGTTGGGCACCTATCACCACAATCCAAGTTGAGAATATTTTCATCACCCCCGCAAAAACTGCATACCCATTAGCAATCACTACCCATTTCCCCTTCCCACCAGCACCTGGCAACCACTAATCTATTTTCTGTCTCCATAGATTTGCCTGTTCTGGACATCTCATATCAATGGAATCACATAATATGTGGTGTTTTGTGACTGACTTCTTACACGTAGCATAATGTGTTCAAGGCTTATCCATGTCATAGCATGTATCAGTTCTACATTCCTTTTCATGGCTGAATAATATTTCATTGTATGGATATACCCCTTTTATTTCTCCATTTATTAGGTGATGGACATTTGGGTTTCTTCCATTTTTTAGCTATTATGAATAATACTGCTATGAACATCCATGTACTAGTTTTAGTTTGGACATATGTTTTCATTCTTCTTGGATATATACTGAGGAATGTGATTACTGGGTCTTAAGGAACCTTTATTTTTAAGCTTTTGAGGAGCTGCCAAACTGTTTTCTGAAGCAGCTGCCCCATTTTACATTTCCACCAGGAGACTACGAGGGTTTCTATTTCTCCTCATCCTCACCAACCCTTGTAATTATCTGTGGTTTTGATTCTAGCCCATCCTGGCAAGTGTGAGGTGGTAACTCACTGTAATTTTGATTTGCATTTCCCTAAGGGCTAATAATATTGAACATCTTTTCATGTATTTATTGGCTATGTGTTTTTCTTCTTTGGAGAATGTCTACTTAAAGGCTTTATCCATTTCTAATTGACTTATTTGTCTTTTTCTTATTGAGTTGTAAGAGTTCTTTATATATTCTGGATACCAGTTCTTTCTCACATAACATGATTTGCCAACATTCTCTCCTATTCTGTGGGTCATCTTTTCACTTTCTTGATAGTGCAGCACAAAAATCTAAGTTGAGGTAGTCCACTTTATCTATTTTGTCCTTGGTCTATTCCTTTGGTGTCATGTCTAAGAAATCATTGCCTAATCCAAGGTTAAGGATTTTTAAGACTTTTATAGTCTTGGCTCTTATATTTAGCACTCTAGTCCTTTTTGAATTAAATTTTGTGTATGGTGTGATGGAGGGGGTCCAATTTCATTCTTTTGCATGTGGATATCCTTCGTCCCAACACCATTTGTTAATGTCTGTTTCAGAGGTATGTGAACCAGAGCAACTCCATCTTGAATGGGAGCTGGGTAAAATGAGGCTGAGACCTACTGGGCTGCATTCCTAGATGTTTAACGCATTCTAAGTCACAGGATGAGATAAGAGGTTGGCATAAGATACAGGTCATAAATACCTTGCTGATAAAACAGGTTGTAATAAAGAAGCTGACCCAAACCAAACAGGTTGTAATAAAGAAGCTGACAAAAGTGACCTCTAGTCGTCCTCACTGCTACACTCCCACCAGTGCCATGGCAGTTTGCAAATGCCATGGAAATGTTAGGAAGTTACCCTTATGGTCTAAAAAGGGAAGGCATGAATAATCCACCTCTTGTTCATCATATCATCAAGAAATAACCATAAAAATGGGCAACCAGCAGCCCTTGGAGCTGCTCTGTCTGTGGAGGAGGCATTCTTTATTCCTTTACTTTCTTAATAAACTTGCTTTCACTTTATTCTATGGATTCACCCTGAATTCTTTCTTGCGTGAGATCCAAGAACCCTCTCTTGGGGTCTGGATCAGAACTCCTTTTGGGTAACATCTAGATGACCTCACAGGGGGTGGCATCAGTGTGCTCCCTGCCACCTCTGCTGGACATTAACAGCTAGGACTTACAGAGACTTGAAGCTCCCATTTATTCAGTGTTTTCTACACATTTCTCTACACCAGTCCAGGCCTTGCTTTAATTGTATTAGAAAACATAAAATTGAAAGCAAAACTCCTAAATTTTCGTTTTGCAAAAGAAAATTATTTAAGCTCAAATAATTCCCCATTTGGCATTTAGTTTTGAGATCCTCTAGCCTTTGTTATTATTTATTTATTTTTGTCCCAATGCAGCTGAAATATTTCTCCTTCTCTATCTCTGGGGCCTGTTTAACCAGGTGAAGAGTCCACACAAAGCTACAAAAATCAGTTGAAAATAAAAAAAAATTAGTGGAGAATTAGTTTTCCTTGTCTATCTGATAAATGTCCCTAGACTTGTTTGAGTGGCTTTGCATCAAACAGCAATTAGCATGAAAGGACAGCATGACTGGGTGGTTTGGCTTCCTGCAGACGCAGCTTTGCTCACAAGAGCTTACTGATCCTTGTCACCACCCTCCTCTGGGGCAGGGCCAGGCCAGCTTGTCACGTGGGACTGGTGACATCTTCTCACTTGGCTTTTCCAGTGGAGTCTCTAGAAACAAATATTTTAGAACTTTCATCCGGACTAGGCAGGATTAAGTGAGAATCTCTTTAGCATCTGCCTTTGTTAGAATTAGGTTCATCTGTCTGAAAGCAAGGCCTCAAATAAAAGTGGCTTGAAAATGACCCAAGTTTATTTCTGTCTCATGTGCCCAGGGTTGGTGGGATGGCTCTGCTCCATAGGTCCTGAGGGGCTGCTCTACCTCCTTAGCACAGCTTCTTATAGCACCAGAGGTCCAGCCATCACGTCTGCATTCCAGTCAGCAGGAAGAAAGGAGAGCAAAGAAGGGAATGTCCCTTCCCTTACAGTATGCTTTCTGGAAGTTGTATACCACTTCTACCTTCAGCCTTTGGCTAGGACTTAGTCTCAAGGACACACTTAGCTGGAAGCAATACTGCAAAATGCAGTGTTGTTATTCCACGTGGACCTGTGCCCAGGTATAAACTGGGGCCTCTACTGCAAAGGAAGCAGAACAGAATTGACATTGGGTGGGGCGGGCAGAGGGGGGTTACTGTCTAGACTCTGCCAGAGTCCAAGGGCACTCTGTCCCAAGAGTCAAGGGACCTTTTCCTAATTTCAATTCTGCAAATGATTTGTCAGCCCGGTTGAGGAGCAGGCTAGGACAGCATGCACAGATGCCGTCTTGCTCAACTTAACCCTTCTTCATTTGTGCATTTTCATTTAATACACTTGGATTTGGTACAGAGAAGGGGAATAGGGTTCTAGACACTGAAGGAAATGAAATCCCCACATGGCTCAGAGCGTGGGGATTTTGCTACTTGAAATACCATTGTACCCTCTCCACTTTCAAATGAAGATCCTGACATTGTTTTCCAGAACAATTGCACCGTCCAGACTCAGGGACCCACAAAAGTGTCAATTCACCGCATGTTGGCTTTTTTTTTTTTTTTTTTTTAAACTAATTGTAACAAGTGGTTGCTGTGAAACGCAGGCTTCCGAAGGCTGCCCTTCCAGTGACCCATACCCTGACCTGGACAGACCACCTTCTGTCCAAAAGAGGAAAAGTTTTGTTCTTAGATCAGATGAAACCCTGGCTTACCCCTGGTGACCAGCGGGATTAATCAGACACCAGTAAAACAGCTGACAGAAACACTGAACCAACTCACAATAACCAGCACACACATCAGGCAGCATTCCTCTGCGGGGTCTTACCTCATCCCTTTCTTTTGCCCTGAGATGCAATCCCTGCTTCCTGAGGCCGTGTTCTCTGTGCTTCTTAAAGGGAGCCACTTGCAAGCTAAGAAGCTGCCCATTTTTAGGATCAATATGGTATTCCCCCAAGTTGGTTAGAAAACACAATGGCAGGGACAGAATTTGCAGCAGGGGTTTGTAGAGGATTAGGGCTGCTTCGCCAGGATTTATCGCCCCATGCACAACCCAGACTGAAACCCTGGTCGCAGTCTGGGTGGTTTAGAATGAGCCAACAGGCATTGCCATCAGTTTTAGGCCTTTGAAAAGTAAAATCTTCCCAACGTGCAAAAAGTAACCACTAAAAATGGACCATAACCAGATGCAAAGAAAGAATGAAAGATTGTGAAAGGAAAAAAAAATTCTGAAACTGTATTTGGAAGGTTCCTGCAGAAGGGGTCCTTCTGAAAGTATGCAGCAGGCTTCATAGCTTGCCCAACAGTCATGTACATTTCAGAATGTAACTTTCCAAAGCAAGTTGCTTCTTTGCTTTACTACCTGCAGAGAGCCACCTGCTTCATTTAATCGTGCTTTGGGTTCTGTTTTATTTTTACTGTATCCCATTTTCCAGGGCAAAAAGCAGAAAGCAAATAAAACCACATTTTTGCTACTAACTTAATATGAAATCTATTTTAATTCAGAATGATTTCCCTCCACTTTTATTTTAAAACATGTTTAAGAAGAAAAGCAAGCTTAGAGGATTTCTGGTCCTAAATACAGCGATTTCAAGGATTGTTATCAAAACCCTGAAGGGCAGTGTTAAAGAATGGGATAACCTTGAAATATAGGATGGCTAAGAAGTGAGAGCAAAATATCACTCACTAGTGGCTATTTGTAACCAGAGTTATGCCAGGGAAGGGAGAAAGCAGTGAGAGCCGGCAATATTTGAGACGGAAAGAGATGACAGAGAAAGGTATCTTTAGCGAGGAAAGCATTTAGTGACTTTAAATCAGATGCCAAAAGAATATTTACTGGGGGAAAAATCAATTTTTCTGTGCTGTGGAGGAAGCATTTCAAAGTAAGACAACCTTTATTTCCAAATGCCTTCTGGAGGCCCTCCCCGGAGGACACAACACCAACGCTATTAATCTTGACTTAGTGAATGAACGTATTATACGGATTTCAATCCAGATCTTCAAGTCTTAAAGAGTTCTGAAGAGCCCAGATAAAGCAACCCGTTTTTCCTTTGGTGATTCCTCAGGGGTAACTCACTTTAATTCCCCTTTCATCTCTATGGGAGGACTCGGAACTTTAAAAGCAAACAGGTTTCCTATACTAATTCCTGGAGAGAAGGCTTCTGTTGCTTTCTTGCTGCTGCGAGACTGAAGGTGGGTGACCATCTTCATTTGTTACCTTGGAAGATGTGGAGAACCAGAAGTAAGTTTGAAATAATAGGCCAACGGTAGCTGTCTCCTTTCTTCGAGGAAAGTTATTGCCCTTCCAAATGCCAGTTTGTTTTTTGATTTTCCACGGTCCAGCCCCGTATTTAACACAGAAAGATGCTTTAGAAGCCAGAACACTGATAATAACCCCAAATATACACAAAGACAAAGCAGAGGGCATGCCTGTTTTGTCCCGTCAGACAAATTATGATCTAAATTTTCTGCCAACACCACTTTTTTTCCCCTGATTGTTTATGGCAACAGCAGCCTGTTTATTGAGATTCTAAACTGCAATGAAATTTTCTGGGATTGAAAAAAAGAGAATAAGAGAGTTAGAGAGAGAGAGAAGGCTTATTATGTAGAAGTAAACTGTTTCAAATGGAAACCTGACTCCCATTGTGGAAAGGGAAAGCATTGAGGAAAATTACGCCAGATTATCTAGGCTAAAGGAAAAATTTTATGCCTCACTGTGCCACTTGCAAGGAACAGGAGAGGAAAGAAAACACAGAAACTGTGTGGCAACAAATGACTAAATTGGGACGCAGAGATAGCAGCCTTGCTAGGTTCAGTCCAACTTGTACAAGAATGGTAACAACCTAAGGCAGAGATATACCAACAATTATCTGTTACCCAGGGATTATATTAATAAAACAGCCAGGGAGGGAAATGGCTCCATTTAACTAACTTTTTTTTTTTTTTTTTTTTTTGGGGGGGAGTTGGAGTCTTGTTCTGTTGCCCAGGCTGGAGTGCAGTGGCGCAATCTCGGCTCACTGCAACCTCTGCCTCCTGGGTTGAAGCAATTCTCCTGCCTCAGCCTCCCGGGTAGCTGGGATTACAGGCACCCGCCACTGCACCCGGCTAATTTTTGTATTTTTAGCAGAGATGGGGTTTCACTATCTTGTCCAGGCTGGTCTGGAACTCCTGACCTCATGATCCAACCATCTTGGCCTCCCAAAGTGCTGGGATTACAAGGGTGAGCCAACGCACCCAGCTACTACATTTTGACATAAAGTCCGAAGACGGGACACAGGTCAGCACTTTTCATCCTAAAGGGTTATCAAAAGACATCAACTTGTATAAAAACTGGTGTGAAAATCGAGTGATGTTTTAGTTGATGTCATATGTTTTGTTCTCTCATGTGTCCAGATCCCGGAATAGGCTGAGAAAAATAGAACCTGGAGTGTAAAAAGAAAAAAGAAACATGTTAGTGGATATAGGACATTTTGCAGCTCTCAATTTGATCTGTTCCACAGTCGTCACACAGGATGAGAAGATTGTAGGAATGTGGAAAAAATTAGAATAACCTTGCATTTCGAGTTATGGAAAAGAAACTTTTAAGCTTTTAACATTTCTGTGAGAACAACATGAACCTGACAGCTAAATCACTGAAATATTGATCACATTACAAATAAAAATTCAAACAAATTCGTTTCAATTGAAAGAGGAAAAACATTGATACTACTACTGCTCATTGGTATGGTGATATGCAAATGTGGACTCCAATAAAGGAATTTGTCTAATTTTTGGACCACAATTATGTGAGGGAATATCAAAATGTTTATAATTTGCAACAACACAAGGATGTAGATTTTGTCTGATTTTGTTAATCTCTGAAAGGCTTATTTTTGATGTGAATTAATTGGATAGTCTAATATGCTCCCTTTCAGCCCACCATAAATATCTGTGAATTAAATTATGTAAACAGTTTCCTCAAAAGCAGAAGCATTGCTAACTCCCTTCCCCCGCATTAAATAGTTCTATATGAGTTGACAGAAGGAGTTGGCTGTGTGACCTTTCGCAATGAACGGGGAACATAGCCCCCTCTGGCCTGAATCTGAGAGAAGCCCCTTCCCAAAGCCCTTATGAGATGATATACCAGAAAACAACACATCTGACCAAGAAGTCTCTGAAGTTGCAGCCTTTTGTATTTACACTTTTGAGCTATCTCCATTGTGATGCAAATCTCGATTTTCAATCAAAATTGGCTAGAAAAAAAAATCTTTCTCTGGAAACCGTTGTAGGAAGCACGTAAGCCTAAATCTTAAATTTTCTCTGTTCTGACTTCCTATTAAGCCACAAAACAAATGTTATCAAACACATACACCTTTTGCAACTGCGGATTGAAAACTCAACCGTGTCAACTAGCATTTTTAACTAACTATAGTTTTAGTCTTAAAGGGTGCTGAGTTTATGCGTTATAAATGAACACCCCCCTCCCTTTTTTTTTCTCTCTAATTTGGGTGCTCACGTCAAAAGCATCTAAAAGCATTTTAACTTTTGTCGACTGTCCCAATTCAAGTTTGTTTGAGAGAGTCCTCCCTTCTTAGCTTGGATCCTTTATATAAGTCCAGATGAATAAAATAAAATGAAATGCAAAAGGAAGGCATCATTAATGGCTTGAAGGCGTCCCACTTTTATTTTCTTGTATTTTAAGAGCTGAAGTTGGAAATATGGAATCCTCCCAAGCCGCTCAGAAAGTTTGAAGACACAGGGGGCAGGGACCCAGACTTATGGAAGTCTCCGCCTCAGGCTGAAGGTTTGTGGGCGTCTGTGTGTGCGTGCGTCTGTCTTTTACTGTACCCTTCAAGATCGAGTTCTGAAGGAGCATTTCTCCTGCCAAAATACACACACAGCCTGGGATTAAAAGGGCTGAAACCTACCAGCAAGTTCTTAACGCCCTCCCACAATCATTAGACCAAATCCACCATCATTCCAGATTCATTTTTCCCTTATTCATCTGTCCAACTAATTCCTGCCACATTCACCAGGCTTATATCTTAATCTTTTCTGTTACATAGAGAATACATAATGAAAAGCTGCATTTTCTGGGTACATGCACACATTTGGAGCGGATGAACCATATGTGAAGCGACATACAATGCTGAATGCCGGCTGAATGGCGTCCAGCGCTAAAAACACCGCGAGCGCAGGAACAAAAAGCCGGCGAACAAGAGCCAGCGCCAGGCTTGCCTCTGCTGGAACACCAGGGGCTTCGCCGCGAAAACATGGGTATAATTTCACTGTTTTCACTCACACAAGCTGTGGGAAAGGAGTCACCATCTGATGTTTGATTGTGTGGGATATGTTTTTGGCAGTGGCCTTGTATTCCTCATTGACAAAAAAAAAGAAAAGAAAGAAAGAAACAAGAGAAAAGGGGCAGAGATGGAGGGGGGAGGAAAATAAAAAAGAATAGAGCTACATTTGCTGTTTTCAATTTGCAGTCTGGGGGACAGGCACAGCTGACAGTTCTGACCAGTGGCCACCTGAAAATCAGGGCCAGGGCCTGGGGACTGTCCCCTCTGCCTCCATCCCCTGGGCCTCCCTTTATGCCGAGGGACCAGGAGGGGACTTTTCTCCATCCTCCCCCGTCGGCTGGTTAACTTACGACTGAGCTGTGGGGCTGACGTTTGCCTGATTTAATAAAGCCTTTTATCCAAGGTAGCGGCTGGGAAGGCAGGGTCCTGACAGCCCAGAGGGGGAAAGGGCCCAAGGCTCACAAGCAGACACTTTCCGGAGCCGGTGAGGAAAAGAGTGAAGCTTCAAAAAAACTCCCTGGCAATGCGTCTGGGGCTGAAGCCAGGTGGTTTCTCCCGTGGTTTCTGGCTGGAGACTGGCAGGGGTGTTAGGTTTACACCCTGGGTCTCTGCCCCAACCGAAGGTTCTAGAAAGAGATATGCTGCTCTTTGTCACCATCTTTTCCTCACTCAGGAATGCCAGATTTAGCAAGTAAACATACAGGATGCCCAGCTACATTTGGATTTCAGAACAACAAGTACTAAGCCGTGATGTGCTGTTTCCCCAAAAGCCAATTTTCACTGAGTGTCTTGCACGTTATCTGACAATGCTACTCCCACGCCACCAGGCTTCCTGGTCCAGCCACCCACCTCCCCTCACCTGTGGCGGGTGGGCAGGGGGGCGGTGATCAACAGCCTCCTCTGCCTGCATCTCAGGATGTTAAGAGGATAATGAGAGAATAGATGGGTAGCTGCTTTCCAGAAAGGTCATTAATTAGCCCTGCTGGTTAGCATGTGGTTCCAGTGCCCCAGCTGTGCTAAAGGCCTTCCTCTTAGCATCCAGTTCAAACCAGGAGACATGACCAATGAGACTAGAGAGAGTTTGGTGTCATTTCCTCCTGGTGCCCAGAGCCCCTTCTCTGATGGGTTTCACATAATTTTGTTTCGACCCTCTTTTAGAATCAAACCAGGCTGGGTGCAGTGACTCACCCCTATAATCCCAGTACTTTGGGAGGCCAAGACAGGAGGATTGCTCGAGGCCAGCAGTTCAAGACCAGCCTGGGCAACATAGTGAAACCCCATCTCTACAAAAAACTTAAAAATTATCTGGGTGTGATGGTGCATGCCTGTAGTCCCAACTACTTGGGAGGCTGAAGTGGGAGGGCTGCTTGAGCCCAAAAGTTCAAGGTTATAGTGAGCCATGATTGTGCCACTGTACTACTCCAGCATGGGTGACAGAATGAGACCTGTCTCCAAAAAGATAACAATAAATTGAAATAAAACTCCCCAGTTCAGCACCTCTTGCTTTTACTAGAGGCAAATATAGTGTTTAATGGAAGATGTGGGGAGAAAGCCACATCCTTTCTAATCAAGTGCTCCTACTCCCGGGGATATTGGATTGCTACCTTTGAGTACAGTGCTTGCTAAGAAGCTGGTAACACCTAGTTGGCCTCCAGGATTTGTCTTGAGGTGGGCACCTTGCCTTGAGTTCCCCATTTGTAGGCCTGTGAAGCATATCTGGTTAAAGGCAGAGAGAAAGAAAAGGTTTCCCTTTGTGAGTAGCAGGCAAGTGACCAGGACAAATCGCATTGGCAGCCAGAGCCAGGGTCTGTGCTGTCATTTATCCTCCAGGTGGGGAGGTGGGATCAGGCACCGGCTTTAAAAGGAGGTGGTGTTCTGCACCAACCGGGTCCAAGCCCTAAAGAGAAGATGTCAAAGGAGCACTGCTCTTTTGAATATTCCCTTCACTGGAAGACAGTCGTGGCTGCATATATTGGCCGGGACTAGAAGTGTGGTTTTCCCCATGTGGCGGAATTGCTTTCATTTTCAAACATGGGCCAGGGGCATAATGGCCGCTTGTAATGATCACATTAGCATCATGGAGCAATATATCTACAATAAATTAAGACTGCTTTGCAATTAGTACCGATGATCACAGCTGCGGAGACAAATGGCATATGTGCTAATTAAATAATTTGTCACTTCACTGTTAAACAAACAATTCAGCCTCTTTATATTACAAACTGCCATCTCCAGAACATCACCATGGGCCATTAACCCCGTGGAAGGAACAGCTTGCCATGCCCACAATTGGTGGGGAGCGATGTTTGAATGGCAGGAAAAAGGTGATGGGGAAAAATCCACTTGGATGACAAGTCCCCTCAGACTTTGAAAATTTTCTTGGAAAATGAGTTCCAGGAGGACAAAACAAACTCTGCCACTCCACTCAGAAAACATTTGGAAGATAGCCCACTCCAGTGTTAAGATTTCTGAGCTCTATTCGATGTGCCCTTATTGAAGTGAACCATCAAACTGGTTGCAACCAATAAAAACTCCATCACGTCAAATCTCAACTTCATCTGGTGACTTCAGCGAAAGTCCCTCCTCCCCATTTGTACAGTTTTTCTTTTGTACAGATTTTGTACATACCTTTGTACAGTTTTTCTTTTCTTTCTTTAAGTTTTAGCATTTCCTACCCCAAATGCTAATCCATAAAGCTGAATTGTGAACTAGGGTTTAATGGGGGCCAGCCATTGCTAGCCTATATAATGGCTTTGTGTGAACTAAGAGGACTCAGCTCTGTGCAGGGCACCAGTCTTGGTAAGCAAGGTGCAGGCTGGATTTGCGTCCCTGCTCACCGCCTTGGTCCAGGGCCCTTGTGCAGTGAACAACCTGTCCAACCACACAGGCAGCTCTGACTCACTTGCCTCTGAAACCAGGAGAGACCTGGGTAATTTAAAGCCACAGAACACTAGCAAGTCATGTGTCATTATTATCCTTTATTCCTTGCTCTTTTATCAGAGTTGTTAACTAATGGAACTTGATTTCTCCTTCTTATTCCTGCGCTCGCTCCCATACAAGAGGCAGAATGGTCAGACAGAGAGAGAAAGGCAAGGCAGTGAGGACTTCTTGTCATTGGCCCTTCAGCAAATCCCTCATCAGGCACCGCCTTTGTAAGGAGCATGTGACACGGGTGGTGTTGAGTAGAAGGCATTTGTGATGTAACAGGTGTTTGGTGTAAAATACTCAGGCAGTGTTAAGTTCCACCAAAGTCATTCTACTGCAGTAAATTTCTACCAGGCAGGAAACAGCTAGAAACAAGGTTGAGTGTTCAGTCTTCCTTCCTGCAGGAAAGGTGATTCCCTGGATAATTTCACATTAGGCTTTAAGAGCTCCTTTCCTGTGGCATTGTGGGGGTGGAAAAAGAAAAGCCAGTCTTTTATCTTTATGGAAATCTCACTGTTCGGATACAAAAGTCTGTAATAGAGGTGAGTTCCTCAGCAAATTGGTGCGTTACTCACCAAAAAGCCATTCTGTCTCTTTTTTAAAGTGAAATCTGAGTTTATCCCAGAAAGACTGGGGCATGGAGCAGCTTAGCTCACATCACTTAGGATAAAGGTGGGCACACTCTTAAGTGAGACAGAGTCTCACTCTGTCACCCAGGCTGGAGTGCGGTGGTGCAATAATGGCTCACTGCAGCTTCGAACTCCTTGGCTCAAGTGATCCTCCCACCTCAGCTTCTGGAGTAGCTGGGACCACAGGCATGCACCAGCATACCCAGCTAATTTTTTATTTTTTGGTAGAGACAAGGTCTCACTATGTTGCCCAAGCTGGTCTCAAACTCCTGGGCTCAAGCATTCCTCCCACCTCAGCCTCCCAAAGTGTTGGGATTACAGGTTTGAGCCACTGTGCCCAGCCTTGCTATTATTATCATAACTGAATTTTATAGCATGGAGTGTCTTCAGCAGCACTTGTTAATATTGTCTGTTAGGTGTGTGCAGAGTGAGGAAAGGAGATTGCCTAAGAGTAATGTTTCTAAAAGAACTTTTCTGACATGTATTTGTACATGAGGAAATGCAGAGAGTGCAGGGTGAGTTTAGAGGCACTGAAAGCACTGCCAGGACATAAGATGTTTTTCCTACGGCTCTACAAGATGCATTATTATCTGGCCTGTTTCGGAAAAGACAGGCTGTTTTCTAGCAGCCTCCTGTCTTCTGGTACTTCAGAGAGTGGATTTCCATGTGTCCAAAGGCTGAGATGCGAGTCAGGAACCACCCAGACCAGCCAACTGTCCTACCAGTGGGCATAGAATCCTTAGGCTGCAAGACAACCTAGATGCCAGCTCATCTAAGCCTCTTATTTCACCAGAAGAAGGAATGGGAGGAGAGAGAGACAACAATGACCCTAAATCATCCTGTTCTTTTCCTTCTCTGGTGGCGGTGGGAGGGGAGGGGTTCCTCCCACCTTCCCTCTATTTTCTGATCTAAGCTGAGGAAATCCAAATGGTATTCTTTTATCCCAATATTAACTGGGACTCAGAGACTCCCCAAGCCACTTACTTAATTTGTGGTGTAAAATATTTTTGTTATAGAATTGTTCCGCCTCTTAAAGGAGATCCGTGGGGAAAGACCTGGCTGGACAGCCTTTTACATAGCCCCAGTGAAAACAATGCAGGAATCTGAAAAGGTCATTAGGAAAATAAAAACTTAAAGTCCTGAAAAGCTTTCTGACAATTGTCCAAGGCCATGCAGTCCTGAGGACACAGAGGACACCAGCCATCCCTCAGCCACGACCCACGAGCCAACCCAATCAGACCACATCTTGTCTTTCAGGAAAATGCACTGAATTTTGTACCATGCCCCCAAAAGCCTGGATCAAATTAAGAGTTTTAATACTCAAAGTCATTTATATTGTGTCTCTAAAGCATATACAATAAATGTACGCATCACTCAGGATATATTAAAATGTTTTGCCATACATTTCTAAAATCTTAACAAATATCATGAACACTTTAAAATACTACTTTTATTTTGATCAAAATGCATTCCATCATTTGAAAATCAAGTAGTAATTGGATAGATTCTAATAAATAAACACAGTTCTCTGCTCAGCTTCTTCTGACATCTTTCATACCCTTGAAACAACACATTTCAACTCTGTAATTTAATTTTTTTTCTGGAATTTCCTTTCATATTTCTAGATGATATGTTTCTAGATTTCCTGAATTGTATTTTCCAATACCATTATTAAAAGTGTTTTTTAAATTAAGCTATTCTATTTTAATTTTCAATAATTTTGGTTCTCTGATCCATTTTGATATCCTCCTCTTCTTGTTTCATGAGCTAATCTCTTGCTATTTTTGAAAAGGCCATAGTTTTTAAAAATACGTTTGCTTGTTGAAACGTTTACTGAGTTGTCTCTGTCTCTTCTGGGTTCATTTTTGTTTGGTTGGTTTTGTCTTTATCTTTCTTCTTGGAGCTTACTTCAAATGTGATTTTGGCAGTCAGTTCATAAGAGGGAGGTACTGGGTAGCTAATTCTATCTGGGCATGGAGCTTCACTCTAGAGAGATCAATGGGAAAGCAGTGGTGAAAGCTTACCAGCAGAGTATCACAACCTGATACAGCTACATAATTATTATTTTACTGTGTGTCTCCTCCTGGTCTTGTATGTGTAAGTTCCATTAATGCAAAGTTTGTTCATTTTGTTCACTGCTCCAGTCTCAGTGACTAGAACAGTGTCTGGCACATAATAAATGCTTAAAAAACACTTAGATGAACAAAGAACTGTGGGAGAAAAATGCTATACAGAGCACAAAGTGAGTGGGAGACTAAGAGTAAGGAAAGTTAATTTTGCCTTGGAGCAATGGGGAAGTTTTTTTTCACTGCATTGACTAGGAGCATTCCTATAATGCCAAGACACTGCCTAGGAGTCTTCCGTGCATTCTTTCATTCATGCAGCCAACAACATCCATTGAGCACCTACGGTGTGCTGTGAAGCAGTGTAGCATGGTGGTGAAGGACATGGGAATTGATTAAGGAACCTGAAGTCTAGCCCTGGCTGTGTGTCTTTGGGCAAGTTATTTACCTCTCTGAGCCTCAGTTCCCTTAATTCTATATGAATAATTATCAGAGTGTCTGCTTATAGGGTTGCCTTAAGGATTAAATGAATTGCTGTATGTAAAGAGTTCAAATATTATGCTAGGCTATGTTAGGCTATGGAGACACCTGTGTTAGGCTATGGAGACACCTGTGTTAGGCTATGGAGACACTGAGATGGCTAGAAATGATCTTTTCCATCCCCCAACAAGAAGACTTCATAGTCGAGTAGGCTGCCTTTCTCGTTCTTGTACACTATCCCTCGAAATTTTTTAAAAAATCAGAAAGTGCACCGGGCACGGTGGCTCACGCTTGTAATCCCAGCATTTTGGGAGGCTAAGGTGGAAGGATCACCTGAGGTTAGGAGTTCGAGACCAGCCTGGCCAATGTGGTAAAACCCCATCTCTACTAAAAATGCAAAAATTAGCTGGGCATGGGGGTGGGCGCCTGTAATCCCAGCTACTCAGGAGGCTGAGGTAGGAGAATTGCTTGAATCTGGGAGATAGAGTTTGCAGTGAGCCGAGGTCATGCCACTGCACTCCAGCCTGGGCAACAGAGCGAGACTCCATCTCAAAAAATAAAGAAACCTAGAAAGTGCAAAGTATGTCCATAGGCAATCAAAATGATGCTTGAATTTGGGGTGGGGGAAGGGGCAAGATCTCATGTCAAACTGGATTACTATCACCTCGACAGGCACAGGACTGGCAGAGTTAAAGGAAAATAACAAGTCAACAGCCTCTTCCCCAGGGGCTCAGTAATGTCCCCAGCCTTTGGCTCTGGTGTGCTTTGTGCAAAGGGCTAAAAATAGCAGAGGCGTGCTCAGGATTAAGATGGCCTTTCAATCACAAGTCAGGGAAGTAGTGATTTTCCTTAGACAAACCCTGTTGCTACTGGTGGGGGTGGGGATGGAGGTCGGGAGACATACGACTTTCTCATACATTTGATTAAAACTTTGGCAAAGTTAAGAATCTTCATAGTCTCTAAATCTCCATTTGCACCCACCCTGACCTTTCTTAAGTATAGTTTCATTGATTTTTTAAGGCTATCTTTGAAGCTAGAATGCTGAATAACTCTAAAACTTAACAAAAAGTCCACTCTTTTGGTTGCCTGTTTGTGTGATAATACATCCTCTTAAAAAACACAGCCCATTTTAATTTGCATCCATCCACCCTTCACCTCACCATCTATAGCACCATAAATACATTCATCAAAGAAGGCAGCATAAAAAGTAGTAAGCGTGGAGAATGGTGAAGTGTCAGTTACAATTAATAGCTTTGGAAATAAAAGGGATAATATTGTGTCTCATTTACAAGTTTTGAATTTAATTTCACAACTTACCATTTGAAATAAATTAATGCCAGAATTGACCTGTTATGAAGTCTGTTTGTAAATAAAATTGGCCCAATTTAGTCAGGGGTGGGGAGTGCATCTTAGTCCCAGCTACTCTACTGAGGAGGCTGAAGTGGGAGGATGGCTTGAAGCCAGGAATTGGAGGCTGCAGTGAGCTATGATCATGCCACGGCACTCCAGCCTGGGTGACAGAGGGAGATCCTGTCTCTATAAATAAATAAATAAATAAAATCAGCTCAACTATTTATGTCAGTGTCGTAAATACAGAAACCAAATCCTTAAGATGCCCTAGAAGTGGAGGTTGGGTGGGAGGGAATATCCTCCCCAAACTTCAAATCACATCCATGCTCTGAGAGCTCCATTGGGTTGCCAAGCTCCATTCAGTCTCATTTTCCTCTTAACAATGCACGTGCGCAAAGGCTTCCTGCCTGGGAAGGCACCAGGCATCTTTTTAAAGAAGTGCAAGGATTTTAGATGAGGTCAGGAGTTGGGCATGGGAGCGAGGTGAAGGGTGAAAAAAGTTAAGCTACTCTGGTGTAAACCACCACAAACTCCCTGTTCCTGCTTTTATTCCTTCCCTAAAACGTTTTCACTTTGGGAGAAGAAAATTTTAACAAATCATTATTATTAATAAAAAGCTGTAAAGTGGGCTGCACATGGTGCTCATGCCTGTAATCCCAGCATTTTGGGAGGCCAAGGCAGGAGGATATCTTGAGCCCAGGAGTTCAAGACCAGCCTGGGCAACATAGTGAGACCTCGTCTCTACAAAAACAAACAAAATTAGCCAGGTGTCCTGGCTCGCACTACTCCAGAGGTTGAGGCGGGAGGATTGCTTGATCCCAGCAGGTCAAGGCTGCATTGAGCTGTGATCACACCACTTCACTACAGCCTGAGCAACAAAGGGAGGACTCTGTCTTCCCAAAAAAAAAAAAAAAAAAGGAGGAAAATGGCAGGGTGGGAGGGGGTGGGGAGGGGGTGAAATCACCCATAACGTCAGAGGCAGGTGAACCAGAGCAACTCCATCTTGAATAGGAGCTGGGTAAAATAAGGCTGAGACCTACTGGGCTGCATTCCCAGATGGTTAGGCATTCTAACTTACAGGATGAGATAGGAGGTCAGCACAAGATACAGGTCATAAAGATCTTGCTGATAAGACAGTTTGCAGTAAAGAAGCCGGCTAAAACCCACCAAAACCAAGATGGTGACAAGAGTGATCTCTAATTGTCCTCACTGCTACACTCCCACCAGGGCCATGACAGTTTACAAATGCCATGGCAATGTCAGGAAGTTACGCTATATGGTCTAAAAGGAGAGGCATGAATAATCCACCCCTTGTTTATCATATCATCAAGAAATAACCATAAAATGGGCAACAGCAGCCCTCCGGGCTGCTCTGTCTATGGAGTAGCCATTCTTTTATTCCTTCACTTTCCTAATAAACTTGCTTTCACTTTAGTCCATGGACTCACCCCAAATTCTTTGTTTCAAGAGATCCAAGGGCCCTCTCTTGGGGTCTGGATCGGGACCCCTTTCCTGTAACAATAATGGCACAACCCAAATACAACTACTTTAATGTTTCAGTCATCTCTTTCCATTATGTCTCTAACTGCATTTATATTTACAGTTATAATGTGCATAAAAGTTTGTGATCTACTTTTCTCCTAAACATTGCCCTAGGTTATTAGAGAGTCTTTCAACTAATTATTTTAATGGGTGCATAATATTTCATTGAGTGGGTGGATCATCATTTAACCATTTCCCTATTGATGAACAGTGGAGATTACTTCCACTTTTTCTCTTATAAATAAATATACTGATAATCATCAGTATCTTCCATATCTGCAGTTTGGTATCTTTATTCAACTTTTTCCCTTATAAATAAAAGTTGAACAAAGATTTCAAATTGCAGATACCACAATCAGCTGATGCTCAAGTCTCCCATAGAAGATGACATAGTACTTGCATTTAGCCTATATACATCCTCCTGTATACTTTAAATCATCTCTAGATTACTTATAATACCTAATACAATGCCTACACTTCACTTTATTCACATACATATATTCTCATTTACACACACACACACACACACATACACAGTGCTAATGCATATGCCCGCCCTGAATTTTCTCCTCATGACTGGTTGTGGCACAACTTTAAACCCAGCAGAGCATGGGGAGGAAGCTGGAGTTTGTATTTTCAGTTTTGTTCAACTCTGTGAATTAGGAGTACCGTTTTCCCATCCTAGTCACGAAGTAGTCCTGAATTGTCCTTGAGTAGAAGGGAGAGATTTATGGACTGAATCCTGGTCCAAGTCAGAGAGAAAAGTATTCTTTAGAAAGACATCGTCTGATGATTATTTTGAGAGACTCTCTGGTAATCCCTAGCAAATCTGCATGTTAATAGGAATCATTTACTCAAAGCAGGGGCCCAGGAAAATAGCTTTACATAATAACAGTAGCTTGATTTGATTACTTCAATTTGGTCCTAGCTATTGAATTAAAGGTAGAGCCAAGCTTTTGGAAGTTTTACAGAATGATAAACAAAATGGGAATAGTAAATTAAGACTGACTCTGGATTCCACCTGTACATCTTTATTACTTCTAATGAGCAGGGAGATGTAAACAGGATCGAGGAGTAAAAACCATTGATAATCTTCTTAGCATTCTGGATAATTTATTGGTTTCTTTCTCACATTGAGAGCTCTAAGCCTGCCTAATATTTGTTAAGACTTCTTGGCAGCTCTTTCCTAAAAGAAGCAATTTCTTTTCTTACAGTGCACTGTAGTTTTGCTCACTTGCTCCCCAAAATACTGATGGACATTTTCAGCTGCACTCAGCCATTTTGAATCACAGCAGCACTTTAAAAAATCCTAGTAATTTTATACTTACAGAGGAGTCGCAACAGTAGGACAGAGTACTTGGTTACCCCTCAACCAGCCCTCTGTCTGTTAACATCTTATATACCATACATGAAAATTAAGAAATTATACTAAGCATGAGACTATTAGCTAAAGTGCAGAACTTACTCACATCACCAGTTTTTCCACTAATGTCCTTTTTCTATTCCAAGACCCAATCCAGGACTCCATGTTGCATTTAGTTTTCACATCTTCTTAG
Organism: Homo sapiens; assembly: GCF_000001405.40. Lineage (NCBI taxonomy): Eukaryota > Metazoa > Chordata > Mammalia > Primates > Hominidae > Homo > Homo sapiens. Next base: position 32,966,168 of record NC_000021.9, read on the forward strand.
CCTCCTTCAATCTATCACAGCTCCTCAGTCTTTCTTTGATTTCAGGGCCTTGCCACTTTTGAAGAGTAATGATCAGTCATTTTGTAGAATGTCCCTCCATGTGGGCTTGTTTGGTGCGTTCTCACGGTTAGACTAGCGTTATGCATTATTGGAAAGGAAACCACAAAGTGATTGACGTGTCCGTCTCAGTGCACCATGCCATCCTCACCATCCTCACCACTTGGCTAAGGTGATACCCACCGAGATTCTCCACTGTAAACTTTCCGTTTTCCCCTTTGTAATTATTAAATATTTTAGAGGGGGAGATACTTTGAGACAATGCAAATAAATATCCTGTTTCTGCTTAAACATTCACAGCCGTACTTTTTGTCCTCCAAAGCAATAGTTTAACCTCAGCTAAATGTCAACAAGCTATCAATGGGGACTTTTGGAGTTGGTGATGGGCACAGGAGCCTCAAAGCCATTCACTTCTTCCCGGAAGCCCAGCATTCCGGGAAAGGACTGGCAGACCTCCTGACTTCCTCCACCAGCTGTCTGACCACCGCACACTGTGGTTGTGACTTGGGATTTCAGAGCCAGGAGCAGGACCCCACTCCTGATCATAGCATGACTTAGCTTCTCCCCAGAATCACAGTCATCTTCCATATGACTTAGGAATAGCATGATTGCTGGAAGACAGAAAGATGTGGGCCTAAGTAACAAAATAAACTGTGTTCTGTTAAAGAAAAAAGTATTTGTGACACTTATGAAAGCGTGGCAAGGCAGACTTCATTTAGGGGGATTATCACAATAGGTCTAGGGACTATTACAATGGGGTTTTATAGTAGGGCAGAGAGATTGGGCTCAACTCTGTATCCGACAAGGAAAAGTGGGAATTTATAGCCAAGGAGTGAGAGGGGTGCCAGTGGATGGTAAATTACCAAGAAGAAACATGAGGGGTAAGCGGGGATTCTGGCTAACTGTCCTAATGGGTTTCTTGCTGAACACAGGCCAGGGTGATCAGACAGCACCTGCAGGATGGTGGAGGATGAGCAACTTCCCCAGATCTGGAAGGTGATCAGATACAGTTAGAGTAAGTAGCTAGGTAGACATGAGCAGGCCAGGAGGGGGTCCCCCTCCCCACTGGGATGTCAGGTGACCATCAGGTACTGGCCAGGCAGTTGTTGTTGTTAAACTGTCTCTCTAAAATAATAATTGGTCACAGCCAATGCCAGGGAAAGACAGCCTCCCAATAGACAGAAAACACCTGAAGCTGGTGATCAGCAGCCTTTTTTTTTTTTTTTTGAGACAGAGTCTCACTCTGCTGCCCAGGCTGGAGTACAGTGGCACGATCTAGGCTCACTGCAACCTCTGCCTCCTAGTTTCAAGCAATTCTCCTACCTCAGCCTCCCAAGTAGCTCGGGAGGATTACAGGCATGCACTACCATAACTGGCTAATTTTTGTATTTTTAGTAGAGACGTGGTTTCACCATGTTGGCCAGGCTGGTTTCAAACTCCTGACCTCAAGTGATCCGCCTGCCTTGGCCTCCCAAAGTGCTGGGATTACAGGCGTGAGCCACCGCTCCCAGACGATCATCGGCTTTTTGATAAGATCTCAGGAGTTTGGCAAATGTGCTCAAGCATGAGCACTAAGAAGCAAAATGGTGGAGTTTAACCAGTATATGACCTTCCTCTAGGAACGCTCAACTGGTAAGGGTAAAATGCCTCAAATGAGCATGCGCACAACTTCAGTAAACTCACTGTGCGTATGGCCCCTCCCAAGTGCTGGCAGCCCACCAAAGCATTTGGATGAAGTGACGTTGTTCATCTGAGGTAATACCCAAGGTTCATTGTCTCACGCCAAGGAAATCAAGGACACAAACACACAAGAAGTGAGGTTAAGAACAGAGGTTTAGTAAGCGAAAGAAAGAGAAGAGCTCTCTCTGCTGCAGAGAGAGGGGTCCCAAATGGGTTTTCTGCTTCCGTGGTGAAATGCAGTGGGGTTTTATAGATGAGCTTGAGGAGGCGGTGTCTGATTTACATAGGGCACGAAAGATTTGTCGGACCACGTGTGTCATTTGCATAAGGCATGAAAAACTGGTTAGGGCTAGGTGTGCCATTTGCATAAGACACAAAAAACTGGCCACCCCACCCTAATCCTTTGTTATGCAGATGGGTTCTCTACCTGGCCGTGCCACATTGCCTGTTTCTTTACTGTACACGTGGTGATAAAGGAAAGGGAAGATGGGGCCTCCATGTTGAACATACCTGGCCCCCAGGTAGCCCTTTTCTATTGGCACAGCTGCCGGCATTCACCTGTGCAAGCTTCCAGCTTGCTTATCTATGTCTGCAGCTTGATTTTTCAGGCTGTTCTTTGTTTGAAAGACAATGATTTGGGGGCTGCTTTTTGTTAAAAGGGAAATTCTGCCGAGGGCTCTGTTGCCCTTACTATCTGCCTGAATAATTTCTTTCTACCTCCTGTATCATGGACAGCCTGCTCCAAGGAAGAATCAGGGGAGAAGAAACACAAATCCTGGAATCATGCCAATGCATGAAACCCCAAGTCAAGGGTTGGACAGAGCACTTGGCACTTGGATCTTTTTTTTTTTTTGAGACGAAGTCTCGGCTCTGTCGCCCAGGCTGGAGCGCAGTGGCGCAATCTCAGCTCACTGCAAGCTACAGGTGCCCACCACCATGCCCAGCTAATTTTTTGTATTTTTAGTAGAGACAGGGTTTCACTGTCTTAGCCAGGATGGTCTCTATCTCCTGACCTCATGATCCGCCTGCCTCAGCCTCCCAAAGTGCTGGGATTACAGCACCGTGCCCGGCCGGATCTTTTAAGTTGCCCACTTGGCCCTCTTCCAAGTGTACTTTCTTCATTTTGTTCCTGCTCTAAAACTTTTAAATAAACTCTCACACCTGCTCTAAAACTTGCCTTGGTCTCTTATTCTGCCTTATGTCACTTGGCTGAATTCTCTCCTCCAAGGAGGCAAGAATCGAGTTGCTGTAGGCCCATAGGGATTCACTGCTGGTAACAATACCAGGAGTGAAGGATTCTAGCTAAAATGACTTAGCAGGATTGTTGCTAAGACTTGGACAATGCAGAGATGAACACAGAACCCCAAAAGTCAGGGCTCAGTTGAGAAGAGAGTTCAGAGGAGCCTGACTAGAATTTGGTCGAGGAGATAGTCTGTCAGTTCAGAAGACGATGAGGGTCTGCTGTTCTCAGGCCATCACAGACATCATCTGCAGATGCCCTTTACAGCACTGTGTCTGTTTCCAGGAATTTATGTTGTAAAATGGAACTGAAACTCAGAAAAATAATGGTTGGAGATTTTCACCACCAAATTTTTCTCCTCTTGTTTGTTGTTCTTTAAAAAATAAGTATATTTTCAGTTCATTAGACTTGAAATGATGGATGAGGAAAATTAAACCAAATGTGAAAAATGGGGGACTCAGTCCCCAAAGGGATGTCCAGCTGGTGGCCAGTCCTGGGAAGCTCCTTGTGTCTGAGAGCTATATAAAGAGAGAAGGAAATAAGGAAAAATGACTCCCCTGCATCCAACTTCATTTTTGTTTCTATTTTGTGACAATAAAATTATCTTTCTGAGGATTCTACAAAAGGAGAGTATAGTATCCTTGTTTAACCTCAGAAGCGATTCCCTCGGGTCTATTTACACAAACATAGCCTTATTTATTAGGTGTACCCAGCTAACATCTGATGACAAGCTAGAGGAGGAAGAAATGGATGGATCCAATCTAGAGATATTAACAGATATTTGTATAGAAGGTGGCAATTTATTGATCATTTATACATCATCTTTCTAAAGCCTCTTTACTCACTCTTTCTCTCTGATATCTGCTTTTCATTTGTACTAGACCACCGATACCACATATCATGTGTCAATTTCTTTACTCAGAAAGAAAACATGCATAACAGAAGGTGGGTCAGGCTGGTGGTACAGAATAAGTTTTGCTTGGTGATTTTCATGGCCTGCAAAGATCTGAGTTATGTGGTCCAGTCAGGACCCCCAACCAATGCATCCATGGGGATTTAAGTGAATATTAAACTTAAGTGTGTTCTGTTCATGCTGCAATCTCACAGTTTACCTAAGGCCTTGATTTATGGCACAATAAATGTTGCCGAATTTGAGTAAATAAAGGTATAGTTTGTCTTCTGAAAACACAAGAAGGTAGGCCTGGTACCACAAGAAGGGATAGTTGATAATGAGAGACAGGAGTGTAAAATCGAGAAAAAGAAAACTATTCCATAAAACAAAAGTTGGGGATATTCACATAAGAGCAAATATGTTTAGAATTCTAATGAAAAGTCACCAGGAAAAGTTGAACTTGTGTTTATAAGACTCTGATTAAGAAAGCAGGGACATGTATAAACTTTAAAAAGTATTCTTTACCTAAAATTGTTCATTTTAAAACAAACTTTGGTACCATATGAAATAAACGTATTTAGAAATGTAATCAAATACTAAAACGTATTTAGACCCTTTTGCTTTATTACACCAGATAATAGTATTCTTTTGGGATTCCTGAAAAGTCCATGTAAATATTCACCCTGACCAAACGGGAGTGGGCTGCCCTATTTAGTGGAACACATTTTTGTAAGTTTTCTTCTGTAGATAGGCTAGTTGGGAGTGCACTGTTAGAAGCTCCCAGGCTGGGCGAGGTGGCTCACGCCTGTAATCCCAGCACTTTGCGAAGCTGAGGTGGGTGGATCACCAGGAGTTTGAGACCAGCCTGACCAACATGGTGAAACTCCGTCTCTACTCCAAATACAAAAATTAGCTGGGGGTGGTGGCAGTTGCCTGTAATCCCAGCTACTCAGGGAGCTGAGGCAGGAGAATTGCTTGAACCTGGGAGGCAGAGGTTGCAGTGAGCTGAGATCGCGCCATTGCACTCCAGTCTGGGCAACAAGAGCGAAACCCCGTCTCAAAAAAAAAAAAAAAAAAAAAAAGAAATAGCTCCCAGTAGCATCTTCCCGCCTCCCCCTCTCCCCCCCGCCCCCCACCCCCACCCCCGCATATATCTGGGCCCCGACTTTGAGGGCATTCACACAAACAGCTCCATAGCAGCTGGTGGGCTGGGCCCAATTAGCCAGTGTGGGGCAAACGGAATGCACGATTGATGCAGAACCCTTGGAGAACGGGCCCTGAATCCAGGAGCCAAATGGTTCCTTGCACAGAGCGGAAAGGATTAGGGTGGGCGACCAGTTTGGGAGCAAGAAGCAGTATCCCACCAACATGCAAAGCCTTTTCTTTCTCTACACAACCCCACCATTGTCTATGACATAATGCTGTTCAGTGGCCTCCACTGCAACATTCAAGGCCCAGTCCTGTCTTCTGGGAACAACTCAGATATTAATTTTGAAAGCAGTGGGTGTCCTTCACACGCAGACTCTAAACAGATTCTCCATTCTACATGTAGAGGAAGAAATCGAGAATAATATTTTGCTTTTAAAAAAAAAATTTGGTGGCTGGTTCTTCTTGCTCTCCAAGAAAGCTTGTTTGGGAATATTAAAAAAACGAAGATGTACAGCTCCTCTCCTGGGTGAAAAGCACACAGTCCAAAGAGTCGTATTTGTCAGGCTCACAGGATGGGCGGGAGAGGAGGTGGGACTGGTGGGCGGTGGCTTTTCACCCTCTGTACCTAGGTTTATGGCCTTTCAGTATTTAGGGGAGCTATTTTTACATGTAGCTTGCTCCTATTTTTTTCTGATTGGAGTCTCTTTATTAAAAGAATTGTTTAATTTGAAATGAGTAACCCAAGTTACTCGGCAAGATATAAAGATTAAGAAAAGATAACAAGAGATGAATAAATGAGGTAGTGGAATTGCTTGATAACTGGAGTAGTGCCTTAGAAGCTCTCTCCCAAGTTAGAACTATTCTTTGTTGTTAAATGAAAGTTAAAATATGCCATTTTCAATGTAAATACATTTTTTCCCAGATTCATACTATCCTATATTACAATTGTTTTCATTTCTTCATCATAAGAAATCATCACTTTGGAGTTTTATTTATGTATGTCCTGTTTTCACATCATTTTGACAGTCCTGTAGATATGCTATGTTTTTCCTCACAGCCCTAATTATATATCATCTTTATCATTTTTAGTAAATAGATAATATCCCATTACACCAATGTTCCATAATTTGTTATCTGTTGCCCTTTGCTAAGACTTTGGTTATTTTCAGCTTTTCACTCCCACAAATAACACTGCTATAAATATATCAATGCATACACCATTTCTCCTTTTAAATTGCTTTCTTGAAATAAATTCCAAAGAATGAGATTACAGGGTCAAAGAGTACTAACATTTTTATGACCTTTGACCCGCATTGATTGCCAAATGCCCTCAAAAGGCATTGTACCAGTTTTCAAAGAATGATATATCTGCTTTCCCCACAGGCTCATCAGGCATTGAGTTATAGGGTTTTCCTGTATTTTTATTTCTTCAGTCTCAATGGGTTGAGATTAAACTATATGCCCATTGGAGAATTATTATAAGTAGCTATACAATTCATTGATTACTTAATAATGCTTAGGATACAACAGAAAGGAAAATAAAGCAGAAAAAAAACAAGCCAAATTAAATTCTTTCTCAGTTGTGTTAAATGCCTTTGTATATTGAATATCTGTGAGCATGCTAAGCTTCAACACTGAGAACAAAGAAATCAGTTCTGAAACAACTAGAATAACATCAGCACACCAGAGTCAGATAACTTAGTTTTCATTTCATAAATACATTCACACACTCACAAAGCTCTAAACTTTGTTAGAAGAGTGAGCCTAAGAGAAACAAATGCTTACTTGTGTTATCAATGCCTAAAGCACTGATTTTGAGCAGCAAAGATTTGACTCTCTCTGACCTCTTGCAAAGATGTCCAATTATTTCACAGTTGTTCTTCTGCTTTTCCTCTCTGTCTCAAGCTATCTTGAATAGGGAAAGAGTGAAAAAAGGAGTAAAAGTAAAATAACAGGGGCAAGAGTCTCTCGTTCCTTTTGTGAATTTTGCCTTCGGCTTGGTTCTGTTTTCTGGAAAATACTATGCAAACATGGAAATGGGTAAGTTGTCTGTCAATGCACTTTGCAGATGGCATGGATAAATGAAGAAAGCCCTGAATATCTAATTCTTTGTGACCAGCTCTGTTCAAATACAGTTCCTTCAACATTTCATATAAGTGATGCCTTAGGATTTCTGTAACACACGGTTTGCACAGCGTAGACATACTATGAGAGTCTATGGGATGGATGTTTGAGTCAAATGTGGCACGTTCATAGACCACTTGGAGTATACAATCAAAGATCCAAAGAAAACTATTGGTGTCATGGAAACCTTGCTCTTTGGGAAGTAAATCCACTCCAACTGAATGGGCATCCCTTCCTTTCTCAGCCCCACCATATCAGGAAGAGTGTACTTGGTGTTTATAGCTATGAGTGCCTGAAAAACAAGAACAGGTAGATTTGTATGTTAAGGCCCCATATTGATATTGGAAAAATACAAACCAGGAAGTGCAAATGTTAGCTTGGATCTGCTCTTACCTCCCATCACCACCACCCACAAAGAAGAGAAGAAAAAGAGCCAGAAAATGCACCCAGAGCCATCAGAAAAGTAAGGGAGGGATATTTTTATTTAGTACCAAACCCGAAGAGAGGGCAGCAGGTGCGGTGGCTCATACCTGTAATCTCAGCACTTTGAGAGGCTGAAGAGGGTGGATTGCTTGAGCCCATGGGGTTCAAGATGAGCCTGGGCAACAAAGTGAGACTCTGTTTCTCTAAAAAATAAAAATAAAAAATTAGCCAGGCATGCTGGTGTATGCCTGTAGTCCCAGCTCCTCAGGAGGCTGGGAGGTGGGAGAATCACTTGAGCCCGGGAAGTCAAGGCTGCAGTAAGCCATAGTCTCGCCACTGCACTCCCACCTGGGTAACAGAGTGAGACTCTGTCTCAAAAAACAAAGCAAAACAAAAACCACCCGGAAGCAGGTATCCTTTGAGTTCCTGTGACTGAACCAGTTCATTGCTGACTTGTTTGTGGCTGTGAGTCGCCTCAGTCTTGCTTGCTGCTGGACTGTGCCATTGATGGTGACCCCCATGGGGGCAGGCTGGGGTCAGGCTGGAGTCCTTCAGCCCTTCTGGGGAGCTGCTGCTTTCTAGCCAAACCAGGGGGTTAGTGGAAGGGTGGAAAGGTCAAGTAACTAAGAAGGGTGAACTAGAGAAAGACGTGGCAATTTGCCAGAGTGGTCCCTTCATTTAGAGTAAGGAATTGTGTGAGTGAGGGGCCTGCAGGCTGGTAAACAGCTTGTCCATCTCCAGAGAGGACCCACCAGTGTCAATGGCCGATTGAGAACAGGGCACCTCGCTGATAGTCACAGAGACGACCAAGACTGGAATTTCAAGTGGAATTTCTCCAAACCATGTTGGAACACTCATGAATCTGACTTGCACATCAGGCTGGGAAGTCATCTAGCCCCAAAGCTATGTCCTTGGGGAAGGGGAAGGCTGAAGGCTGAAAGAGAGAAACTTCCCACTCATCACCATATCCCCAATATCCAGTCTCTTCCTATCTCCCTCTCCAGCAAAATCAGCTGCTCCTTCCCCTAGCCTTGAAGAGCACCCTGTACATACTTCTCTGGCGCACTCAGCCCATTGTATACTAACGTGTTTCCATGCTATCTTCCCAGCTGGGGCATGAGTTCATCAGTGTATTCCAGCACATCTGGGTTCACATTCCAACTCCTGTCTCCTAATAGCTATGTGACTTGAACAAGCCACTTCTCTGAGACCTTTGTTTCCTTGTCCATCATGTGCTAATAAAAGAGTCTACCTGATTGGATAGCTGGGTGGATCATATGAGCTTCTACAAAATGCTCAGGTTTATCCTCATCATCCACTGGGCAATTTCTAGCCCAGAGCACAGCACCCTAATAGATATGCTCGGTAAAGGACATTCCAGCTAACGAATGGTTCTCGGGCACTGTGGGTAAGCATGGGGTTATGGCTGGACAGTGTCACTGGGCACTTGGTAGATTAGGAATTTCTTTTCTGGACCTTGGAAAGCACCACTGAAACCATTTTGGTTATAGCAGGTTATTTCTGTCGGTACTGACACTTCATCCCGAATCTCCTTCCTGCATCACCCCAAAGCAGGACATGGAAGTATAAACCTTCTTCACATAAGCCAGCTAACCTTGGGATTTTATGTAGTGCAGCTCATCTGTTCTCTTTTTCCCTTTATTTTTTATTTTTTAGATGGAGTCTCACTCTGTTACCCAAGCTAGAGTGCAGTGGCGCTATCTCAGCTCACTGCAACCTCTGCCTCCCGGGTTCAAGCAATTCTCCTGCCTCAGCCTTCCGAGTAGGTGGGACTACAGGCACCTGTCACCATGCCCAGTTAATTTTTGTATTTTTAGTAGAGACGGTGTTTCACCATGTTGACCAGGCTGGTCTTGAACTCCTGAACTCAAGCAATCTGCCTGCCTCGGCCTCCCAAGGTGCTGGGATTACAGGCGTGGGCCACCGCACCTGGCCCTGTTCTCTTTTTTTCTCGACGCATATTTATTGAGTCTCATGTTGTGCTGGGCATTCTGACTGCTGCTATGGGTGCTTATGTGGGAACACAATCCAGTCCATGTTCTGTAGCCCTGGGACCCCAGTAAGGTCTGTGCAGTGTGGAAGGTTAGGAAGACCCTAATAAGGCCCAGGGATTTCTCCCTGGAGAGCATCAGGGAAGGCTCCACGGGGGACAGGCACTGTCAAGGTGATCAGCACCCAGACCTGCAGACATTGATATTGACCACATGAGCCACGTGGGCAGAGGCAGCTTGATTGTGACAAGAATAAAACTTAAACTTAAGGATGCTCATTTGCACACCATCTTCCAAGGCTTGGGAAGGGCCCCACCAACAGTTCACATGGTCATATGTTTTTGTAAAATTTGTATCTGTTAGATGTTTTAACCCCAATGCAGTAAGATGCTGTCTCAGTGCTTTGCAGCCTGACTTCCTTCCTCTCTCTCCTACTTCCCTGTGTCTGTGGGTGCTGGAGTGGCCGAGAGCATGTTTGGGATGTGGCTAAGTGGAACTGGATCGGGAGGCCGGTTTGGGTGAGTGGGATGTATTTGCGTGCTTTTCTGTCGCTTATCCATGGTTGAATTATTGCTGGTCATTCGGGCATAGAAACAGCTTCCAGGAGTACACCTGTTACCCACTGAATGGAGTTCCTAGAATGGTGACAGGGGGTTGCAGGGTCAGAAATCACATCCTTTGGTGTCCAGCATCAGAAACAGGTGGGTGGTGCAGGATAAACAACGTTTAAAATGTGTAAGGTGAGAAGCCAGTCTGTGGAAAAGTATTGCAGAGGTGTGTCCAGATGCTAATTAAAGAAACATTTGCATGCACACACACACACACATACACACACACACACACACACACACACAGTATTTCTGGATTCTGTGATGTTTGATATTTTTCGGCTTTTAACTTTTGTAGTTTGTTGTGATTTCATTTCTCATTTTAAGTGAATATTTTTGTTTATGCCTAATTTTCTATTCATACTTTGACAATCTTTTTCTTAAATGTAGAAGCTGGACTTGCCCAGTTTATGACTATCACTCATCCCAAAGTGCTGTCTTGTAGACACATTCCTGGGCTCCTGGGACCCTGGCTCTGACACCACCAGAGTCCCTCTTCCCAGGAGGCAGCAGCTGCTCCATTCCTTGCAGGTGCTGGAGTCCAAGAGCACCAAGGGGTACCTGGAGGCCGGGGCCTGTCCAGTGGCCTTCCTTCCTGGCCACATGGCTGCCTTTGGCCACCAGCTGCCTGTGTGCAGTCTCTCTCCCGAGAATCTGTGTGGCCATTCATCACAGGCCTCCTCTTGGAAAGGCAAAGAAGGTTGCATTATACTAGGTAAAGCTTATCATTTGCATCTGCCAAGATCCATGCATTTCCCCTCCCTCCCTGCCCCGCAGCCCCCAGCAACTTCCCTCCTCCCTTCTTTTTCCCTCTCTTGTGGGTTTTCAATAGTGTGTGCTTTCTTCTTTTTCCCCTTCTTTCTGGTCAAGACAGGGTTGTCTCTCTGGGTGGAAAAAGGCAGTGTGTTCGTGGAGTGCAGCTGCATTTCAAAGGTACTTTGTTGGCGAGTTATGAATTTGCCTTTGCTACTGTGGGGAAACAGGCAGATTCTTTGCCTCCCGCCCTCCCCAAATTGAAATTGATGTTATTTCTCTGCCAGTGGTACCCAAGGAAATGTTTTGTTCCATTTCCTCCCCTTTCAGGCTGAGCCCTATTTATGTTGGGAGCTGGGGCCCTGCCACTGAGAATCATTGTCATTACCACCAGCGTCTGAGGCTGGCCAAATTCAGCAGCTGTGGTTTCATGCCTACCCTCACCAAGGTTTATTCCCTTGACAACATGTTCTTGTTTGGACCAACTTTCTTAGCCTTTCTCTCGTTGTTCCCCCCACAACCCTACCCCCGCCCTTCCTGAAATCACCCTTACAGTTGCATGGAGCTTAAAATTACAAAGGAAAAAGTGCAGGTGCGTGTGCATGCGCGCGTCTGTGTGCATATGTGTGTGCGTGTGTGCATGTGTGTGAGCATACATGAATGTGTATGTGTGTGCATGTGTGTGCATATGGGTGTGTGCGTGTGTGTGCATGTGTGCGTGTGTGTGAGAGAGTGTATGTGTGTGTATGGGTGTGTGCATGTGTGTGCGTGTGTGTGTGTGTGTGTGTGTGTGTGTGTGTGTGTGTTGGAGGCAATGAGCAGGGGATTGGAGCTGGAAAGGAGATAAAGACCCTGGGAGTTAGAATAAGGATACAGGGAGGCCAGCGAATGGGGTGAAGGGTGGGAAGTTTCCCCATAAGTAACGGGATCAAATTAATTATTATTTTGGTGGCCGCCTCTCTTCTCCACCCCAAGCCAGGCAAGACTCACCCTCGGCCCTGCCCGCCCCAGCATTTCAAATGGAATACCTAGGTGGCCCAGGGGGACCCCTGACCCCTATATCCTGTTTCTTTCTGCCTGCTTTGCTACTTTTCTCCTTGATAAAAGGAGAGAGTGAGAGATAATTAACAAAAAACATGGCCCCAGGACAATGAAACAACTGGCCTTGGCCGGCCAGAAATGTATCCTGGTTTTCTAGGTGAACTTTCTCCCATCAATCTTTCCTTTAACCTCTCTGTTAGTGGAAGCAATAGGAACACCCCTCCCCTCCCCTGAGCAAATGCTTTCTTTTGACTGGAAACAAAACAGGGGCTCGGCGAAGGCTGAGGTGAAATCTGGGTGGCATGGGCGCCGCACAATGGGGCCGCTGTTCCCCGGCCCGGGCTTGTGTTTTACAACAGGGGAGGGGCGGGCGTGAATGGTCTGATGATTGGAACAATCCCCCCGATTCAGGCCTACAAACGCATCTTCTGTTCCACACCGAGGGGACAGAAAGGAGAAAAGTGACAAAGAACGCGGGGCGGGGGGAATTAAAACAAAATGCGCTCGACTAAAAAATCTCTCATATCCTGCATATTCCAGAAAGCGGCTCTATGGAGAGAGCCTTCAGGAGGCCTCAGCCATATCTGAATGGCTTTCTCTGGCCTCTGATTTATTGATGAAGCTGAAGCGACTTGCTGGAGAAAGGCCTGGAGCCTTCTTTGTCTCCGAGATGAAGTACAATAGGCCACAGGGCGGAGATCTCTTGTGATGCTCTCGGGTCCTGCCTTTCTCTTGCCCTCTCCTCCCTGCAAATACCAGCAGCGGTGACAAACGATTGGTGGTGTGCCTGGGAGAGCCGGTGACAAGACTGGGCCACTTGAGGTCTCCTTAAGAGGGTATTATGGCCAGGGCGACGTTTGTGCTGTGAAGATGGCACACTCCATTTTGTCAATGGCTCTCATCGGCCCAGATAATCGCCCCCTGCCTGCCTGTCAGGGGCGCAGCCGGCCGATTCATGGCGCCCTCGGAGAAAGTACCCTTTCCGTGGCGACCAAGATAGAGACATTGTGTTCACCTCCTTGAGCAGAGGGGAAGGTGACCACCAGGGCAGCCTGCCTTGTAAATTACCCTGAAAACAAAAACATACAGCGCCTCCTCGGCTTGGGACCCCCACCGATAAATTATGGCCAGGCTGTGGAGCAGAGCCCAGGAGAGACTGGTTGCTGGAGAGTTCCTCCCCCAAACCCCACGAGCGATCAAGAGGCCTCTGGGTCCGGAAAAGGGCTGCCGGGGTAGCTGGCATCCTGAGTAGATGGGAGCCTAGAGCATCCCAGAGGGTCTCCGCTGTGTTTTCAGGCAGAGTCCAGAGCCAGACCCTCTTGCCTCACAAATTTGCCAGGAGATTTCACCCAGGTCCTCTGTGGCTTCATACCCACCTCTTCCTGCACTTTTCTGTCTGCCAGCCTCCAGCCTTAGACACCATCAGAGAGAAAAAAGAAAAGAAGAGAAATGAAAAGGATGGAGGGAGGGAGGGAAGGGGAGATAGAGAAAGAAGGGAAGAAGGAGGGAGGAAGAAGAGAGGGAGCCAGGGGAAGAAAATAAGTTAAAAAAGAAAGAGGAAGAGAGGAAGAAAGAATGGAGGAGAGAGAAAGGGAAGGAAGGAAGGAGAGAGAAAGAGAGAGAGAAAGAAAAAGGAAGGAAGGAAAAAGAAGAAAGAATGAGAAAGAAAAGAGAGAAAGGAGAGAAAGAGGGAAGGAAGGAAAGAAAGAGAGAAGGAAAGAGGAAGGAAGGAAGGAAAAGGAAGGAGGAAAGGAGGCAAGAAAGGAAAGAAGGAAGAAAACCGCCATGATTCATAGCTAAGAAGGAGGGAGGGGTGAGGGTGATTTTACTAAAAAATGAGTTTCCCATTCTTAATTTAAAGTCTGCAGAAGCTCACTTTATGTATAACATATATAATACCACCTCACTGCTGCTGGCTCCCAGCCAGGAAGGACATCTCCTTATACATGTCAGGCACCTTGTAACTTGGCATATCAAGTTATTTACCAAAATTAATGTTCCAAGAAATAAATATCTTTCCCACTCCTTTAAAGCCATAAGTTTTCAAAAATATCCATCATACTTCCTCAAATGCATCGCACACATCCTCAATTCTAAACAGAAGATACCAAATTGAATTGCACTTTTTTTAATTGACTCAGGCTCAAATAAAATAGAATGTGCAAAAGTGCTCTGTAAACCCTAAAGCACAATGCACCCGCGGGCTATTCTTCTTCCTCTCAATGACTTGCCCTCCCGCCTCGCGACCCTGAGGATGATGGTCTGGGAGGTTTGGTGCCTGCTTTTATAGCTTTTCTGTGTCCTTCAGCTGTCACTTTAGCTTGTGGGGGCACCTTGCCTTCATTCTACTCTGCTGTTTCTATTGGCTTGTGAAGGCTGTTAACAAGGTGTAACAAGAATAAGTGTCAAAACTCTGGCTTTGTGATCCTGGGCAAATTATTTAATTTCTGTGTGCCTGTAAATGGAAATGGAAATAATACTTACTCCAGGATATTATTGAGAAGGTTAAATGAAATAATACACATCAAGCACCCAATGGGGATTGCAGTGTAGTAAATATACAATAAATATGAGTTATTATTAAGATGATAACTTAGTATCATTAGGAACAAAATATTTTTCCTGTGACAGGCATGAATTTCAACCATTGTATTTGGTACAATAGGAAGATCTTTAATTTTTGTTTGCTTCTTTCCAGTTTCTTGGCTTGATCCTATATCATAAGGTGGCTAGATAGTGTGCTTCCGGAAACTGAAGTGTCATGGTATTATGAAGCCAGTTGAGAAGGGAGCAGAGATTTCACCAAGAAATAAGTTCTGAGCCTAGCCCATGCAGAGACTGGACTAACTTTATCGGTTGAGAAGATTTTCTGAAGTGCACAAACCCCAGATCTGTAGCCCTCGTGTGGTCCATCTCCCCTCATCCTCATGTCTGCAGTTCACTGAGAAGAATCACAATGACGACACAATAGCTGTCACTCTTGAAACACCTACCACGCAACAGGCTTGATGCGCAGAGCTTTATTTACATGATGTTTTTTGTAGCCTCACCAGTGAGTTTCTTTCTGAAGGTCCATAAGCTGCTGGAGGCTTATTCATTTTCCCATAAGGGGCTGACTCCCAGGGAGGTAAAGGATGTGCCTGGACTCACCCAGCTGGCTAAAAGGGTCCCTGTTGCTTAACTCCCAATTCGGTGCTTTTGCTACTGCCCTGTGTCACATTCTTCTTGGTCCAGCCTCCTGGATTCACTGTGAGTCTCACCAGAGGCACATCGTTTCTGCGTCTTGGCAAAGGAAAGGCCAGCAGACATGGGGAAGGCCCAGGGTCAGACCCGCCTCTGTTGGAGCACCCCAAGGATAATCCTTAGATGAGGAGAGGACAGGGGACCAAGCAACTCTCACGCTTCCCCAAGTTACAGTTTATTTTTCCATTGGCTGCATAATTATGTTTTATTGATAATACATGATTGGTGTCAATGAATCTCCACTTCTAGAAAGAACCACTGTTGAAACTTCATCCTGTATATTTTTATCAAAATACACACACATATGAGTGAGATCATAAACTTGAAAACATTTGTTTGTCTGTTTTTTCATGAGCAGGAGAGTGCGGTGTTTAAGAATATGGGCTTTGGAGTACTTTATGTTTGGAGTATTTCCCTTCTCTCCCCTTCTCTCGCCTTCCCTCCCCTTCCCTCCCCTTCCCTCCCCTCACCTCCCCTCCCCAAGGCGTGCTGAGGGACAAATGCATTAATATCTGTGATATATTTGCAACAGCATCTGGCACACGAATAGTATTAGACAAGCGAAGTTTTTTGGTCATAAATAAAACAAAATATGATTTTATATATCAATACACACAACTTTATGTATTAATACAAAAAGATCAACCTTTGCTTTCTCAAAGACTGTACTATATTCCATTCTATCATTATTTATTGAATTAATTTTCCAGTGATGGACATTTAGCTTTTTCCAACTTTTGGTATCATAAACAATGATGCAACAAACATCCTTATGTATATTATTAATAATATAGACATTTTGTCATACATAAATACATATATACATATCTTAACATGCATCCTTATGTATGTTATTGATAATATACATATTCTAATGTCTGTCTTATTGTTTCCTTTGAATAAATTCCTAAGAAATGGAGTTACTGGATTAAAAGATGATATAACTAGTCTGTGCTCCAGAGAGGTTAGATGAAATGGTATTTCAACCAAACCCTCACCAATGCATCTCATTATCGTGTTTGTCATCTTTGGCAGTCTGAGAAGAAAAATAAAGGAGGGGTCTCATTTTGATTTGCGTACAGTTGATTAAAAGCAAGACTGAGCATCTTTTCATGTGTTTTGTTCACATCCTCTGTCCATTATTCTACCGATGTCATTATTAAAATTATTATCACTTTGTCCCGTATGTTGCAAGTATTTGTGCCAGTTTGCAGTTTGTCTTTTAACCTCGTTTCTGGCTCCCTGTGCCATATAAAGCAAGGGTGGAGGGAGCAACTTGGAGAAAGCACCATTTCAGCAGAGACAGGGAAGCCAAGTCTTTTTTATATTTATTTATTAATTTTTAAATTTTTATTTATTTGTTTTTGTAGAGAAGGGGTTCTCACTATATTGCCCAGGCTGGTCTTGAACTCCTGCCCTCAAGCAATCCTCCCTCCTCAGCCTCCTAAAGTGCTGGGATTACAGGTGTCTTAATTCATGGCTGGGGTCCCCCAGGATCCCTAGCATAGGGGCATACAGGGAGGGGTGTCATTCCAAGCAAACAGACAACCAGGTTGGATCCAAAGGCCTATAAAATACCTAAAGCCATCAACTTCCTTCTGCCAACGAAAGCAAGATGAAATTTATCACCTGACTCCTACACAAGGATATAGGTCCCTCCTGTTCCCCTTCTTAATTTATCACCTGAGTCCTATACAAAGATAAAGGTCCCATCTGTTTCTCCTCTCCTTTCCTCTTCTCTCCTCTCCTCTTCCCTCCCCTCCTCTCCCCCTCCCTGGCCCTCCCCTCTCCTCCCCCTCCCCTGCCCTCTCCTCCCCTCCCCTCCCCTCCCAGCATGAAGGCAGCTGCAACAGTATGTCTGGTGCCCAGGATACAGGGTATTGGGGACAGGGTATGGAGGTAGGGGGCAGAGAAAGCAACTCTTTGGAGACTGGTTACAATAAACAAGCAAGTTACTTACTTGAGTCAGCAAATAAGCAAATATACCAAGGCTAGTGAGAGGCAGGTTGCTCACTGTCAGAGAATGGATTTACAAAGACATTAGGGAGAAGGCTGGAAAGAACCCCAAAGTGTTGAATTAGAATTAGAACTATTATTAAATAATAATTTAAAAATATATATTTGAGTATTTTGTGTGTATATGTAAAACAGACATACAACATACATACATATAGCAATTCCTATATATGTATATATAATGCACATACATACATATAGATCTAGAAATTGTTATAGATGGGTACATGTATCTGTAAATGGACACTTACACTTTCACATATGTACTTGCTTTGTCCCTGAGACAAAGACTCCTCAGTAACAATGAACCAACTAAGCACTCAGATCTTGGTTTCTAAATACCCACACCAAAAGCAGAAAAAGCTCTATAGAGAATGAGTGATACAGGTCTCTTAGTCCATTTGCATGCTATAAAGGAATACTTGGGGCTGGGTAATTTATAAAGAAAATAGCTCTATCTGGCTCGAGGTTCTGCAGGCTGTATAAGAAGCATGGTGCCAGCATCTGCTTCCAGTGGGGACTTCAGGGAGCTTCTACTCATGATGGAAGGCAAAGGGAGCAGGCATTACATGGTGAGAGATGAAAGAGGAGGAGAGAGGAGGAGACACTAGGATCTTTATAACAGTCAGATTCACAGCAACTAAGAGTGAGCACTCACTCTACCCCATGAGAGTGGCACCAAGCCATTCATGAAGGATATGCCCCCAGAACCCAAACACCTCCCCCAGGGCCTCACTTCCAACACAGGGAATCAAAGTTCAGCATGAGACTTACCAGGGCCAAGCAAATCATATTCAAACCATAGCAACAGGGTACATATAAAACGAGCCCGGAACACATAATTGTGCCACAAAGTAACGAAAGGCTCAAAGAATGCTAGAGATATGCCCACGGGATGCAGAAGCCAGCTTGAACAAGCTCCCACTGGCCAGAGCTAGGATAACTTGGGAATCAAAAGAAGTAATCATAATACCAGGTTATAATACATTGAATAAAATAAGAGTCCAAGTGTCTGTACTGATATAAATGAATGAATAAATGGGGAAGAAAAAAACATTTTTTGCTAATAGTAGAATACCTGTTAACAAATGTAAAAGGAACCGTGCCTGTCGAATTTTTGCATTTTTTTTTTTTTTTTTTTTTTTTAGTACAGACAGGGTTTTGCCGTGTTGGCCAGGCTGGTCTTGAACTCCTGACCACAAGTGATCCAGCCTCCCAAAGTGCTGGGATCACAGGCATGAGCCATCGTGCCTGGCCCAATTTCTGTTGTTTTAAGTGACATAGTTTGTAGTACTTTGTTACAGTAGCCCTAGGAAACGAATCCAACATTTTTCTAAAAATATGCAAATGGCCAGTAAGCACTTGAAGATGCCCAGCATCATCAGCCATCAGGGTGAATCGAATCAAAGCCACAGTCAGCGAGCACTCGCACCCCTATGAGTGCTAGACCCAAACAGGCAGGGAATAACCAGTGCCAATGAGAATGTGGAGCAACTGGAACCCTCGTATATTGCTGATGGGAATGAAACATGGTGCAGCTGCCCTGGGAAACAGTCTGACAGCTCCTCAAATGGCTAAACATAGAGTCACCATATGACCCAGCAATTCCACTCCTAGGTATATACCCAAAGGGAATGAACATGTGTATCCACACAAGAACTTGTGCACGAATGTTCATAGCAACATTATTCACAGCAGTCAGAAAACAAAAGCAATCCAAATGTCCATCAACTGATGAATGGATAAATAAAATTGGTATGCCCATACAATGGGATGTTATTTGGCAATAAATGAACAAGTAATATGAACTCATAAATAAACTACGATGTGGATGAACCTTGAAAACATCATGCTAAGTGAAAGAAGCCACTCACAAAGGATCACATGTTGTATGATTCCCTGTATATGAAATGTCCAGAACAGGCAAATGAGTAGAGATAGAAAGTAGGTTAGTACCTAGGGCTGTAGAGGTTGAAGATACTGGGGGTGACAGATAAGGGATGTGGGGTTTCTTTGGGAAGCAATAAAAATGTTCTAAGATTGTAGCGATGGAGGCATGACTCTGTGAATATACAAAAATACTACTGAGTTGTATACTCAAATGGCTGAATTACATGGTATGTGAATTATATCTCAAGCTGTTTAAAATGTAGATGGAATTATGAACACTGATCATCATCATTTGGCAATCATCATAGCTGTGATTAATTGGGGAGAAAGTAGAAAAAGGTAGTGGTATAATCTCATACTATCTTCCCACAAAATGTGAATTACAGGTATGTACAAAGGAGAAAATGATGCCTTCACAGTAGAGAAAGCTGGTAGATGTAACTTGGCTGGGTCATCAAGGGTCACAGTGCGAGGAGAGGTGGGTGCCAGGAGCCTCCTGCTGTGACACACGGAGGGAAGACAGCATCCTTCCTGGGGTCGCCAGACAAGAAATGATGGCCTGAGTCTGGTCACCAGGAATCACTGGCCAGACCCAGGTTAAGGGTCGCCCTATATGATGAAAGGCCTGTACTCCTCAAAACTGATAAGGACATGAGACGCGGGGCAAGACGGGCTGAAAGAGACTCATGAAACCTGAAGACTTCACGTAGTACAGGCCCCTGGATGGGATTCTGGACCAGCGAGGAACAAGAGACGTTATGGGGATAGTTGGCAAAATTTGAGTGGGGCCTGTGGGGTGGAGGATGAGGTTGTATCACTGATGACGTCCTACATAGGAAAGCTGTATGGTGGTGTGTAGAAAAGAATTCTTGCTTGGGGAAGGCACACACTGGAGAATTTAGGAGTGCTGGGTGTATGGCTTGCTTTCAAATCGTTCAGAAAAAGACTAATGGCAGTGTGTGTGTGTGTGTGTGTGTGTGTGTGTGTGTGTGTACCTGTGGAGAGAATAAGGCTGACAGGATAAAGGAGGTAAAATGCTAACAGCTGAGAACTGTGCATGAAATAGATACACATCCTCTTTATCCTCTTCATACTGTTCTTGCAACTTTTCTGTTGGAATTAACACCAAATACATAGTTTAAAAGGGCTATCAGATCATAGAACGAACTACCTCACCACCACTATATACCTAGAAAGATTGTTTAAATGAATTTTTCTGCACCACCTCTACAAAAAATCATTACAGATGTGTGTGAGAGAGAGAGAGAAGAAAAAGGACAATTAAAAAAAAAAGAGCAGCAGTGACAATGAAAAAAGGAGGTCTGCTTTTAAGTACTCTAACAACACAATGTTTATACAAAAAGAATGTTGGGGCCTCGAGAATAAGAACAGAGACGCTCAAGCTCCCAGATACTCCTCAGGTGTCACCTAAAGCTGTTTACACAAGTTGCACTGCACACTCACTTCATGGTTAGAGATGAGACACAGACACAGACTCCCTTCACCCCAAATGAAGGAAGCATCATGGTCCCAACATCCGCAGGCTCACCACTCATTCCAGCCCCCGTTTGGAATCTGTAGAGTTCTTAGGCTGCAGGGCTGTGATTTTCATAAAGTGGTTGCGTTTGCAGCACTGATAAGACATAAGCTTGCTTTTAAGTCCTCTCCACCAAAGTCATATGATGGGGTGGAACCTTCCTGGAACAGATGGACCCTCGGAAGAATCTTCTGGGCTGAGGAAGTGGTTTGGCAGGAAAATAGAAGGGGTAATTCCAGGCCTGAGGGTGCAGTACAGAGCAGGGAAAAGAAGAGGTGCTACAAGAGTCAAGCAAAGACATAGGCCTGCTGAGGAGGCTGGGGAGGGTGGTGAACTACAAGGGAATAGGGGAAGGAGACTCTGAAGCCTCCAAGAGTAAAGACATGGTTTTGGGGATACAGCCAGTGTCGGCAAAGTATAGGCACTGGAAAGCCTTCTCAGGGCAACATGCAAGAGAGAAGGTGGGAATGTAAAGAAAGGGGCCTGGCAGAGAGGTCAGGGTCAGTAAAGCACACACCAGAGGATCCTGGGTGTATTAGTTCATTATCGTTCTGCTATAAAGGACTGCTTGAGACTGGAAAATTTATAAAGGAAAGAGGTTTAATTGACTCACAGTTCTGCATGGCTGGGAGACCTCAGGAAACTTACAATTATGGCGGAAGGGGAAGCAAACGTGTCCTTCACATGATGGCAGGAAGGAGAAGTGCTGAGCAAAAGGGGGAAAAGCCCCTTATAAAACCATCAGATCTCATCAGAACTCACTATTATGAGAACAGGATGAGGGTAACCACCCAGTGATTCAATTAATTCCCACCGGGTCTGTCTCATAACACGTGGGGATTAAGGGAAGTACAATTCAAGATGATATTTGGGTGGGGACACAGCTAAACCATATCACTGGGTTTCTAAACGAGCCGCCAAATGTAATTCTCAGAGTCTTCACTTCAAAGACAAGGTCATTAAGACATGTGCTTTTGGCACCTCGTTCCTGCCTCTGGTGCATGACACACAATTGGTTTTTTGCTCTTTTTACTCATTTCTCCTCATCGAATCCTCCCTATCTTAGCTCAGGCTGCTATAACAAAGTATCATGACTGATGACTTATAAACAAGAGATATTTATTTCTCACAGTTCTGGAGGCTGGTAGCCTGACATCAGGGTGCCAGCATGATCGAGTTATGGGGAGGACCCTCTTCCGAGTTGCAGACTTAACTTCTTGCTGTATCCTCACATAGTGGAAAGTGAGTGAGAGAGCTCCTGGGGTCCCTTTTAAAAGGGCACTAATCCCATTCACGAGGGCTCCACCCTCACGACCTCATCACCTCCTAAAGGCCCCACCTCCTAATATCATCCCACTGGGCATTAGATTTCAACATATGGATTTTCGGGGTACATAAGCATTCAGTCTATATCACTCCTCCCATTTTTAATAATAATATTGGAGATATTGATTCACTGTCTCTTGACATCCATTCCTGCAAATGTGACATCTGTTCTCAGTTTAAGTTTTATTTATATTTGTCTTCTTTCTAAAATCTCATAAGACTGTTCTATCTTTGCATTTCATTACATCATGACTAAGTGAAGGTTCGTTTGTCGTGGTGCAGCATTGATTGTATACACAGTAGCAGGGAACTTACTTTAATTCTGTGTCTTTCTTTAATTCTAAAAGTTCTCACCTGAGTTTTCCACGTATCTCCATCTGAAACACTTATGAGGTGTGTGTTGGAGCCTCTCAACCAGTTTTCTAAGTCGCTTAACTGTTCTTGCATATTTTTTATTCTCTTTATCTTTCTGAGATGCATTCTGGGTGAATTCTTGAGCATCGTTAACTAATTCCCTTCTCAGCTGCATCAAGTATGGAGCTTGATTTTATGTCTTCAGTCTTGTATTTCAATAACCATATTTTTCATTCCAAGGATTTTTTATTTTGTTCATGTTCACCTGTACTTCTTCCATTTCTGCCACTGTTTGTTTCCTAATTTCTCATCCTTCATTTCTGGGAGGACCTAAACCACATTTATTAGAAAGTCATTTTCCTATTTTGCTGTTGTTTTCATTTCTCTGGGAATTCATTCTCCAGGTGATTGATTTTTTTCAAACTTGCTGTTCTTTCTTAACATTTGCTTCCTTCATTCCTTTTGAAATCTTAGTTTGCAGAGTCATCTTAAAGGGGAGTCCCCTTTCCTTGCTTTCTGTGATACCCCCTGCTGCCATCACACACACCTCCTCATGTTCCCCAGACCAGAACCGGAGGTTACATGGCAGCTGGGGCTATGAGGATATGGAGGTTCCTGCTGGTAGCTTGGCTTAGGGCACAGCTATGAGGCCCCTCTGCCTCCTCCCACCTCCCCGGGTGCACAGTTACCTAGCGGCTATAGTCCCAGATGGTGTTGGTAGCATTCTTCAGTCTCCAGCATTCTAAAGTCTCAGTCTTTAGTTTCAAGCCTGTCCTTGGTCACCTGCCACACCTGGGACACCTATAGTCCTTCTTATCCCACAGGAGCTGAGGTTGTAACTGCCTTTCCTGTATCCAGACCCAGAGGCCAGCACACCTGTGGATTCAGCCCCACCTCCATGTTGAGTTTCTCTTGTTTCTTGCCCAAGGACATGCTACTTACCCAATTTTGATATCAACTATGCATTTTAAGTACCATTCCTTAAGTTTTTTTCCTGTCCTATCACTTCTATATATCAGAATGAAATGGAGTTGAAGGGCCCTCAGTGCATGAAATTACAATGCTATAATCCTGGGACTTGCCATTCACTTTCACCTTGAATTTCTTTATCTCTAACTTTAATTGTCTTGTACTTGCTGTATTGTTTCAAACCATCTTAAATCCTTCCAATAACTAGGAATGGGATACATACTGTGTTAGTCCCCTATGGCTGCAATAATGAAGTACCAGAAACTAGGTGGCTTAGAACAACAGAAATCTTATCCCACAGTTCTGGAGGCCAGAGTCTGAGATTGAGGTGTCAGCAGGGCCACACTTCCTCTGAAACTGGCAGGGGAAAATGTTTCCAGGTGGACTGGTTAATCATCTCTGCTTAAGGAAAAGGAGACAGAAGCCCCCAGGGGTGTGATCTTCCTAAGGTGACATAGCAGGTCATTTGCAAAATGGGGATGGGGTAACATTAAGTGAAAAGAGTAAAATTATCAAGTGAAAAAAAGTATACTGACTGGGCACTGTGGTTTACGCCTGTAATCCCAGCACTTTGGGAAGCCGAGGCAGATGGCTCACTTGAGCCCAGGCATTCGAGACCAGCCTGGGCAACATGGCAAGACCCTGTCTCTACAAAAAATACAAAAATTCACCGGGCATGGTGATGTGCACCTGTAGTCCCAGCTACTCGGGAGACTGAGGTGGGAGGACCACTTGAGCCCAGGAGGTCAAGGCTGCAGTGAGCCAAGGTTGTGCCACTGCACTCCAGCCTGGGTAACAGAGCAAGACCCTGTCTCAAAGAAAAAAAAAAAAGTCTATCACTTGTGCAAAGGGGGCCCATTTTGCTTAAACAATGGGGAGAAGTTAGCTCAATATTATAGAAACATATTTAATTACTTAAGGCAACCCATCTATGTATCTATATCTATAAACATACAGGTAGAAGTTTCATGCATATGATATCGTATGATATATGTCTATATCCAGCTACCTATCTGTATATATATTTAGCTAGACAGTATGACAAATGTCAAACCTAAGATGAATCCACAGCTATTCAAAACAGCAGCCTTGTTTAAAATATGGGAGAAATAAAACCACCCACAAAGTTTAATTAGTGAATTTCCTTACCAGTCCGGCTTCTCTAGCAAGCAGTAAGTTCAAAATCCCTAACTATTTCCCTGCAATCCTTCATTGCTCACCCAGTGGGGCAGAAGGCAGATCTTGTCCAAGACAGCCATGAACACATTACACGATTCACCGGGAGACTCCTCCAGCACCTTGACCTGCAAATTTCCAAAGGAGCTGCTCCGCTGTCAGCTCTCACCTAGAGGATGCCCCAGGGGGCAGGGCACAGCACCACATCTTTGCTCTCTGGGGTTCACTTGTCCAGGGCTTGGAGCCTGCAGGGAAAGAGGCTGCGTATCCGGCAAACCCATCTCTCCCAAACTAGCATTTCAATCCCCCAGCCCTGCATGTCTGCCTCATGACAAAGCTATTCTATGAGCTTATATCTCTCAGGGCACGACTTGGATTTTCAGTTTTAGAGCCCTGAGTGATGGGTTGTCTCAGTTGGTCCTCAAATCTCTTTCCTTTGTGTGTTTTTTGTTGTTGTGGTGGTTGTTATTTTTTGTTTGTTTATTTTTGTTTTTGTAGCTCTAGGAAACCTCTATGATTCTACTCTGTCAAAAAGAATCTACAAAGCCCCCTCTCTTCCGTTGGGTAAAATCCAAGGACCCATTGGTACCTGATCCATTTTGAGAAACACAAGCCCTGGGGAGATATTTGCCCAGCTGTGGGGAGCCACTCTTTGGAGCAGTTCACTGTTTGTAGGATGGTGAGGAGAGAGGAAGGGGACAGGGTGAAGTCTTAACTCATGCTCACATCCAGACAGACTTTTTTAATCGCAAGTAGCATCCATTCAGTTTCTCTAATCAGCTTCAAAGACCTCGTAAGGCTCCCATTACCATTGTGTGGCTGGTAATTCTGTGTCACAACTAATTACTGCCTAATAGCTGTCACAGATGCAGAGTCTCCAGTTTAAAAGCCAAGTCGATTTCTTCCTGCATTCAGACCTCGTCTGCCCCTGAGTGGTGCAGATTACATGAGGTAATACGGCAGTTATTTCTACCTGCTGCAGTTCATCAGCTCCATCTCCAGCTGAGGTAGCCGCCCGTCCCCCTTGGACAAAGATTATTTGTCATTAAAATGCTCAGGCTCGCTCACACTCTCTTTTTTCAATCTGGATGTTGCCTACACTTTGAGAAAGGTTTTTGAAGAAAGATTAGCAGGATTAGGAAAGGTTCACATATGTTCAGCCTCACTCTTGGTATTCAAGACATCACAACCCTGCACCACCCAGGAAGCACAAGAAAATGGAGCACAGGCAGAGGCCCGGGAGGGGCTGGGGGGTGAGGGGGAAGCTGTGTGGCTCCCCCACCAATAATACAAAGCTGGAGTCAAATGCAAATCTGGGGGTGTTTTACGCTGGGGAATTCCCAGGCAGTTTCCTAGAATTTTTTAAATTAATTTTTCTATTTCCATAGGTTATTGGGGAACAGGTGGTGTTTGGTTACATGAGTAAGTTCTTTAGCGGTGATTTGTGAGATTTTGGTGCACCTGTCACCCGAGCAGTGTACACTGTACCCAATTTGTGATATTTTATCCCTCACCCCCTTCCCACCCTTTCCCCTTGAGTCCCCAAAGTCCATTGTGTCATTCTTATGCCTTTGCATCCTCACAGCTTAGTTCCCACTTATGAGTGAGAACATATGATGTTTGGTTTTTCCATTCCTGAGTTATTTTACTTAGAATAAGAGTCTCCAATCGCATCCAGGTCGCTGCGAAGGCCATTAATTCATTTCTTTTTATGCCTAACTAGTTTTCCATCATATATGTCACAGTTTCTTTATCCAGTCATTGATTGGTGGGCATTTGGGTTGGTTCCATGATTTTGCAATTGTGAATTGTGCAGCCATAAACATGCGTGTGCAAGTATCTTTTTTTGTATAATGACTTCTTTTTCTCTGGGTAGATATCCAGTAGTGGGCTTACTGGGTCAAATGGTAGATCTACTTTTAGTTCTTTAAGAAAACTCCACACTGTTTTCCATAGTGGTTGTACTAGTTTACATTCCCACCAGCAGTGTAGAAGTGTTCCCTTTTCACCGCATCCACGCCAACATCTATTATTTTTTGTTTTTTTGATTATGGCCATTCTTGCAGGAGTAAGGTAGTGTTGCCTTGTGGTTTTGATTTGCATTTCCCTGATCCTTACTGATGTTGAGCATTTTTTCATATGTTTGTTGGCCATTTGTATATCTTCTAAGAATTGTCTATTCATGTCTTTAGCCCACTTTTTGATGGGATTATTTGTTTGTTTGTTTCTTGCTAACATGTTTGAGTTGGTTGTAGATTCTGGATATTAGTCCTTTGTCAGACGTATAGATTATGAAGATTTTCTCCCACTCTGTGGGTTGTCTGTTTACTCTGCTGACTGTTTTGCTGTGCAAAAGCTCTGTAGTTTAATTAAATCCCAGCTATTTATTTTTGTTTTATTGCATTTTCTTTGGGGTTCTTGGTCATGAAATCCTTGCCTAAGCCAATGTCTAGAAGAGTTTTTCCAATGTTATCTTCCAGAATTTTTAGTTTCAGGTCTTAGATCCATCTTGAGTTGATTTTTGTATAAGGTGAGAGAGGGAACTTTTGTTTTTAGCGCTGTTTTCTTTTCTCTTCCTGTGTGATTATTTGTCTCCTTTTGAGAGCCTGACCAGCAAAGGAGAAGGGAGGTGTCAGAGGCAGGACTCAACAACTTGGCCTTGAGGCAGGTTCTAAGAGCCATGCCCCACCCAACAGCTGACCCTTGGCAGTCCTTCTGTCTACTTTTTCTTGCCTTAGCTACCTTCTCAAGGGCACCAAATGAAGGAAGGGTCATGGCTCCCAGGTCCTGTGAGAAAAACCTGTTCCCAAGTTGGAATATTTCATTGAGTTAAACTTCTAACCAATCTGCACTGATCACTGGGTGTCTTAGTCCATTCGGGCTGCTCTAACAAAATATCTTAGACTAGGTAATTTATAAATAATAGAAATTTATGTCTCACAGTTCTGGAGGCTGGAAAGTTTAAGATCAAGGTGCCAGCAGATTTTGTGTCTGGTGAAGCCTCCATCTCTGCTCCACAGAGGGCACCTTTTCCTGTGTCCTCAGACAGTAGAAGGGCAAAAAGGAACTAACAGACTCCCTCAAACCCTTTTATAAGAACACTAATCCCATCCATGAAGGTGGAGCCCTCATGACATAAACCACCTCTTAAAGGCCCCATCGCCTAATACTATGGCAGTGGGGATTAGGTTTCAACATGAATTTAAGGAGGGAGGCAAACACTCAAACTGTAGCACTGAGTACCAAGAAGAATTAAAAAGGGGAAAAGAAATGGCTAGGTAGTCTTAGAATCTTCCCAAATCTCCCTGTAAAATAGAAAGAGCAACTAGAATAGCAAAGCGAAAAGAGCCATGGACAGTATCCACAACAGAGCTGGTAGTGAGGT
Source organism: Homo sapiens (assembly GCF_000001405.40). NCBI lineage: Eukaryota > Metazoa > Chordata > Mammalia > Primates > Hominidae > Homo > Homo sapiens. The sequence goes on from NC_000021.9 coordinate 32,994,043, forward strand.
AATCCTCCCAGACACCAAATACTAACAGGTCTGGGCAAAGCATTTACAGTTCAAGAACTGTGTGGTGGCAGCATTAGTGCCGGAAGAAGACACGTGATAAAAACTGTGGTTCTGAAGATACTGAGAGCTTGAGAATCACACAATCACCTGCAGGTATTCACCAGAGGGCACAGCAAGACCATCTGAGTACAGCAACCAAAACCAGGAGAGCTATCTGAAAACCCAATGCATGGCTAAGTGCAAGAGGACTGTGATACAATAAGGTCTGATGGTGTCGGGGTGATTTGAGCTCCATATGCCCTCAAAGTGAACAGAGTCTCTTCCAATACAAAGCCTTGCACTGATGAGTATCTGGGCAGATCAATACAGGCAAGGAAAAAAGATCCAGATAAATGGGATGGGGGTGGGCAGAGCAGAAGAGGCAGCTCTCAAAACCTTTGGAGATTTTTGTTTTATTTCCTTGCGAAAGGAACAGGAGAGGGAGCTCTAGAGCCTTTGAACTGGAAAGGTTGCCCCAGCATACCCTTCACTCCTAAAAGTATAGGAAAATTCATTTCATTTAGAAAATAAACAACAGAAAAGCATTGTGGTAAAAACTTATAAAAAGTTAAGAAGGAAAAAATGAAAAGAAAGAGCAGAAAAAATTCCTACAAAACGATGAAAGCGTGTCCAAAAGGAATGCCCACAAAACATTTCAAATATTATGAAACAAGTTAAAGAAAATTAAGAAAATGATAGAAGCTATGAAAGAATAACATACCTCAGAATTAGAAAAAAAGCTCAGAAATAAGGTGACTGGAGAAAAAAAATGCTTGAAAAGAGGGATGGCACAGTTTAGAAAATAACTAGAAATATAAAAAGAAAGGTCTGGAGAAAGACACTGATGTAAGAAATCATAGAAATACAAAGGACAGAAGAGCATGTTAAATGACACTGTGGGACGCAATGAATTCCGGACTGTGGAAAATTCTAAGTCAAATGGCTCCGTTTTTTCAACAACAAAAATGGAGGGGTTAAAAAGAAAGAAAGAAGAGGAAATGTATAAAGAAAAGAGATTTATAAGTCATTTCAAGCAAATGCAAAGTAGGAATCTTATTTCAGTTCTGGTTCAAACAATCAATTTTTTAAAATATAAAGCAACCAGGAAAATATAAACATGACAATATTTAATAATATTAAGGGATTAATATTTTTAAGTATAATAAAAATATTGTGATTTTTTAAAAATAATGATTATCTATTAGAGATGCATACTGAAACGTTTATAAATAACAGTACTTAATGTCTGGGCTCACTACAAATTATCCAGGAACAGTGGGAACAGAGGCAGATATAGAAGAACAAGATTATCCTGTATTGATATATATCAAAGCTGATTGATGAGTACTTGATTGTTCTTTGTATTATACTCTCTACTTTTGACTGTCTGAATATTACTGTAATTCAAAGCTTAATGAACAAACAAATAATAAGGGAAGTCTTAGAGCTTGGCATCCACCAGGAAGGAATACCTTTTGCTTCTTTCCTGAGAGGGCTGTGCTACCTGGAGAGGGTTTCAATAGATGCAGACATACATTGTAACCCATCCCCTTCAGCCCTTCTTCCCATTCAAGTGTTCCAGTATATTTGTCCCTAAACTGAACTAGATGTGTTACTCTGTCACTTGCTAGAATATAAGATCTATGAAGGCAAGAATTTGTCAATTGTGTTACCATTGTATCCCCAGGACCCAGAATAGTGCCTGGCACGTAATAGGCCTTCTGTAAATATTTGCTGTTTAATTGAGTGAATCGTCATGACTGATCCCAGGACATAATCCCAGGCTGTAACTACCACTGTGTGTTTTTTCTTGGAGAGAAGAGGGAGAATTCTTTACTTTGTAGACCTAAGCTTGGGTTACCTGCAGAAGTGGCCTCTAAAATGTGAGATAAACAATGTCTGACCTTGTAGCAATGGAGAACTTCAGGCAGCTGCTGAGCTGCTGAAGGTCCACAGAGTGTGAAAGGACTGAGCAATGTGACTAATGATTGCTTCCCTTTGCAAAGTATCCAGTATCCAGTATTCAGCCAATAAGCCTTACATTAGATGTAGTGTTAAATATGTTGGTAATTGATGGGAATAAATAAATGTAAATTTTATATATTATTTGTTTACATACGTGATATTACAAAATATATATTTGGCCTTCCTCCCTGTTTCCTGGCATACAACACTTAACGTCAACATCCTTGGACTCTTCAAAGTGGTGTGTCTTATTTGTAGGGAAAAGAAAGAGAAATCAGACTGTTACTGTGTCTATGCAGAAAAGGAAGACATAAGAAATTCCATCTTGATCTGTGCCAAGAAAATTGTTTTGCTGTTAATCTGTAACTTTAGCCCCAACCCTGTGCTCACAGAAACATGTGCTGTATGGAATCAAGGTTTAAGGGATCTAGGGCCGTGCAGGATGTGCCTTGTTAACAATATGTTTACAGGCAGTATGCTTGGTAAAAGTCATCGCCATTCTCCATTCTCGATTAACCAGGGGCACAATGCACTGCGGAAAGCCACAGGGACCTCTGCCCAAGAAAGCTTGGGTATTCTCCAAGGTTTCCCCCCATTGAGACAGCCTGAGATACGGCCTCGTGGGAAGGGAAAGACCTGACCGTCTCCCAGCCCGACACCCGTAAAGGGTCTGTGCTGAGGAGGATTAGTAAAAGAGGAAGGCCTCTTGCAGTTGAGTTAAGAGGAAGGCCTCCATCTCCTGCATGTCGCTGGGAATGGAATGTCTCGGTGTAAAACCCAATCATACATTCGTTCTATTCTGAGATAGAAGAAAACTGCCCTGTGGCTGAAGGCGAGATATGCTGGCGGCAATGCTGCTCTGTTACGCTTTGCTACACTGAGATGTTTGGGTGGAGAGAAGCATAAATCTGGCCTACGTGCACATCCAGGCATAGTGCCTTCCCTTGAACTTATTTATGACACAGATTCTTTTGCTCACAAGTTTTCCTGCTGACCTTCTCCCCATTATCACCCTGTTCTCCTGCCGCATTCCTCTTGCCGAGATAGTGAAAACAGTAATCAATAAGTACTGAGGGAACTCAGAGACCGGTGCCGGTGTGGGTCCTCCATATGCTGAGCGCTGGTTCCCTGGGCCCACTGTTTTTTCTCTATACTTTGTCTCTGTGTCTTATTTCTTTTCTCAGTCTCTTGTCCCACCTGATGAGAAATACCCACAGGTGTGGAGGGGCTGGCCCCCTTCATTGTTGAAGCTAATGAGTTGACTGGTAGCTGGGGGCCTATAGGTAGCTTCAGGAAGGTGGCTGCTCACTAAAAAGATCAATTCAGGATTAGAGTTGGGACTTTCAGCCCAAGCTCCAACCCCTGAGGAAGAGAGAGGGGTTGAAGGTTAAGTTGATTGCCAATGACCAGTGATTTATCCAATCATGCCTACACACTGAATCTTCCATAAAAACCTCCAAAGGAATGAGTTTGGAGAGCTTCCCAATAGCTGAACAGGTTGCAGTTCCTCGAGGGTGGAGCACCCGGGGAGGGCATGAAAGTACCATGTCCCTTCACCCATACTGTCATGGTTTGGCTGTGTCCCCACCCAAATCTCATCTCGTATCAAGGCCTAATCCTTCAATAAGAGAAATCACTGGTTGATTGTCTCCCACAATTCCCACCTGTCATGGGAGGGACCCAGTGGGAGGTAATTGAATCATGGGGGTGAATCTTTCCTATGTTGTTGTCGTGATAGGGAGTAAGTCTCATGAGATCTGATGATTTTATAAAAAGGAGTTCCCCTGCACAAGTTCTCTTTCATTGACTGCTGCCATCCACATAAGCTGTGACTTGCTCCTTCTTGCCTTCTGCCATGATTGTGAGGCCTTCCCAGCCATGTGGAACTGTGAGTCCATTAAATCTCTTTCCTTTATAAATTACCCAGCCTTGGATATGTCTTTATTAGCAATGTGAGAACAGACTAATACACATGCCTTGTCCTGTGCCTCTCTTCATCTATATCCTTTGTAATTCTTTTGTAATGTCCTTTAGAATAAACCAGTAAAGTAAGTGTTTCCCTGAGTTCTGTGAGCCACTCTAGCAAATTAATCAAATTCAAGGAAGGGTTTTGGGAACCCCCAATTTACAGCCAATTGTCAGAGGCACAAGTAAACAACTTGAGGCTTGGAATTGTCATTGGAAGTGGGGAGCAGTCATGTGGGGCTGAATGCTCAATCTGTAGGATCTGATACTATTTCCAGGCAGATAGTATCAGAATTGAACTGAGTTCCAGGATGACACTCAGCTGATATCTGCAACAGAATTGATTGCTTGCTTCATGTGTGGGGAGATACTCCCACATATTTGGTTACAGAGAGACCAGAAGAAAAAGTTTATTTTTCTCTACAGAACGTCATTATTTGGTTGGTTGGTTTGCTTCATCAATGAGGATGCTTAAAAACTAAGTGTAGCCCTTGCACCATTTTAGTTGAGAAAGAGTATGTTACAACGGAAAATGTAAAATTTTTCAAAATAGACAGACTTTAGTTCAAATCCTGGCCCTGAAAGTTAGCTGTTAATGTTGTAGAATGTTTATTAATCATTTTGTGCTCCAATTTTCTTAATAATAAAATAGGACTGTTAATATTCTCTACAGACTAATATCCCTCCTGAATATAGACATAAAAATTTAAATTCAATAATATGTAGAAAAGATAATACATCATAACCAAGTGGGGATTATGCCAGGAATGCAAGGTTGGTTTACATTTTGAAAAGACATAGATATAATTCATCATATTAACAGATTAGAAAGGAAAAACCATATGATCATCTTAATAAATGTAAAAAAGGCACTTGACAGAATGCAACATGCATTCCTGATAGAAACTCACAAACCCTAGGAATAGAAGGGACATTCCTCAATCTGATAAAGGAAATTTATTAATAAAACCAACAGTTTGTATCATATTTAACAACGAAGAATGAATACTTTCTCCCTAAGATTGGAAATCAAGCAAGAATATCTGTTTTCACCACTCCTAATCAATATTGTGGTAAAGATTCTACCCATGGGGAAAAGGCAAGGAAAAAAAAAGACATTCATATAGGAAAGGAAGAAATAAGTACTTCCTTTTGTGACTGGCTTATTCCTTAAAGATGATCATTGATGGAGAAAATCCTAAAGAATCTATTAAACAAGACTATTAGACCTAACAAGTGAACTTAGCAAGGTTGCAGGATACAAGGTCAATATTTTAAAAATCAATTGTATTTCTATATACAACGAATAGTTGGGAATTAATACCTTCTATGATATCATAAAAATGTTTAGGTATAAATCTGATGAAAGATGTGGAGGGTCTATACGCTGAAAACTATAAAACGCTTCTGAGAGAAACTAAAGAAGCCCTAAATAAATGGAGAAGTATACCATATTTATGGATCAGGAGACTCAGGATTAAGATGTAAGTTCTCCCCAAATTGATCTATAGATTCCACAAAATCCCAACAGTTTTTAAAAATAAAAATGGACAAGCCAATTCTCTCTCTCTCTGACACACACACACACACACACACACACACACACACTGCACACCACACACCACACACCACACACACACTCCCCTTTTCTATCCATCTATTGGGCCATATGCACAAAGAAAGACCTGGACTGTTCTATAGCAAATATTAACTCTGGTTATGCTGATGGTAGGATTTCAGATAATTTGCTGTTTTCCTCTTACATTTTTCTCTCTTGCTCAAATTTTGTAACTGAATATTTCTGATGTTAATAAATAATAAATCACTATTCCAAGAAATGCTCCTCTCACAGTTTGGCTGCTTTATCTTTGCCATAAATAATTGCTAATCAATCTTGAAAGGACAGATAAGTAAATACTGAATTGAAGAGTCTCAAAGGGAATCCTGCACAATATACTCTCAAAGTACTGTACAGGAGTCACTTCAACCTTAATCTCTTTCCTTACATGGAGTAATTTGGGATAGAATCAACCAGTGATTTCTCTTATTGAAGGATTAGGCCATGTTGTTAATAAAGTGGCCATCTAGACAATGAAAACGAAATAAGTATTCTCTCGTCAATTCCTAGGTAAGTGATTTCTGGTCATTTGAGAGTAAAAAATGCTCATCAATAGTTTTGTCACTTTATTTAAGCTGCCTTAAGAGTAAGGATTATGTTTGACCCAGAAAACCTTACCAGTGTGGTCGAGACCTCCAAGAGGGTTATTGTCCTCACATAGCAAGAAAGCACGAGGTAAGCAGTGTAGGGCTAGAGTGGTTGCTTGACCAGCCATGTCCACTGGGACTCAGACTGGCTTGCTCTTCCTGCTCTACTAATCTTAACTTGAGGCTTTCCTTCTCTAAAGTCGAAAAATGGCTGCTGCTGCTCTGTGTATGATGCCCGTATTGCAGGCAGGAAGAGAGAAAAGAACCACAAGGCTTTTCCTCTCAATCTTTTGTGTTTTTGTCTGGGAATAGATGCTACTCTTTGGATTTCTGCCAACATTACATTGGCTAGAATGGGTCACATGGCCACCCTTAACTGCAAGGGAGTCTGGGAAGTTGGACATTTTAATATGGCCACAATGGCACCACAAAAAAAAATAAGGTCTTTGTTAGAAAGGAAGAAAAAGGAATGGGATTTGGGTAGGCAATCAAGAGGTCGGCTACACTGTCTAAAATGTTGCCTGTATTTTATTTTTAGTTTAAAAGTACAAACAAAAATGCCCGGAAATAGAAGTTTGATGTGCGTTCTTGGAAGAATGGCATGAGGAGTGCCACACTGAAGTTAGAGCATAAGGCCATTTCCTATCAGTCCTTGGGCAAAATCTGAGCTTTATTTCCTCCACTTGATATGAGATTAATAATACATAACCAGTGTAAAACTCACATAATTATAAGTTCCACTGGATACATGAAGAGTATTATTGTTGAATATTCCTAAAGCTTCCCATGAGTCATGGAATAAAAAGTGAGACAACAAAAATTTAATTGTGCTTGTTTGGTTTTTTTTTTTTTTTTTAAATAAATTGGTTTTGTTTCTCAGCTCATTTCATAGACAATTTGAGGCAGCCAACAATGCCAATACATATAGTAAAAAATAAATGTAGATTTTTAAATGGAGTTAAAGAGTAAGAATCAATGTGAGCTAAAATAAGAATATAAGAATTTTTAGTCTAAGCTTTCTGGCCACCAAAGTATAAAGGGAATATAGAACAATTTACATAATAGTCATTATCAGAGAAAAACATATCTCACCAGTAGATGCAAGTTTTCTTTATTGTAAAACAAATGTTTACATACTTGAAATCCTGTCTTTCAAAGGTAATCCTGGCATTTAGTTCAGTGCCTGATGAAAAGAATGCCCTGGGTAAATATTTATTGGATGGATAGATCCAAGATCTCTCTTCTAGCTACTTTGAAATATATGACTATTGTCACCCTACTCTGCTATTGAACATTAGAATTTATACCTTCTCTCTAACTACATGTTTTTACCCATTGTCCAACCCATGCATAGCTGGATAGATGGAAATGGAATAAAACTCTGCTACATATATTATGTGATTTCTCCTTATTAAAAATTACCATTTTTTGGAGAACAGGGACAGCTTTCTATTGAATGCTATAAACTCTCTCTCCAGAAAAGTGAATATATACACAGAAGTCTGCATATCATATAAAGGGGCTGAGAGATTCCCTGAAACTCATCCACAGATCACCTTGGGGGCTAATAGGTTTCAGCTGAGCAACCGTTTTTCATCAGCAGTGCAGGAGACAGTATAATGTAGCAAATAAAATACCATCCGAGGCATCAGACAGACTTGTCCGAATCCACTTGCTGTCTGGGTGAGAAAAAGAAAAGTTATATAACCTTTCTGAGCTTCAGTTTTCATAACTGTAAAATGTAGATAAAATGCCTACCTCATAGACTTGTTGGGAAAATGAAATGGCATAGTATATTTCTAGCACTTAGCATAGCACTTGGTACATACAAAGCCCTCAATAAATTAATCCCAAAAAATAACTCCCATTTACTGAGTACTTCTATAGGGCAGCACCTTGATGTCATTCCATCTTTATCTCAACCCTGCAAATTTGATCATCACATCATTACTCCAGTTTTATAGATGAAGCTGAATCACAAAAGTTCTGAAATTTACCAAAGCTCACACAGCCAGAAAATTACAGAAACAGAAGATGAGCCCAGGTCTTTCAGTACCAAGAATGCTAATATCAGGTTCTGTCTGTTTTTCCAGCCATTTTCCTCCACTTGTCTTCTGGTAGCTCATATCTATGACTCCACAAAGGACAGGGAAGAAGAGAAGCATCACACAGGCCGGAAAAATTTAATACCTACTGCCAGACCTCTAGTCACTGGTCTGGACTTATGGCCAAGGAGTGGCTGACACCTTGAGATACACATCTTATATCCTCAGCTGTCATTGGTTTAGTGGGGAGGCTCTTAGTCTGGCTAAACACAGGGAAAGCTGCAGCTACCTCTCCCATTAAAATAATTTGAAATCTCTTTATTTATTTATTTTTTTTGAGAAAGAGTCTCACTCTGTTGCCCAGGCTGGAGTGCAGTGGCACAATCTCAGCTCACTGCAACCTCCGCCTCCTGGGTTCAAGTGATTCTCCTGCCTCAGCCTCCTGCGTAGCTGGGACTACAGATGTGCGCAACTATGCCTGGCTAATTTTTGTATTTTTAGTAGAGATGGGGGTTTCACTATGTTGGTAAGGCTGGTCTCGAACTCCTGACCTCGTGATCTGTCTCCCTCGGCCTCCCAAAGTGCCTGGATTACAGGCATGAGCCACCGTGCCCAGCCAATAATTTGAACTCTTTATGCCAGGTTAGCAACCCATATGTCACAATGTAATTGGCAACTGTATCTTGTAGCCTGCCTAACATCCATTCCCCCTTCTAGTTGCCTCCATCTCATTTTCTTTTAACTATACTACCTTCCCATGTGCCTCTGAAAAAGTGAGCTCTCCCTTCTACTCCTGAATGGGCCCTGATTGGTGAATCCAATCAGCACATCCCATCCAACTGGCCACAGTGACTGGCTCAATGAAAAATAACATGAATCCAGCCAATGGAAGGTTAGGAGAGGTTTACTGGGAACTTAGCAGGAATAAAAGTGCTTGATCTTCTCATAAAACTGTCAGGAGCAGCTGGGCACAGTGGCTTACACCTGTAATCCCAGCGCTTTGGGAGGTTGAGGCAGGAGGATTGCTTGAGCCCAGGAATTGGAGGCTGCAGTGAGCTATGATTGTGCCACTGCACTCCAGCCGGGGTGACAGAGTGAGACCCTTAATAAATAAATACATTAATACACAAAATTTCTATTATAGTACTTTTAAATTACAGCACATAGTGTATGTATATCTATTACAGCAGTTACTGTATTTGTTCTTCTGACAATGTCCCTAAGTAGACTACTGTCTACATCTATTGTCTTAACCATTTTTCTATGCTCAGGGCCTAACACTAGTAGCATTTAACAGCTAGTGAAGAGACGGATGAACACATCCACATCCCTGCCAACACTGGGTATTTTCTGGGGTTTTTATTATAGTGGCCATCCTGCTGGGTATGGGGTGATATCTCATTGTAGGTTTGATTTACATGTCTCTCATGGTTAGTCACGTGGGGCATCTTTTCAGATACTTGTTGGCCATTCATATATCATCTTTGGAGAAATGTGTATTCAAGTCCTCTGTCCATTTTAAAATCACGTATCCTTTATTTTTTTAAACCCATCTGAGTTGGGTTTTTTTTCCTCGTTACTAAGAGATTCCAAATTGTTATGTTATGATGTTTTCCATGGCAAGTAATAGAACCTCCCACTGAGGAGTCTGACTTTTAGTTGTGATTTTTCAGGCCTGGCTGTGGGAAACTACAAGGCTGTACCTGGCAGGCCTTATGGGGAGACTCCCACTCCACACCAGACCTGGCACAGCCAGGGCAGTGGCACTCCCAGGAGGGAGCTGCGGGCAAGGTATCAGGCCCCTGGCCGGCCATGCTCTTACATGCACCTGTGTTCCCAGCCCTGCACCTTCATTCCCGGGTCTCTGTGTCCATGGTCTTCTTCAGGCACCTCTGCCAAGGCCTCCTTATGGGGGAATGATATAGTTTGGCTGTGTCCCCACCCAAATCTCCTCTTGAATTTTAGCCCCACAATTCCTATATGTTGTGGGAGTGACCAGGTGGAGGTAATTAAATCATGAAGATGGGTCTTTCCTTTGCTGTTCTCATGATAGTTAATAAGTCTCATGAGATCTGATGGTTTTATAAAGAGGAGTTTGCCTGCACAGTTTCTCTTCTCTTGTCTGCTACCATGGGAGATGTACCTTTTACCTTCCACCATGATGGTGAGGCCTCCCCAGCCACGTGGAACTGTGATTACACTAAACCTCTTCCTTTCATAAATTGCCCAGTCTGGGGTATGTCTTTATCAGCAGTGTGAAAACAGACTAATACAGGGAAGGAGGGAGAAACCTTGAAGATGCTTCCCTGTGACTCTGGCTCAGCACTCAGTGCTTTTTCCCACTGAGCCCTTCTCCCTTACCCCTTATCCCCAAGGTCCATACAACTCCCGGAGCCATTTTTTTGGGTCTCTGTCAACAATGAGGTGACCACATCTGCATGAATCCACTGCCCCTCCACAGGTTCCTGTTCCATGGGGGAAAATGGACAGAGGAGTTGGCACTTCCTCTGGTTTTAGCCTCTTGCTTGTACCATTGCTGTAAGTGATTACAGGCTTAACCCTCATTTTGGGCTTGTTGCTTTAATTGGCTACTCAGACACCTGACAGCTCAGGTCTCTCTCTCAGCTCAGTGGAGCCCCTGACGCCATTCAGCTGACTTAAACAACAAGAGGAGTCACTCGGACATGAAGTCCCTAGGCAGGGTGGACTCCAGGCATGGTACGTTAGTGCTGCGTTCTCTTTCTCCAAGGTTCTCTGTGGAGTCACCCCACTCTGTGAACTGGCTTCATCCTCAGGCAGTTAGCAAGATGACTGGCACAGTCCGAGACCCAGAGACATCCAGCAAAAGACCTGGAGCTGTCTCCTGCTCTTGGCTCTTTTTAAGAGCAAGGAAACCTTCTTCAGTGGTCCCTGGAGGTTTCCCCATGAGCGTGGTCTGTAACTTCACCACATGAATCACATTAACACACAAGAGAAATGGGAGGCAGAGTTTACCCAGCAGGGCCTCAAGTCACCACCGTCCCTAAGGGATGAACACCTGAACATAGCTGAGGCTCAATTAACAAGAATGACAGAGGGAGTGGATTTTGGGTAACCTAACAGTACCAACTGCTATGGCCCAAATGTTTGTGTCTCCCTATAAAATTGTATGTTGAAATGCTAATCCCCAAGGGATAGTATTAAGAAATGGGGCCTTTGGGAAGTGTTTAGACCATGAGGGCAGGGCCCTCTTGAATGGGATTAGTGCCCTTATAAGAAGGGCCTGAGGGAGCTTGGTTGCTCCTTCCATCAAGTGAGGATGCAGGAAGAAGGAACTTTTTGTGAAGAATGGGCCCTCACCAGATACTGAATATGCCAGCACTTTGAGGTTGGACTTCCCATGCTCCAGAACTGTTAGAACTAAAGTCCTGCTCTGTTGCCCAGGCTGGAGTGCAGTGGCGCGATCTCAGTTCACGGCAACCTCTGCCTCCCAGGCTCAAGTGATCCTCCCACCTCAGCCTCCCAAGTAGCTGGGATTACAGACACACCACCAAGCCCAGCTAATTTTTGTATTTTTAGTAGAGACCGGGTTCCACCATGTTGGCCTGGCTGGTCTCGAACTCCTGACCTCAAGAGACCTCGACCTCCCAAAGTGCTGGGATTACAGGTGTGAGCCACCATGCTCTGCCAGTCCTAGCTCCTTAATTGGGAGGGGTCAGGAGCAATCACCCCTCCCCAACCCTCTGTGCATTTGGGTCCAGTGAGGCTGCACTTCTAGCCACCCATCCCAGGGGTTGATGTGCGGTCTGGACCTGGCCAACCAGGTCCTCGTGACTGGTCTGGAACAAACACGTGTCCTCCCCTGGGCCAGAAGGAGTCAACCCTGGCACTCTTTGGAAGGGAAAATTCTCTTTCTGCTGAGAGGCCTGGGCTGGTGGTATGGGAGCCTTGTGCTGCTGGCAGAAGAGAATCAGCATCGAGGAAAGCAGAGACAAGTCAGAGTCAGACTCCCAGCAACAGCTAGTGGGCATCCGGGACCAGCCAAGCCCAATTCGCCAACAAACCCCTCCTTTTCCTTAAGCTGTTTCAGTTGGGCATCTGTCATTTACAAGAGAAGAAATTCTTTTTAATTTATACAAGAAAATTTTATTGGGCACCAATTATGTGCCAGGAACTAGAAATACAGCAATTATCACGATGGGTGCAGCCTCTGCATCCACAGAACTTATGGTTATCTACTAGGAATTCTGATTAAGGCAAGCACTTTGTACATGCCAGGGGTTGAGTTTGAAAATGCATCATGTTTTGTATTATTCAGAATTTCTTTAACCTCCAGAAAGACAGGGGCCATGAAGCCTGTTTTGCCTGCCCCAGCAGCTAGCTCAGTACATGGCTAAGTAGGTGCTACACAAATATTTTTAAGTCAACAAATGGACTACCCTAAGAGATAAGTCTTCTTTTGCTCATGAGGAAATTGAGGTGCCTAGGTGGTATGTGAACCCAGGACTTTTAGACCCCAAACCCATGCTCCAAAATTTCATGTGATACTGTCTCATAGTTGTGTTTGCTGCATAGTTAAGGCATAGTCCTGTAGTCAGTTCACAATGTGTAAGTCCACTGCCCTGAGCTCACTAAGGGCACAATCATCACCAAAATGATCGCTGATGATAAGCCAGCTGCGATGGTAGGTAGGACCTACCATCACTGTTAGGTGGGACCAGGCCACCGGGACTCTGCAGGGCCATCGCCCGGGATCTTTCAGTCCACTATGTGCATTTGTCTGAGCCAGACAGACCTGCACTTGACTCCTGTACCTACTAGCTATGCTACCTTGGGTGACTTTTTTTTTTTTTTTTTAACAATTTTGTGCCTTGGTTTCCTCATCTGTAAAGTGCAGATGATACTACTACCCACCTTAAAGTCATGTTCATTTTTTTACTCAGGAAGCATTTCTTGAGTTCCTACCATGTCCCAGTTATGACTAGAAGATGAGAGGCAAGGAGGGTGAGTATTTGCAAAGTATGCAAGTCCCTTAGGTGGGTTCTATACATGTGAGTTTGAGAACCACTGAGTCCGAGGCTCTAGTAGGAGGGTGCGGTGAGGTTGCCCAGGCAATTTCAGGGGTCAGGGCAATGGTGTGCTGGGAAATGTTCGACAACTGGGTTTCCAAGGGAAAAATGTCCTGCCAGTTTCCATGGTGGAGATGCCCCTATCCTGGCCAATTTCAAGTTGCTGAATGTGGAGTTGGGAAAAGATACTCTCCACTGGTTCTCCACAGCAGAGCCAGCCTCCTCCAGCACCAAGTGGTCCTAGGGAACTCTGAGAAGTGGTTGGCACTTTTATTGCTGGAGGGTAAAGCAAAGATTCCTTCAAGAGAGTGATAAATGGGGAAGAGTGTAGCCCCCAGAACGGCAATTAACTTGAGGCTTTACCAAGAGGTTCTGCTTAACTTGGTGCAGACTGAGATGCTGGGACAGCTGGAAGATGCAAACTGGATGATCCGTGGAGGCTGTTTGGTTCGGGTCTCAGTTTCTCTAGTTGGGTCATCTCTACATGGCTGCTTTACCAGAATCATGAGAAAGAAGTCATTGTTTTTGTTTTAAGCCACTAAGTCTTGCTGTAGTTTATCCCACAGCAACACATAACTACGGTAAGGGAGTTTCCCCCGGAACTTAGATTGTCACATCTAAGCTGTGGGCTTGTGCAAGATCAGGGTAGTCATCTACTATGTCCCAATGCTTAGACCTGTTTGCAAGAACATACTATTTTCAGAAAGAGTGGCTTATTCTCAAGCACATGGCTATGATATTGCTTCCTAGAAAACAAAAAAAGAACTGCAGTTTTTTCCAGCAGCTTGCCAAATAATTGTGCAAAATTGAAAGATAGTAAATTTCTATATGTGTTTGTGTTCACACATACTTACCACCATGCCTAAAATAAATGAAATCAGATAATAAATTTCTCTAGTTTATCATAATCATACATCATGGCCCAGGCTGTATATTGGACCATCCAGTTATTTCAGAAGAGTTAGTTGGAATGTATGGACGGCAAATGTTGGTGCTCAGAAGAAAGACATAATTACTATTTTCAGGTTGCCTGGTTCCCTATCCTTATAATGAGTAAGATATTTAGAATCCCGAACTGTTTATGTGACATTTCAATAAGTAATGCAGAGATTTGACAACATTTCCATATTCCTCTTTTAAAGTCTGAATGCCTCTGCCTTAATCCAAGCTCCTTGGCATTTATTACTGTTTGTTACAATAACAAGTAAGATTATGAGAATTCTAATGAAGGCTTCCAGTGAAAAACTCTGTGATTAAAATGCCATAATAACAGTTGCATGCATTTATGTGCCTGATTACCATAATCTATTTAGCACAAGTAAACATACAAACAGAAGGAGAAAAGCAAGCCCCCTGACACTTCAGCTAAAGGAGAATTTGAAATGTGGAGGAGACAATGTAAATATGTAAATGTCTTTGTGTATTCTTTTTATCTCTCTCCTTTCTCATCCTTGCCTTTTTTTTTTTTCTGTTTGCTAATGAGAAGACTATGTCATCCCATGTGGTCTCTGCTTTACCAGGCTGAGGTGCATTTGGGGCCATCTGCTGGGCCAGCATCCTAAACAATGCCACCCAGAAAGCACTGGATATATTTGCAACCACCTTTGACATCCCAGAATAGAAAAAATGGTATCTCAAAGACTACAGTCTTTGATGTGTTCACTCTGAACACTTAGTTCAGCTGTTACCCCATTAATGCAAGGCCTGGTTGAGCCTGGCCACGCGGTACCCTGTCCTTCCCCCACCACCTCCCTCCCCCGACAAACACCACATTGTCAACAAATTAAAAGCAATCATGCCAGGTTTCTAAATTAGTCTCTCTCTGTATCTCTGCTGGCTTCATTATTTTTAATTCTTAATAAAATGTCAGGCAGGAGACTGACTCGCATCTTCCACTTGGTATGAGATTTTAAAGAACTTTTTAAAATGTGGAACTGAATACTGGAATTTTAAAGTAGGATAATGGTGACAATTTCATTTGGGAAGTAACTTAAAGAAATTGCTGGAATCCCAAACATTTTGTAGTAAGGAGACAGCATAGGCATGTTCTTTTTTCAAAGAAGGAAATAATTTCTTTAAACAGAAGCAGGCAGGTAGCTGATCTAGCCTCAATGCGGAGAGATGGACTGAGGAAATGTACGTGAAACAAGCATGGGAGAGTTTATAGAGTATTAGAGAAATACTAAGCCTAGTAGTTTAATACAACTGAGGCCTAAAGATAGCCATGTTAGCTCTTGCTTATTAATTTTTTTTGTTTTCCAAAAACAATCTTGAGGCATGTAAAAAAAAAAAATCCTGAAATATCCATATATAGGGAGCCCTTAGAGTGAAATTCGTTGAGCTTTTACTATGTCCCAGGCACTGTTCTACATGCTTTCCCCATATTATCAAATTTGACACTCATAATAAATTGTAAGGAAGACACTGTTACAGATGAGGAAACCGAGACATAGACGTTAAGTAGCTCACTCAGAATGGCATTAGTTTAATAAGTGAGGAAATCAGAATTCTAACTCAGGCAACCTCAATCCAGAGCCTGCACTCTTAAACAGAAAGCTAATTTTCAATTTTGTATTCTCCAGAGTTTAAGGATCGTATGTCTTCGTGGAAAACTATATATCCTAAGAGAAATGATACAGCATAGTGCCTGATACATAGTAATCCGGCAAGATATGCTGGCATTAATATGATAACAAAAATCACATTATTCACATCATTAGGAGAGACTATTGTTTCCAGTCCCACACATTTCTAACACACATTGATGTGCATTTTTCCAATTAAAATAATCTTAAAGAAAGGAGGCCAGGGGGGGTACACAAAAGTAAGAACGCGTATTGCTAAAAGCAAAACAGCCCATTGTTTGACCATCCAGCTCCGCACTTACCTGCCCATATGGTGGCTCCTGGAAGCCAGCATGCTAAGCACCATGTGTACCAAATAATCACAGGGGTAGGTTAAAGAGACAGCCTTCCCCCTAATTTGACCAATTTAGCATTTGGGGAGTAGTCTGTCTGTGCCTATCTTGGGAATTTTTAAACAATGGGTTGAAAGAGAAATTAGGGGAGGCAGACAATATTTCGGAATCAACCTAATAAATGTGAACAGCTGCAATGCGATCATCAGCACAATACATGATGGTTCCTTTCTCCAAGAAAATAAATGTGCGCCTCCCCGGGGGTCTGTCCTCTGCCACCCTCCTCTACTCGCAGTATGCTTTCCGCTTGCACTGATGTGCCCTTGTGCCTCCCTTCAGCCCTTGGCTTGAAGCCCTGGACTAGATCAACCAGAGAACGGGCATCCCCACTGGGTGCTCCTCCTGTGTCTCCCCTTCAACTCATCCAAACAGAAACTCTTCCTCTTGGATTCTCCATCACAGTTGATGAGATGGGGCACCCTCATCCGTCCAGCTGCTCAGGCTTAGAAAACTAACAAAGTCCTCCACTACTCTGCACCCTCACTTGTCTATACGGAGCCATTCATCAAAGTTTGCCAATTTCACCTCCTAAAAATGTCTTCCATCCCTCCCCTCTTCTCCATGAGGGGAGTCTGCCACTGCCCAAGGTTGGAGTCTGCATTTGTCTGCTAGGGCTGCCATGACAAAGTAGCACAGACCGGGTGGCTTAAACAGCAGAAATGTATTGTCTCACAATTCTGGAGGCTGGAAGCCTGAGATGAAGGTGTCAGCAGGGTTGGTTTCTTCTGAGGCCTCTCTCCTTGGCTTGTGGATGGCCGTCTTCTCCATGTGTCTTCACATGGTCTCCCCTCTGTGTGTGTCTGTGTCCTAATCTCTTCCTCTTATAAGGACACTAGTCATATTAAGGGCCCACCCCAATGACCTCATTTTAATTTAATTACATCTTTAAAGACCTATGTCCAAATACAGTCACATTCTTAGGTACTAGGAGTTAGGACTTAAACATACCAATTTGGGTCAGGGAAACACAGCTCAATCCATAACAGGGTCCTTATCATCTCTCACCTTGACTACCATGAAACCTTGTATTTACTAAGCTTTCTACAATGATCAGATCCTGTATTTTCCATATTTCCTACCAAGGACCATGTATGACTTCTATTACCAGAAAAATACTCATCAATGAAATATTTTGAAGAAAATGGTGGTGTTCTCCTTCCAATTCAGAGACTTCTCCTTGGCCACTGTCTGTTCTGCTTTAAGCTTCTCCTTTGTCGTGTTTCTCCATGTTCCATCCCCTGGCCTCAAATCTGGGTTCTCCTCTTCTGTTTCCTTTTCTCAGGCTGGTGAGTCAGCTGGACAGTCATCTGAGTCTGGAGTTGGGGCCAACTTCTTTGGCATCACATTCCAGACAACAGAAACACTGATGAGCACAGGGCATCTGAATGGGGCCGTGAGTCATTGTTTGTAGTTTGTCAGGTGATATGGTTTGTATATTTGCTCCCACCAAACCTCATGTTGCAATTTGATCCTCAGTGTTGGAGGTGGAGCCTGGTGGGAGGTGTTCAGATCATGGGTCATGGGGGCAGATCCCTCATTGAATGTCTTGGTACCATCTTCTCGGTAATGAATGAGTTCTCACTCTATTGGTTCCTATGATAACCAATTGTTAAAAAAGAGCTTGGACCTCTCTCCTCCTCTCTCTTCTTCCTTCCTCTCTGGCTGTGTGATGCCTGCTCTCCTTCACCTTTTGCCGTGATTGGAAGCTTCCTGAGGCCCTCACCAGAAGCAGATGCTGGCACCACACTTCTTGTACAGCCTGCAGAACCATGAGCCAAATAAACCTCTTTCCTTCATAAATGACCCAGCCTCAGGTGTTTCTTTATAGCAACACAAACTAAGACATCAGGGAAGAGTGAGAACTATTTTGAAATTGAAACATGGATGTATGTTCTTCAATGCACATTGTGGGTTTCATGGAATTTTATTCTAATTCTGCAACTTGGAACACTTTTGTCCACACCCCGTTCTGGGGAGGTAATGGGGCCATGGAACCCTTTCTGTGTCCATCCATATTTCAGCCCTCCAGGAGGCTTTGCCAGGCAAGTTATACCTCACTCTGGATGAGCCTCTGGACATCAAGAGACATCAATGGTGCCAAAGCACCATACTAGATTTCAACAGAGGCAGCATGCATGGCCCTTCAGAGAATGAAGGCTGGATCCTGGTCCCTGACATAGAGACCCTAAAGCACTCTCTCATCTCACCGTTCAGAATATGTGGATCACCCCCTTGGAGAGTTCTGGCCCTCAGGAAACTTACACCTACCATCTAAAGTTCTACACTTCTACCCTGACTCCCACACTCCATAAAACCAGGGAGATGGAGCCCCAGCTGCACTGTCTCAGTCAGGGTCCCAGCAGGAAATAGCATACCCAAGTTAGGATACTTGGAAAGGGGCTAATTGACAAAGGGACTCATTACCACAATGGAGCCAGCATGTAGAGAAGCCACAAGAGATAGTACAGGGGTCAGAAGCTAGCAGAGCCAGAGCTGTCCCCAAAGAACAATGGGAGGGAGAATTTTCCAGAACCCAGAGGAAAGAGTTGTGCAGAAAAGGCTGCCTTGGAAGTAACCATGACCTAGTACTGGGGACATAGCTAAGCTGCAGTAGACATGACAGGGAGGAAGCCAAGGAGACAAATGCCTCAGTCTCCTCCCCGCACCAGGTTGACTGAGCCCAACTGGAGGAATCCAGGAGCAGAGCGTGGGGTGGAGGCAGAGGAGAGTGAACCCACCAGAGAGGTGAGGCTGAAGGCACTCGCCTCTCCATCATCACTGAGTCTGCTGCGCTGTCTCGCCTCCAACTGGTGGCTGAGTCTTTACTCTGGAGGCGCTTCCTAGCATTGCCATAACAAACTGCTACCAACTTCATAGTTTAATACATGGATATTTATTGTCTCATAGCTCTGGAGGCCAGAAGTTCAAAAGCAAGGTGTTGGCCGGAGCGCATTTCCTCTGAAGGCTTTAATGGAGAATCCTTCCTCGCTTCTTCCAGACTCTGGTGGCCTCAG
Organism: Homo sapiens; assembly: GCF_000001405.40. Taxonomy (NCBI): domain Eukaryota; kingdom Metazoa; phylum Chordata; class Mammalia; order Primates; family Hominidae; genus Homo; species Homo sapiens. The sequence continues at coordinate 33,013,301 of NC_000021.9, forward strand.
GCATTCCTCGGCCTGCTGCTGCATCACCTCCATCTCTGCCCCCATCTGGCCTTCTCCTCCTGGCTGCATCTTCTCATCTTCTGTCTGTCTCAAATCTCCCTCTGCCTTTCTCTTATAAAGACACTTGTCATTGGATTTAGGGCCTGCCTGGTAATCCAGGATGATCTCATCTCAAGATCCTTAACTTAATGACATCTGCAAAGACCCGTTGTCCAAACAAGGGCACATTCACAAGTTCTGGGGATCTGCACATATTTTTTTTAGGGGGGTGCACCATTCAACCCAGGACAAGGGGCAAGTCTCTTAATCCTTGGAAAACAGTCCTGGAAGGAAGCCCCACACTATCAGAAGACCTGCTGACTCCTGCTCAAATCCATGCCCTGGACCTCCAAGGGCTCTGCACCGCCCCCAACGCCCCCCCAATCCCCGCAAAAGGAGACTCAGGTGGCAGGTCCTGCCTGAATCATTGTCAGTATAAGGGGCCTAGGGCAGTTTATGGGCCATGTCAGCTCCTAGGAGAAGATCTGTCCAGTGCTGAAAGTAGGGTGTTAAAGTCTCCAGCAATTGTTGTACTGGGGTATAGACCCCAGTACATCTGACTGGGGTCTATCTCTCTCTATATATAGAGAGAAATCTCTCTCTATCTCTAATAATATTTACTTTATATCCCTGGTTGCTCCAGTGTTGGGTGCATATATATTTACAATTGTTATATCCTCTTGCTGAACTGACCCCTTTACGTTATGCTACCTGCCAACCCATGCCACCCACTTCACATCAGCTGTCTGCTAGGAGCTCTGCCTACGCTGTCCCTCGCTGAGACATGTTAACCTCAGCTGCCAGCCCTAGGCCCAAGACCCAATAACTATGCTGGAGGTGACGATGACCTCCCAGATCTTTTCCAGAAACATCCCCCACTGCTTCAGGGCATTCACAGCTAAAGGTATACTTGGTCAGAGCAGCTAAAGGTATACTTCCAAAGTGAATCAATAGCAGTAGGAAAACGTAGTTCCTAGCATTTAAGATAGTGGTTCCTCAGTGTGACAGAGATTGCTGGGTTTTTACCCCAATATTCATTCTCCTCTATTTTTACCATTCTATTTCCTAATGGGCTCCAATTGGTGGCACCTGGCCATGCATCTAAAGACTACACTTCCCAGCCTTACTTGGCTTTAGGTGTCGCCATGTGACTAAGCACTGGCCAATGGGATGTGAGTAGAAGTGATACACGCAGCCTCTGGGCCCTACCTTAAGAGAAGGTGGTGTGCCCTCTACTTCCCCCTCTTCCCACTGTTGACTGGAATGCATACATGATGGTGGGAGTCACAGCAGCCATCAGCACAAGAGAGGAAAGGCAACACAGGATGGATGCCAATGCAACAAGATAAAAAGACACTGTGGAGCCACTGTCTGGGCTGAGGGATGCTCCATACAGGCTGTTACATGACAGAGAAATGTTGGCACAGCTGTTAAGCTGACATGAGGGTTCGTGGCTAAGTGATCTATCAATAAAAATACTTCCAGTGGAGGCTGCTAAGGGAGTTGGCGGGTGTGGGGGGAAACTAAGCCAGAGAGGAAGCCAAGAAAGACTGAAATCTCAGGCAAAAGTCCTGCTAAAGAGACTGGGCTTCTGACTGAACCCACAAGGGATCTCTAGAGTAAAAATTATGCCTTGGCCCAGAGCTACAAAACCTTGCACCATCATTGCATTCAGCTCTCTCCATAGTCAGCAAAGTATCCCCAGGAGTCCACGCACAGCCCTGTGAAGATGAGTTGAAAATGTTGGCCATTGAGAGAGAAAGCACACCAAAGCCTAAAGGCATGCATGGAAAGGGTTAAAAGGGACTGAAGCAGATGTGTCTGGACAGATGTCTTTGTTACGCTCAAAAGCATAAAACGAAAAGAAAGAGTGAAGAGGCAACCAGGACCTACAACATCTGCTACGTAAGTTGGCCTAGGGTGAATCCTGATCACCACACCCACTTCCTGCCTGGCTTCACGAGTGACCAGAACATGCCCACTCACCCTTCCCTTACAGCATCCTCTAAAGTGAGGGATAGCCTCCTAATATTGCAATATTGTGTGAACCTGGAGTTTTGTTATGATTCTGCCCAGAGTAGCATTCAGGATTCAAACTCAGTTGATATAACAAAGACATCTGCAGCAGACAGTTACCCCTCCAGACATCCAAAAGTCCCCACTCAGAGTTCAAAAGTCTGTTACCTTTGGTTAGTATTTGGTTTCAGTGCATTATAAAAACCAACATGATGGCTTTAACAAAGCAGAAGGGTTTGTTCTCTCATCTAAGAGACCAAAGCATTGGTCCCCAGCAGGTCTGGCACCCATAGTATCAGCGACCCAGGTTCCTTCTCTTTTCATGCTCTTTTATATGTGGCCCCACAGCCAACTTATGATCCTCAATGACTCCTCCAGCCTCCACCATCACGGAGGTTGGGGTTCTGCCTAGCTGGGAGATGAGAATGGAATGAGAAGAACATGCTGTCTCTGGAAGGATAGCTCTGGAAGTTGCCCATGCCACTTCTGTTTACTTCCTACTGGCCAGAACTTGGTCACAAAAGAGGCTGGGAAATGTAAGGAGTCTGGGATATGTAGTTTTAATTCCAGGTGGCCACATGCCAAACCAAAAAGCCTATTTCTACATAGAAAGTGGAACAGATTTGGAGGAACAATCAGCGATGTTTGCCATGCCGCCATATGACCAGGAAACCCTTGTGTTAATCACATGCACTCTAACCACCTCTCAGGGCTGTGGAGGGAATCAAAGAAATTGTAATAATTGTGATCACAATTACTTCGAGCATAAAGTTTGAGAGCAGAGATGCTGCAGGACCTCAGCACCTATGACAGTTCATGGCACAGGAAAGGAGCTCAATAAACATCGATTGAATTATTTACTTAAAACATAAATATTCCTCAGCAGATATAATGCATTGACGCACCTGGGCTGCTTTGCTCAACTCCTTGGAAAAGTCGCTGGTAAATCTTTGGAAGGATTGGAAATGGTTCCAGATGTTGAAATCATTTGTAATTTGTAGCATTGATGTTTTGAGGAGGGAAGTGACACTTTATTATTCTCCCCTGTAGCGCCACCGTGGTCAGTCTCGTCACCTATTCTGACATCCAAATTAGAAATCATCTTTTCCCTGGACTCAGGAAAATAAAAGTTGAGCATTTAAATTAGCCATCAGGCAGTCTCTCTTATACACTGCAACATAAATGGGGACAACAACGGTTAAGTGACAATTTGGTAACATCTACCAAAATTACAATGCACAGATTATGTGGCCCAGTAATGCTAATTCCAGGGATTTATCCTTATGATATACTACATATTTACACCTGTGCAAATGAAAATTTGCCAGGTATTTCATGGGAGCATTGTTTGTAATACTAAAAAGCTGGACAGGCCACTAGCTGTCAATTAAACCTATAATGTGTTGGGATTCCAGCTAGCTGGGAGATGAGAATGGAATGAGAGGGACATGCTCTCTCTCTTGAAGGATGCCAAGAATGAAGAGAGAAGGACCCTGGGTCCCTGACACTATGGGTGCCAGACCTGCTGGGAACAAATGCTCTGGTCTCTTAGATGAGAGAACAAACCCTTCTGCTTTGTTAAACCTATGTTTATTATTGACAGCAAGTGGCCCATCGAAAGACATTATGGCATGCCCATATTACAAAAGGATGGAAATATTTTTAAGGAAGAAACTTTTAACAGACAGCTACAAAGCCATCTCCAAGACACTAACTGGATAAAAGCAAGATGGAGAACAGTGTGCATAGTATGTTACCATTTGTATAAAAAGGGGAACAGAGTGTATATGTTTACATTTGCTTCTATTTGCATAGAATACCTCTGGAAGGACAGACAAAAGAGTAACTGAGCAAGAGAACTGGGTGGCTGGGGGAACAAGTGTAGTAAACAAACTTTGCATTATATGTTTTTGAATTTTGAACTATGTAAATATATCACATATTCAAAAATAATCAAACAAAAAATAATAGCTCATTAGCTTCATCTAGTGGTCTTATATATATTCTTTAAAATATGTCTGTCTAGATCCCTCTGATTGATTGCCCTACAAATAGGAGAGAAGAAATACTACTGTTTTTGCAATTACAGTAGGAAAAAGTGGACCCATCTGTACATTTCAGGCAGTGCCTAAAAGTACTGGGGCCAGCTTAGAGAAGTTTATTCAGTGCAGGAAGCACCCTGATCTCCCATCATCTGGGGCACAGACTGTCCTAGCTTCTCTGTGACTGAGGCAAGAAAAAAAAAAAAGCACCATAAAGAGCCAGGTAGCTTTTTTTGAGGTTGGGGGGGTGGGGCAGTGGGAAGGTCCTAGTTTTGATTGGGCAAATAATTTTTCCTGCACCTGTGACCAATCTGGTGAGGATGTTTGAGAAACAATTCTTTTTTTTGGAGACAGTCTCACTCTGTCACCCAGGCTAGAGTGAAGTGACATGACCTCGGCTCATTGCAACCTCTGCCTCTTGGGTTCAAGCGATTCTCCTGCTCCAGCCTCCTGGGTAGCTGAGATTATAGGCTCCCACCACCACGCCCGGCTAATTTTTGTATTTTTAGTAGAGACAGGGTTTCACCATGTTGGCCAGGCTGGTCTTGAACTCCTGACCTCAGGTGATTCGCCTGCCTCGGCCTCCCAAAGTGCTGGGATTACAGGCGTGAGCCACCGCACCCTGCCCTGAGGAAAAAATGTATTCTATGTATTCTAAATATGGGCTGCAGGTATGTGTGTGTGTGTTTGTAGGTTTAGAAAGAGAGCATTCTCTATTCAGTGGAGAGAGCAAGGTACAGAAACAACAGTGGACAGAGCATGCCACCATTTGTGTGAAAAAAGAAGAGAAAGAGAGATCTTTAAATATACTTTGTACTTGTGAAGAATATTTATAGAATACACAAGAAACTGTAACAGTAGTTGCCTCTGGGGGTCTGGGGGAAGGAGATCAGTTGTACCAGGGAGACTTACTTTTAATCAAATAACCTGTCTACTATTGGAGTTTTACTTCAGGTACGTGCTGCACAGCAGCTATTCAAGACATGTTTTAAAGAGAAGGGAATTTCAGTTTATATGATGTCCTTCCATCCCCTCCTTCTTTCCTTCCTCCCTTCCTTTCCTTCCTTCCTTCCTGCCTTCCTTCCTTCCTTCCACTCTCCCTCCGTCCCTCAACCCCCCTTTCTTTTTTATTTCTTTCTTAGTGCAAACTGTAAACACCGCCTAAACAGAATGGCCTCTTTGCTTAGACAAATGCCTTCGATTCAACCTAGAAGCAGATGACCTTTTGTTGTTGTTGTTGTTGGAAGTGGGGAAAGAAAAAAGGAATCAATGTCTAAAACTCCCACACTTTGCAAAGTCACAGAACCCAAGTTCTGCCTGGTCACAACTGCAGTCAAGGAATGTCTTGCTCCCACCTTAAAGTCATTCTTCCTGGAGCCAACGAAGTCACTTAAAGACCAGTGGGCTCAGCTTTCCACACACACCTGCCTCTTCTTTGGGCAAAGTGGGAACCAATTCTTCCCTCTGTATCTGCAGGGAAAGACTCTGCAAAGGAGAGCGAGCTCTGGGCGCAGAGCGCCAAAGGGCCCAGGAGGAGAGCACGCCTTCCGTTCTTGTCAGGAGGGGGCCCTGACCCCAGGGTCTTCCCAGCACAACCATCCACACAGTGGAAACAGATTTCAGGGGGTCCAGCTCTGGCCAGTTTTTCAGGGCTGAACGAGCCCTGGGCAAAGGAGAGGAAGGTCTAAAAGGGATTGAATGGTGCAGCCCTACACTGTTAAAGGGGATTGGGTGGATCTTGTTTTTATATGGGAAGACATCTAAGAGGTGCTGAGAAATGAAATAAAGCAGGTTACAAAGTTTGTATACAACCAGGCTGGAAGGGCATTCATCAAAATCTTGACAGTGGTTTGCTGGGAGGGGCAGAGGTGTTGAAATGGTAATGGTGACGTTTGCTTTCTGTATCATTTCAAAGTTTTGGTTTGTTTTTGTTTATAATGCACATGCATGTTTTTAACAGCATGCTTACTGAATGTTATTTCACAGGTGGTCAAGGGGTTTGAAGGCACGACTATTCATATGATTTGGGAGAGGTTGCTGAATCTCCAGGAGATACCCTTGTGAGCTTCAGACTGGGGTCTGTGTCTGGGACTGGAAGACCCCAGGACATTGGAGAGAGGAGCAAAGCCTAGAGCATGAGCCCCAGAAGACGCCACTGTGCCGGTGCACCACCTGGGGACTTTGGCTTATGTGGATTCTGTTTCAGTAGATCTGGGTGGGATCGAGATCTTTTATTTCCAACCAACACCCACGTCCCAGGACCTCACTGGAAAGAGGCGGGCGGGCGCGGGGAGCCTTCCTGAGGTTCCTGGTTCTCAAGAGCCGGGTGTAAGGAAGGAAAATCAAAGATTGAATTTAGATGTATGTATTGGAGGGGAATATTGGAGGAAGGGGGAGCAGGGGAGCACGCCCAGCCTCCTCTCCTGTCTTTCCCGCCCCCTTGTCTAAACTCAAAACCGAGTCCGGGCGCGCCTTGCAGGGCGCCCGAGCTCTGCAGCGGCGTTGCGGGCTGAACCCATCCGGCACAAACTGCGGGCCACTGGCCCCTCACACCTGGGAGTTTGCGGCGCTGGCCTGCAGCCCGGGGCCCACGTGGCGGAAGCTTTCCCGGGCGCGCGCTGCGCAGCCCCGCGGGGCCGGGGAGACACCGCTCGGGAGTCCTCCGCTCGGCTGCAGAATCTTTATCAGCTGCACTTTACCGCAGCCCTGGCTAGGACGCTAGGCGGTGGAGCGCCCTATCCAGGTGCGCCGCCGCACCATGGATCACCGCGCCCGGTCCCGCAGTCCCGCCATGGCCTGGGGAGGCCCGAAGCCCGGGGACAGTGGCCGGCCCATCTCCGGCTCCGCGGACCCCCGGCTCAGGCGGGAGGGCAGGCGGGTCCCTGCAGGCCCCCAGGGAGCCCGGGAGCCTCTCTCTGGCGTCATTCAGTCCCGGGGCAACCTGAAGCGCGGTAGATATTGGAGAGGGGGCGTCTGTTGGGGGGACCTGGCGTCATTACTGATGGCTAGCAGGGAGGAGGGAACGGGTTGTCACCTCGGCCTCATAAGGCCGTGAGTGAGTAGTCCAGGGCCTCTTCAGGCATTTTTGAAACTGGATTAACTAGGGGGGAAATTGTAGCACTGAAGCCACCGTGACTGTCTTTTGCGCTGTGTGGAAACTCCGGTAAAACTCTTTGGGCAACAGTCTTATCACCAGCTCTTCAACGTGTGCAGCCCTTCTGGTCCTGTCCCTGTTCTGGGCCCCAGGAATGCAAAGCAGGTCCAGGCACTGTGAAGACCCTGGCGGTGGAGGAAGAGGCTTCCCGGCTGTGGAGGAAGCCAGACCCTTACAACACAAGACGAGAACCAGACCTGCGTGGGGGAGCTCTGGATGCTACAGGGGCTCAAGGAGGGGTGGAGGGGCCTTCCCAGGCCAACCCCTGAACGGCTTGGACAAGATGCTCAGATGGACGGGAGGAACGGCGTGTGGGATGGGGGAGCTGGAGGCGGGTGGGTGGGGGGGGGAGGATGGGGAAAGCGCTGGCCCACCCAGTGTGGGAGGGGTAGAGGAAAAGCCCGCAGGGGCCAGGTTGGGACCCCGTAGGCCGGGTTAGAGGGCTTGGACTTGATCCTGACAGGCGACAGGGAGACATATTGCTACTTATTATGTGCACAGTGGCCAGATCTCTAAAGAAAACACCATCCCCCACCCCCACCCCCCATATAGTAAACCAGGTGGTCCGCCCAGTGCTCCCAGGGAGGTGATGGGAAATCCCACTCCATACCCTGCGGTGAGGGGTTCCATGCCCTCCACGTGTGCAACTACTCCGGGCCCAGGGAAACACTGGGCCCCATCCGGTAACCCCCGGCCCAGTCGGGTTTCCCAGTTCACATTATAACCAAACGGTCTTGCCAGCTAGACAGACAGACACCCCTGACCTGTTTACCCTGATCCTCTGCTCTCAGGATTAATCACAACTTGTCGAAGGGGGTGGCTTCCAGTGGGGTGGACCGCTCTGTCAATGCCAGCGTGTGTCTAGCATCTCCTGGGGTGGGGGTGTGGGGAAGGGAGGTGTAGGATGAAGCCCTAGAAGCCTCAGGCAATTGTGATCCGGTGGGCTGGATACTGAAGCCCACCCCTGCCTTGACCTCAATTTTCAGTATCTTCATCTGTAAAATGGGAACAACCTGCCTTCCTCCTAGCCCTAAAGGGGCTGCTGTCAAGATTGGCTGAGATAGCTGTTTGCAAGCTGAGCTCAATGAAAGTTCATTGTGTCCCCCTCAGTCCTATCCCAATATCGTCTCACTGCAAAGGTGGGGGGCAGCTTAACTTCAAGGGCACTTCAAGGATAGCCAGGTGGCTGTCAGCCCAGCTTTCCAGGATGGGAGCAGGATCTTGACAGAAGGGTTGACTGGGAGGGGCAGTTGCTGGTTTGGGCTTCGTTAGGTTGCATTTTTGTTTGTTGTCCTTTCATTTCCCTGGGGCAGCACCCCTTCCTGCAAGCTCCAGGCCTTCCTCTGGAATGCTCCTAGAGCCCAACCTCTGCTGGTGCCTGAGCTTAAGCCAGGCCAGCTAAGGGGATCCTGGATTCACACGGCCTCACAGTCACTCAGATTGTTAGCAGAAGACAAAAATTACAAGGGGAGGGCGTCATGTGATTCTTACACACCCTCCAAATCCAGCAGACACCTTGGAAGCCACAGGTAGCTTCAAGAAACCCATTTTACGGATGAGAACCTGAGATGGAGAAAGGACAACTGGAGATCTCTGAGTCTCTGAGCCCACACTCCCTACCTCCCTGCACCTCCAGGCACTCTGCTGGCAGGATCTTGGGCAAATGCCCACAGCTCTCTGAGAGTCAGTTTTCCTGTCTGTAAAATGGGAGTCATACCTTCCTCCTATGGCCGGTGAGAGACTAAATTAAACTATGTCTGTCAAGACACCTGAAACTCCTGGCACAATTTAGGTTGCCTTCAAGTGGTCACAGTTGTCATTAGGTGGAAGTCAACACCCCAATCATTGTAAAGGTGCCCATATACCCCAAGATCCAGATTACAGCTCTCACAGTTTATTATATACAGCGAAAAAACACATAACACACCTTTGCCCACATTTACATGTATTTTACGGACCATGTTTCACATCAGTCCGCATGCACATCTGCACGTGTGTGCATTCGGCAGTATTTACCAAGCACCTGCCAAGTGCCAGGGCCTGTCCTCCGCACCCGGCGTGAACTGTCCTGGACCAGTCCCGGGAGCCGCGGTTCTGACCAGCCGTGCTGACCCTGGACGACTCCATGAGCTGTTTTGTGAGAAAGACACGCCATTTGTTTGCAGAGTTCTGACTTCTGAGGGGTCATGTAGCACATGTTTGGTAGCCAAACGCTGTCATTCACGACCAGGAGCGATGGCTGCAATGCCTTTTTCTTTGCTTTGCTTTCCGGTGCCGGGAGCCTTGCCTCCCGCCGCCACCCCTGGTCAGCTCTGCGCAAGAACGTCGTTCTGTTTGGCAGCCAGGCCGAGACGCAGCCTGAATGTGAGCAGGAACTCGGAGAAGGGAAGGGAGAGAATCAGAAAGAAGGCCCGGGAGGGACCCGGGAAGCAGTGGGAGGTCTGCGCCCTGGAGCCCCGCGAGAGCCCGCCGGTTTGGCACGGGCTCCTCCCGGGCCGCCCGGCGGTCCAACAAAGGCCGGCCCCGACACGCACCCGGTCTTTTGTGGGAGAGAAACACAAAGAAGAGGGAAAAACACGGAGGAGGCCAACAGCACCAGGACGCGGGGGCCAACCAGGAACTCCCGGAGCCGGGGCCCATTAGCCTCTGCAAATGAGCACTCCATTCCCCAGGAAGGGGCCCCAGCTGCGCGCGCTGGTGGGAACCGCAGTGCCTGGGACCCGCCCAGGTCGCCCACCCCGGGCGCCGGGCGCAGGACCCGGACAAGTCCTGGGGACGCCTCCAGGACGCACCAGGGCAAGCTTGGGCACCGGGATCTAATTTCTAGTTATTCCTGGGACGGGGTGGGGAGGCATAGGAGACACACCGAGAGGTACTCAGCATCCGATTGGCACCAGGGCCAAGGGAGCCCAGGGGCGACACAGACCTCCCCGACCTCCCAAGCTACTCCGGCGACGGGAGGATGTTGAGGGAAGCCTGCCAGGTGAAGAAGGGGCCAGCAGCAGCACAGAGCTTCCGACTTTGCCTTCCAGGCTCTAGACTCGCGCCATGCCAAGACGGGCCCCTCGACTTTCACCCCTGACTCCCAACTCCAGCCACTGGACCGAGCGCGCAAAGAACCTGAGACCGCTTGCTCTCACCGCCGCAAGTCGGTCGCAGGACAGACACCAGTGGGCAGCAACAAAAAAAGAAACCGGGTTCCGGGACACGTGCCGGCGGCTGGACTAACCTCAGCGGCTGCAACCAAGGAGCGCGCACGTTGCGCCTGCTGGTGTTTATTAGCTACACTGGCAGGCGCACAACTCCGCGCCCCGACTGGTGGCCCCACAGCGCGCACCACACATGGCCTCGCTGCTGTTGGCGGGGTAGGCCCGAAGGAGGCATCTACAAATGCCCGAGCCCTTTCTGATCCCCACCCCCCCGCTCCCTGCGTCGTCCGAGTGACAGATTCTACTAATTGAACGGTTATGGGTCATCCTTGTAACCGTTGGACGACATAACACCACGCTTCAGTTCTTCATGTTTTAAATACATATTTAACGGATGGCTGCAGAGCCAGCTGGGAAACACGCGGATTGAAAAATAATGCTCCAGAAGGCACGAGACTGGGGCGAAGGCGAGAGCGGGCTGGGCTTCTAGCGGAGACCGCAGAGGGAGACATATCTCAGAACTAGGGGCAATAACGTGGGTTTCTCTTTGTATTTGTTTATTTTGTAACTTTGCTACTTGAAGACCAATTATTTACTATGCTAATTTGTTTGCTTGTTTTTAAAACCGTACTTGCACAGTAAAAGTTCCCCAACAACGGAAGTAACCCGACGTTCCTCACACTCCCTAGGAGACTGTGTGCGTGTGTGCCCGCGCGTGCGCTCACAGTGTCAAGTGCTAGCATCCGAGATCTGCAGAAACAAATGTCTGAATTCGAAATGTATGGGTGTGAGAAATTCAGCTCGGGGAAGAGATTAGGGACTGGGGGAGACAGGTGGCTGCCTGTACTATAAGGAACCGCCAACGCCAGCATCTGTAGTCCAAGCAGGGCTGCTCTGTAAAGGCTTAGCAATTTTTTCTGTAGGCTTGCTGCACACGGTCTCTGGCTTTTCCCATCTGTAAAATGGGTGAATGCATCCGTACCTCAGCTACCTCCGTGAGGTGCTTCTCCAGTTCGGGCTTAATTCCTCATCGTCAAGAGTTTTCAGGTTTCAGAGCCAGCCTGCAATCGGTAAAACATGTCCCAACGCGGTCGCGAGTGGTTCCATCTCGCTGTCTGGCCCACAGCGTGGAGAAGCCTTGCCCAGGCCTGAAACTTCTCTTTGCAGTTCCAGAAAGCAGGCGACTGGGACG